>NC_000006.12:39453939-39756969 GCF_000001405.40 Homo sapiens | reverse complement strand
GGAAAGAGGGAAGAAAGGAGTGAGTTGGACAAGCCTCAGAAAGCAGCAGTTCCAGAAATCATTGGCCAGGCTGATGAGGAGTTCCCAGGCATAGGTGGCCTGTTAGAAAACTCTTGCATTGTGCAGGATGGCTCAGCTTTAGTGCAACCATCTGCTCAGTGACTGGATAAGTACAGCCTGGACCAAGAGTGGAGATGGCATGAGTGCTGAGATGGATCCCCAGTGTGGCAGCTGGAGGCTGTCAGTCAGCTCTGCTTCTTGCAGCAAGTTCTTTGAAAGGAGATCTGAATGGCACACCTCCGTAAGTCATCACACGTATGGCTAAGAAGTTGGTGTTTAATCCTGAAAGCAAGAGGCACCTAAGAAAATGCAACATGGTGGTAAAGAGACTGATCACTAGGCTACTGCAAAAGATCAGCCAAGAATAGAAAAGAGCCGAACTTAAGGAAGTGACTGAAAAAAAAAAAAAAAGAAGAATGAGCCAGATTTAAAAAGCTAAGCTCACCATTCACAATTGCAAAGATACGGAACCAACCTTAGTGCCCATTGACAAATGAGTGGGTAAAGAAAAGGTGGTATATATGCATGATGGAATAATACTCAGCCATAAAAAGGAATGAAATAATGTCCTATGGAGCAACTTGGATGGAGCTGGAGGTCATTATTCTAAGTGAAGTAACTCAGGAATGGAAAACCAAATACCATATGTTCTCACTTGTAAGTGGGAAGTAAGCTATAAGGACACAAGACATACAGAATGATATAATGAACTGTGGGGACTCAAGGGGAGGTATGGAAGAGGGTGAGGAATAAAACGCTACATATTGGGTACTGTGTACACTGCTTGAGAGATGGGTGCCCTAAAATCTCAGAATCCACCACTAAAGAACTCATCCATGTAACCAAAAAACCCTGTACCCCCAAAACTATTGAAATAAAAAAAATTTAAGTAAATAAATACATAAGTAAAAGAGCTAAGAAATTTAAAATGTTGGCTCTTCAAAAGACATTAATAGGAAAATGAAAATGCAAGTCACAGATACAGGAAAATATTGGGAAAGCATATAACTGATAAAGGATTTGTATCCCAAAAATATAAAAATCTTTATACTCAATAGTAACAGACAAACAACCTAATAAAAAAATAGCAAAATATACGAATAAATACCCACTAGAGAAGATAGATGGATGGTAGATTTCATGAAAAGATGTTCAACATCATTTGTCATTAGGGAAATAGAAATTAAATGATAATGAAATGCAATGGTACTCCTATTAGTACAGCTACTGTTAAAAAACAGACAATAACAAGTATGAATAAGGATGTGGAAAACTCGTACCTTAACACACTGCAGGTGGGAATATAAAATAATACTTCCAATTTGTAAAACAGTTTGGCAGTTTCTTAAAAAGTTAAACATACGTTTACCACATAAACCAGCAATTCCAGTCCAAGTTATCTATCCAAGAATAAGGAAGAAAACCTCTATCTACAGAAAGACTTGTATGAGAATGTTCATAGCCACATGAGTCATAATAGCCCACACTGGAAGCAACCCAAATGTCCACAGATAAGCAAAATGTGTTATAGCCATGCATGGAATACTGTCAACAATAAAAGGAAACAAACTATTGATATATGCAACAACATGGATGAATCTTAAAAACCTCATGGAAAGTGAAGAAACCAGACACAAAAGACTTTGTATTGTATGATTCCATTTGTATGAAATTTCCAGAAAAGGTAAAACTATAGAAACATATAAGTGGTTGCTTGGGACCAGGATGGTGTGCAAAGAGTCACCAGGGAAATTTTTGATGTAATGGGAGTGTTTTAAAACTGGATGATGGTTGCAAAACCACATGCATTTGTTAAGACACATCGAATAATATATTTAAAGTGTATGAATTTTATAGAATATAAATTAAACCTTAAAAAACTGTTAAAAAATAAAGAGCTAAGAAGACAAACACAATGGTATATAGCAACTGATTCAATCTGGAGAGTAAGGTTGAGGGAAACGTCAGGCATGATGCCAAGGTTTTTGGCTGGGGTCCAGTACGAAGGATGATGTTGTTACAAAATAATATTCGGAATATGAAGAAGAGCAGCTTTGGAGTTTAACTTTGGACATATTAACTTTGAGCTGGCTGTTGAGCACTCAAGTAGATATTTCCAGCAAAGAGTTGGATTGGATGGCCCAGAGGTCATGAAAGGGATAGGAGCTGGAAAGACATTTGAGAAGTATTCACTTTTAGGAGGTAGCTGAAGCTGCAAGGGAGGCTGAGGTCATCCAGGGAGAATGTGCAGTGTGAGAGATTCTAGTCAAGTTGAAATACAGTTTCAGATAATTAGGAGTAGCCTAATGAAAGCCGGCTTCCCTAGAGAGTATTTTACTATTTGTGTGGTGATAGGAGATAACTTCCCTGTATTTCATGTATTTTTCCTGTAGCTTAAGATCTTAGAAAATCTGTTTCAGGATCTCAGGCGAATTAGGTAGAGGTAATTTAATCCAGCCTGTATTGTCAAACATTTATTTTATGTCACATAACTGGAAGCTGAAATATAGCCGACTTAACAAACAATATCTGAGGATCTACTGTATGTAAGATAATGTACTAAACATTCTTAGGACTCTGAGGAAATTTAAGGCTCAGAAGCTGACTTCAAAAAATTTACAATCTGGTCCTATAGATTCTATACTTTTTCAGCATAAAGATTTTGAGGTGGGCAGGGAATGGTGGAAAAGAAACTAAAGAATTAATTGACCTATTAGGTTAAAGAAAAGTCTAGAAGGATCTGTTGGGTTGTCTCTATAAATAAGCCCTTAACTGGAGTAAATTTGAGGAAGTTATTCAGGCCAAAAACTTCTGTTTTGTTTCCAAAAAGTTTAGTTTATGTGGGTTTCTTTTTTAAGCTTGCATTGGTCATTTTATTTCAGATAAATTTTATCCTAGTTTTCCAAGAGGCATGGTAAGCCTTATTTTCAGAAGCCGTTAATACATTGTGCAATTCCTTGCAAAGATGGGTATGTTCCAGACAACAGAGTAATGAGGCAGCCCCGATGGCCCGTTAGTCAACAGCCTCCCTACATAGAAATTCAGATAGAGGAGCTTGAGCTGGGTCTGACAAGTGAGTTGAATTATGGAAAAGGAAGAAAGGCAGCCCTCTAACTCTGTGGCCAGAGAGAAGGAGCTTATTGGCTGAGATTGGCAAGTGGATAAGGAGGCCTTTGAAAACCAGTGAGGAGGATAAAAATAAGCAGACATTGGAAGTGAGGACACAGAGACAACATGTTCTGATGATACTGAGCAGTGGATGGCATCCCACTGTAGCATGTTAAGGAGACTACTGTGAAGACAACTGCAATCATGCTCCAGTGACCCCACGTGACTAGGTGAGAGAGGGCTGAAGTGAGCCATAGGTTTCACTGTCAGACAAGGGAAGGAACCCACTGTTGTCTGTGTTAGGTCTGTGTTGACTATAGCTAAGCTTAAATCAAAATGTTATCCTTCAAGTTTGCTCCCCCCAAAATGGTAAGCTCCTGTCAGAGGCATTTGAAAGAGTGCAACCCCATCTTGAATAGGGGGTGGGTAAAATGAGACTGAGACCTACTGGGCTGCATTCCCAGGAGGTTAGGCATTCTAAGTCACAGGATGAGATAGGAGGTTGGCACAAGGTATAAGTCACAAAGACCTTGCTGATAAAAGGATGTGGTAAAGAAGCCGGCCAAAACCCACCAAAACCAAGATAGTGACAAAAGTGTTACCGACTGAGGGTGTCTAGGTCCTTGGTGTTTTGAACAAATAGTTGGACAAAACACACAAATAAAGCAAGGAAAGAATAAAGCAACAAAAGCAGGGATTTATTGAAAGTGAAAACACACTCTACAGGGTGGGAGCAGGCCCAAGCAAGTGGCTCAAGGGCCCGGTTACAAAATGTTCTGGGGTTTAAATATCCTCTAGAAGGGCCTGACGTGGTGGCTGAGGCCTGTAATCCCAGCACTTTGGGAGGCCAAGGTGGGCGGATCACAAGGTCAGGAGATCGAGGCCATCCTGGCGAACACGGTGAAACCCCGTCTCTACTAAAAAAATACAAAAAAAATTAGCCGGGAGTGGTGGCAGGCGCCTGTAGTCCCAGCTACTCGGGAGGCTGAGGCAGGAGAATGGCGTGAACCCAAGAGGCGGAGCTTGCAGTGAGCCGAGATCGCGCCACTGCACTCCAGCCTGGGCAACAGAGTGAGACTCCATCTCAAAACACACACACACACACACACACACACACACACACACACAATCCTCTAGAGGTTTCCATTGGTTACTTGGTGTATGCCCTATGTAAATGAAGAGGATATTTCTTGTCATAGCTGAAGTGTTTTCATTTGATTTAGTTCTAGGAAGTCCTTAATTTCCCTGCCTCCACGCCCTATTCTCCTGCTGCATCTCCCCAGTGAAAGATGTGATCCCTATAAATCTTTATGGGACGCAGAGGGACTGATGGTCTTTCTTCTGTAACTGCTTCATGCTGGCTTGGGGGATTGTCCCTACCTATTGAGGATCATGGAACGCTCACCCTGCTCTGTCTAGTGGAGGCAGGGTAGCTCCATGATGGCCAGGGGTGGTGTCTTCACCTGGAACCAGCTGAAACCTTTGTAGCATGATCATCTGAAGCTTGATGGTCTCTAGGTGAGAGGAAATGAATTTGGTTAAAAGATTTAATGGGAACTTCAGGGGTGGATACCTATGCTGTCAGGAATGTTTGTTATAGAGGTTTGCAGGAGAAAAACAAAACCCGGTCTGTGGTCTGTTCTAGAATCTATGTGTTTCCTTAAAGTCTTAGCACGAGCAACTCCATTTTGGTTTGGTTTGGTTTGGTCTGTTGGAGCCTAGTGCATCAGCTCAGTCCAAAACAATGGCCTCCCATAATTTTATTTAAAAATTTGCCCCTTTTTGGTTAGGTTCTCAGGTGAGAGTGTGACCAAAACTTAGGGCCTTAGCGCCACTCTCAGTTACCATCATTTTGGGTTTCTGGTCCCAGCACGTCATTTATAGGTGTCCTCATGGCTGCACGTTTATTTCAGTTTTTATTCTAGTTGAAGAGAGACCATTTGATATTCTAGAGATGGTTGCATGTAAACATTTAAAACCTTTGAGAGAATACAGTGCACCAGGGAGACTATTATTATGACTATTGAAAGGATACTGGATAAATACCAGGCACATAAAGAGATTCTTACATAGTTATAGTCACCACATCTTGCCTAAGAATTGTTTTTGTTGTTGTTCTTAAAGATATCACCACTAGGGTATGGAAGGTCAAAAAACAAACAAACAAACAAACAAACAAAAACCTAGCCTGAGGTGAAGGAGCTCACACATCCCTGAGGCCTTGGGTTAGCTGAAGAAGGGGCTCAGCTGGAGGTCCCAAATCTTGTCAGTCGTCCCTCTGACTGTCTGAGACCCACAGAAAGCAGTTGGCTCAACCCACATATCCATCTGTCCTGGACAGGATTGTGAATTCTTGTGCCTATGTCTGGCTTTGATGCCTCTGAATTCTGTAATTATGATCATTTTCTTTAAGAAAAATCTTTCAGCTGGGCACCGTGGCTCAGGCCTGTAATCCCAGCACTTTGGGAGGCCAAGCGGGGAGGATCACCTAGATCAGGAGCTCGAGACCAGCCTGGCCAACCAACATGGTGAAACCCCTTCTCTACTGAAAAATACAAAAATTAGCCAGGCATGGTGACGGGCACCTGTAATCCCAGCTATTAGGGACCTGAGGCAGGAGAATCTCTTGAACCTGGGAGGCAGAGGTTGCAGTGAGCCGAGATCGCGCTACTGCACTCCAGCTGGGGTGACAGAGCGAGACTTCTTCTCAAAGAAAGAAAAATCTTTCTAGTAACTCACAGGTGTTTTTGCACGTGGTGAGGGCTTGGGTTTTATTTTAATGTGTATTTATTTTTTTCCTGCATAAGATTTTATTAAGCCCATTTGGTTTGAAATTTGTCCCACCTCATCTGATGCTAGGGATGATTTAAAAGTGGTGTACTCACCTTCTGAGATGCAGTGGAGGCTCACGGATAGCTTCTTCTAACCATTCAGGAGACTGTTGACCTTAGTATCAGTGTCTCAGGTAAAGCCAGCAAATACAGGACATTCTGTGATATTTTAGGCTCTTTATATGCCATATCAAAAAGGCACAGTATGTCATAATCTGCGGGCTTACTATAAGCATGAGTTTCACCTTATAAATAGAGTGCCCAAAAGTAGTCTCATTGACTACTTTTGTTGAAAGATTGTATTAGTTTCTCATAAAATTCAACTTTTACTGTCATTGTTTTTCGGTGACTCTAAAGTCCCATTTTATATTCTCCAAAGTATCTGTTTGTGTCATAATTTACACTTAACCAAATTGCCACTCCAGATAAGCTCTCACTGTCAAAGACTCTGTCTGCTCAATGGAAAGCATTGCCCACACAGTGCCATTCTCAGCTTGGTCCTCGGATGTGAAGATCAGTCATTATGTGTAAAATCAGATTTTTCTTCCTAAAGAATGAGAGTCCTACTGTAAAATATTGGATGTAGTTTTAGATTATTTAAGGCAGATTTATAAAGATTGTTAGTTCTAATGCTATTTGCATTTATGTAAACTAATATATCTATTTGTTTGCCACTACTCTGGATAAAGATATATTTTTAACTATATTTTTAGTGTAAAAGAGAATATTGATCACATTTAGCAGAGTATGTAAATCACCGCTCTGCCTTCTATTGGCTTCAGTGTAACACAGAAATGAACTTTTGTATATTCCTTCTGAGGCATATTGTATATTCCGATATATATCCCATCTCACTTGATATTTTATGATGTGACTGTTCCTCTCTTGAGCCCGCACAGGAGCTCCTGACTGCTTCAACCAACAGAGTATGGTGAAAAAGATGCTATGTGACTTCCCATCTAGATCAAAAGAGTTTCTGCCTTAGCTTCTCTTATTATCTGTCTGAAGATGCTAACTCTGAGAAACCAGTCCTAGACCATGAGGAAGCTCCAATTACCCAATGAGGAAAGTCCCCATGATGGCCCCTTGATGGAGAGTTGCTCAGCACCCAGCTAATGGCCATCATCAATAGCCAGACATGTGAGTAAAGGAGCTTCCAATGAGTATTCCTATCCCCAGCTTCCAGTCTTCCAGCTGAGGCTCCTGACATTGTGACACAGAGACCAGCCTTGACCCCTCTGTCCTTTCTGGATTCCCGACCCAGAGAATCCATGAACAAAATAAATGGTTGCTTTATGACACTAAGTCTTAGAGTACTTGATTATGCACCCGCAGGACCTGGAATACCTTCCTTTTTCCTTCCCATCTTTTCTTTCCGAGCCCTCTAGGATTAGCACAGAATGGTTCTGAGGATATTGAAAAAGATGTAATAATAAGGTTGGTGGAGGTATACTTTTTGACATTCTTGTTTAATTTTCCTTTCTGCTTCCTTTTTTCATGAACCAATAAGTAATTAAGAAACTGGATTCTGGGGCGGGGCCAGGCCGCTTGTGTCAGAATCCTGGCATAGTTTTTTACTAACTGTGCGACTATGAATAAGTTATTTAACCCTTTTGTGCCTCGACTTTTGCATTTGTAAAACAGGCATAATAATAATATTGCTCAAAGAGGGTTTCTGGGAGGACTAATTTACTTTATAGATGTAAAGAGCTTCAAATAGGGCCTGGTACATAGTAGGTGCTTATTAAAATATTGGCTATTATCATTTTATCTTTAAGACACTCAATTTTTCATGATTTGAACTTACTACCCAAACATATTCCAATATAAAAATAGAAAATTTAAACACACACAATCCCAATACCCTATCGATTTATTTTATTTTCCATGTTTTCTTCAAGACCCACCTATATACAAATATTATTTTAAAAATCATAAGTTATTGCAAAGATACAAGAGGACAGAAATAATTACTTAGGGTTTACTCTACAAGAAGACTATCACTGTGAGCCAGGCAACTACCCCAAGAGGTAGACATATCCTCATTTTAAAAATGAGGAAACTATCATTTCTTTGATCAACAGAATGTTACACAGATATCAAAATTATAAGTAAGGACATTAAGTAACTTTGTGTGTATAACATAATGTGAAGTAAAAAGAATAGGATATAGGATTCCAGATATTAGAATCATTAGAGACAGGCTAGAAAAAACAAAACAAAAAAACTATGCTTATTATGTCCAATGAGCTAAAAAGGACAAGCTGAAAATTACAGCATGGAACTGGAAACCATAAAAAGTGACCTGCAATACTTGAAAATAAATTAAATAAAAAATATAGAATTAAAAAATATAATAACCAAATCAAGACTTCAACACATAGAGTTAGTAGTATCTGAAGAGAAAACTATAGAATTGGCATATGGGTCAAAAATATTAAAAATGAAGCATGGAGAAATAAATAACCAACTCAGAAAATACAGAAGCAAAAATTAGGGAATCACTAAGCTAAAGGGAAAAGTAAAGCTGGGAACTGCTTAGGGCAAACCTGCCTCCATTCTATTCAAAGTCATTCCTCTGAGACTCACCTGAGACAAATTCATATCTGATTGCTTCCTCTGCCCTATTGTTTATGTAAAAATGCAGACTCACTGAGCCAGACTAAATTAGGTGTTCAGTGGAAGGCTGATCAAGGACTAAAAAGAATGCAACTTTTTGTCTGGGCGCGGTGGCTCACGCCTGTAATCCCAACACTTTGGGAGGCCGAGGCAGGTGGATCAAGAGGTCAGGAGATTGAGACCATGCTGACTAATACAGTGAAACCCCGCCTCTACTAAAAATAAAAAAAATTAGCCGGGCATGGTGGCAGGCGCCTGTAGTCCCAGCTACTCGGGAGGCTGAGGCAGGAGAATGGTGTGAACCCGGGAGACAGAACTTGCAGTGAACCGAGATCATGCCACTGCACTCCAGCCTGGGTGACAGAGCGAGACTCCATCTCAAAAGAAAAAAAAAAAAAAAAAGAAGAAGAATGCAACCTTTTGTCTCTTATCTACTTCTAACATGGCAGCCCCCAGTTCGAGCTGTCCCACCTTACTGGACTGAACCAATGTACAACTTACACATACTGATTGATGTCTCATGCGTCCCTAAAATGTATAAAAGCAAACTGTGCCCCTGATCACCTTGGGCACATGTCATCAGAACTTCCTGAGGCTGTGTCATGGGCACGTCCTTAACTTTGGCAAAATAAACTTTCTAAATTGAATGACACCTGTTTCAGATGTTTCGGGTTCACAACATCAAACCAAAATTTATGCTCTAATTCAAGGAACATAATGAATTCCAAACCATGTAGATAAATGAAATTCTTATCTAGTTGCATTGGAGAGAAACTACAAAAAGTCAAAGACAAGGAGAAATCCCAAAAGTAGCCAGATAAAAAAAAGACTACCTTCAAATAAGCCGCAGTTAGACTGATAGCTGACTTCTCAATAGCAGCAATGGATGCTAGAAGCCAGAGGATCAATATCTTTGGTGTGTTGAAAATAATAATAGTAACTGCTATTCTTCATCAGGAAAAATATTCTTCAAGAATAACATTTTCTGTCAAACACTGAGATAGTTCACCACTAAGAGATCACAGTGAAGGACATTCTGAAGGTTGTTTCTAGGCAGAGGAAAATAATTCCAAATCTCAAATTAAACCATTTGGATGGTGAAACTAAAGTCTTATTTATTTATTTATTTATTTTTTTTTGAAGCTGACTTGATTTTTTTTAGAGGGAGAATTCTCACTATATATAATACCAGTTTTGTACATTTTGTATTCCATTCTTGATTTAATTTAATAAGCCTACATAGAAAGTGTTACTCATAGTACTCTCTATATAGTAATGTAACAAGATTAAAAGAAACTTAACCGAAAGTTGTGGTTAGGAAATAGAAAAGAGAGTGACAAGAACTGCTTTTAGAACTGCTACGGCAGATGGTAAATTAACGTTTTCTCAGCCATAAAGTTACACATGTACAGCTGACCCTTGAACAACATGGAGGCTGGGGACACTGACCACCCCTGTAGTCAAAACTCTGTATAAAATTTTTGACTCCCCCAGAATTTAACTACTAATAGCCTACTGTTTACCAGAAGCCTTACCTATAACATAAATAGTGGATTAACACATATTTTATATGTTATATATTATATATTGTGTCCTTACAATAGGGTAAGCTAGAGAAAAGTAAATGTTCTTAAGAAAATCATAAGGAAAGGAAAATATATTTACATTCATTAAGTGGAAGTGCATCATCATAAAGGTTTTCATCCTCATCTTCATGTCAAGAAGGCTAAGGAGTAGGAAGAGGAAGGGTTGGTCTTGGCATCTCATGGGTGGCAGAGACAGAAAAAAATCTCTGTATAAGTGGACCCACACAATTCAAACCCATGTTGATCTAGCGTCAACTGTGTTTATGTCTCTAGACAGTGGGGATCAACTGTAGATGTAACGAAAAACTAACCAACACAATGCAAAGAAATGGAATGTTTTCCATCATACACATTATCTTTTAATTTAGATTTCACAGAAGCCAAACTATTCAGAAGGACATATCAGATTCAAGGCTACGAATTTCGCTTGTCTTTTCCATTTCATCCTAGAATAATAAAAATATTATGGCACTTGGTAGTCTGTATTGTCCCAGCTAAACAGCACAAATGCTTGTGTTGATAAACTATAAAGAATCAAATAGACCAAATCATAATATCTGGGGACTGGCAGATACTCAGAGACACAAGAATTCCCTCTCTATTATGCCTAAGAAACTTGAACACATCCACTGACAAGGAGCTCACTGCTTTTTGCTCTTGTATTGGACATTCCCAGTTGTTTAAAGCTTTTTAATTGGGCCCAAACTTTCTATCTAAAACTGGCTCATATTTGTCCAGCTCTGTTCTTTCAATGGCAAAATAGGACAAATGTACTCCCTCCTCTATATAAGAGACCAGTAAACATTAAAAGGAAACTACAATATCTCCCTTCAGAATTTGTTCGTATAGGCTAATCATGTCTCATACAATTAAACCTTGCCCAGTCAGCCTGTGCTTGGGCAGCCAGAGGATAAACAATCTGATTCAATGAGGAAGGAAATAGTGGTATGAGAAGTAGAAAAGGTCAAGGTGGAGAAGGGGAGGTAGGTTTTGAGAAAATAAAGCATGCTAACGCATATTTTATAACTTAAGTAAGATTTTCTGTACTTGGTGATTATTTTTAAAATTTTGGGACTTTGCATGATACATTGAAAGTAGGACAACTATTTGACCAGATTTGTAAAGGTACAAATCTGGAGCAGAAGGTCAACTAGAAACTTTCTGCTGGTAAGATAATGGCATTCAATTCTGAGACATGCCTTGTAAAGGGACTATCAACCTATGTCCTTCAATGTTGAAATAGCACATTGATTACAGTGTGCTAAATGATTCCAATTAATCTATCTAGCTAAAGATCTGGGTGTAAGAAATTACACTTGTGAGGTCTGGCCAACCCTCGTAGTGTAACTACAAAATGCACCTATAGTCATGGAGAAAGGGATGCCAAGAAATGTATTAATTTAGGAATAAAGGTGAAACAGGAGTAGACTGTTATTCCACGTGGATACTCTCTGAGCATTGCAATAGATGTTTTATCAACTGCTAATAATCAGGGTTTGTTAATATTATTAGGGAAAGACTGGATTTTAATGGCTCTTCCTACTGCCAAGAAATTTGGCTCCTACAGCTCATAACCTGTGCCATCACTCCATGCATAAATCATAATACAGCAAATTGACAGAAGCTGCAGGTCCTGGGATCTAGCACTTATGAGGACAATTAAGATGTGACAGTGTTTACATTCTATAATTCTGGATACATTCATCTTACTAAAAGCATACTGAGAGAATCTGCTCAGAGTAGATTCTTGAAGAATGAACCTGGCTGAAGAAAAATTCATGAGAAGATAGTTATTATGTCTGCAAGTATTCACTTGTTTGTTTATCCTACCAAATAACAATTGGTGCTGGGTTCCACATGGACATGACTGTCCATGGGAAACATGATTGGGAGACTGGGAGATGGATAAGTGTATTAGTCAGCTATTGCTATAACAATGCCACATAACAAAACTCAGTGGCTCATAAATAACAGCATTTTATTTATTTATTTATTTATTGTTTACTCACTGGTCCTTGGCTAGGATAGCTCTGCTTCAGGATAAAGGTTGCCTGGTTTAGGTCCAGGCTGAAGATCAGGTGTGGGTTAGCTCTATGTGTTTCATTCTGGGTCTAAGCTGAGGGGATAGAAGCTAACTGGGTCATGCTTTTTTCATGATAATCACAGGAGCACAAAAGGACAACCAAACCATGTAAGCATACATAAAGCCTCTGTTCATGTCACTTCTACTATATTTCATTGGCCGAGTCCATATTCAATAAAGAGGAGTTTAGGGGGAAGCAAACCCCTCTCACTATCTCATTGTCCTGTGGAGGAACAATGCAATGCTACAAGGCAAAGGGTATAGATGTATAATCCAATTGCAGGGGAGTAAAAAGTTGGAATGAATAATTCAGTCTTCCAGAGTACATGTTCTGTACTTTTTTTTTAAAGGCTGGCCTACACCATTGCATTTTTTTAAGTTCAAGGGTAATATTTTAGGCTAAAGCCTGACAGAATCATATTATAAGTGAACCCATAAACCCTAATGAATCAACAATAGTGAGAAAGTCATCAATCATAAATCCAAGAAATTAAAAAATGCATCCAGCTGTGTGTGAAGGTTTCATTGAGTCCAGTGGTGATGGAGATGCCTCAGGCCTCAAACACAGTGGGCTTGGCAGAAAAGCCATGCTGCTGTTCTCGCTGATTTGGGGCTAAGAAAGGCACTCAAGCGTCTTGACATTGCCAGCAGCATCAAAAGGGATGTGCTGGTTGCCAGCAAAAGTGCCATTAAAAATGGAAATAAAACATACAAAATATGAAAGTTGGGATAAAATGTCAAAGTGTGTTTATGGGAAGACCTATCCATTTCTAAGTGATGTAATGGAAAATCTATCTTTGGTCTACCCAAATCAAGGACATTTTATAAACTGGATAATGTGACAATTTATGACAAATCCTAAACCCACTAACCAAAATCTCCTGCTTCCAGGAAAAGGGTAGCTGGAATTTCTAAACAATTATGGCTTAAAGGTCTAGAGAGAGGCAATTGCTGATACCTCTTTAAGTCTACAGATATGTGTGTGTGTATAAACGAATTGATAAATACATAGATAAGCGTGCATACTTTGTGTTGATTTTGCCAACCAATACTTTGTGTTGATTTTGCCAACCAATACTTACTCAAAGCAAGGAGTAGATATTTTCAGCATTTAATATATTTATTCTTTATTAACAGTCATTGCAGTCAACCTACTTAATTAAAATTAAGCCTTTCTTTGGTTCAAATTTGCTCAGCCTTAAAGGGGATTCTTATTAGAGTTATAACCCTGATATAAGAAAATGGAACATCTTAAGGCTTACAATGGTTGAACTGGAAACAGGGCCTTCCAACATAAAGAAAAAATGTCTCTCAAAGGTGTTCAATTCAATTCAATGTACCTCACACCTTATACAAATATTAGTTCTAAATGTATAAGAATGCATTATAGAACTAAATGTGAGATTTTTGATACAAAACTATAAAACTTCCAGAAGAAAGTCTTCATGACCTTGGATTAGGCAGAATTTTTAGATATGACATCAAAAGCATGAGTCATAAAAATAATAATAATACATTAGACTTCATCAAAACTTTTTTAAAACTTTTGCTCTATGAAAGAAGTTATTCAAAAATAGAAAAAATAAGCTACAGAATTGGAGAAAATGTTTGGATATCATATATTCACAAACACACACAATATTTCAACAAAAAACAAATCAGCATCTCAATTTAAAAAGTGACCAAGGGCCAGGCACGGTGGCTCACACCTGTAATCGCAGCACTTTGGGAGGCTGAGGCAGGCGGATCACGAGGTCAGGAGATCGAGACCATCCTGGCGAACATGGTGAAACCCTGTCTCTACTAAAAATACAAAAAAATTAGCCCAGCATGGTGGCGGGTGCCTGTAGTCCCAGTTACTAGGGAGGCTAAGGCAGGAGAATGGCACAAACCCGGGGGGCGGAGCTTGCAGTGAGCCGAGATTGCACCACTACACTCCAGCCTGGGCCACAGAACAAGACTCCGTCTCAAAAAAAAAAAAAAAAAAGACCAAAAGATTTGAATTTTATGAAATAAGATATACAGACAGCAAATAAGCATACAAAGAGATGCTCAACATCATTTGTCACCAGGAAAATGAAAATTATAAGCACATAAGATACTAGCACTTATTTATTTATTTATTTTTATTATACTTTAAGTTTTAGGGTACATGTGCACAATGTGCAGGTTTGTTACATATGTATATATGTGCCATGTTGGTGCGCTGCACCCATTAACTTGTCATTTAACATTAGGTATATCTCCTAATGCTATCCCTCCCCCTTCCCCCACCCCACAACAGGCCCTGGTGTGTGATGTTCTCCTTCCTGTGTCCATGAGTTCTCATTGTTCAATTCCCACCTATGAGTGAGAACTTGCAGTGTTTGTTTTTTTTGTCCTTGTGATAGTTTGCTGAGAATGATGGTTTCCAGCTTCATCCATGTCCCTACAAAGACATAAACTCATCATTTTTTATGGCTGCATAGTATTCCATGGTGTATATGTGCCACATTTTCTTAATGCAGTCTATCATTGTTGGACATTTGGGCTGGTTCCAAGTCTTTGCTATTGTGAATAGTGCCACAATAAACATACGTGTGCATGTGTCTTTATAGCAGCCTGATTTATAATCCTTTGGGTATATACCCAGTAATGGGATGGCTGGGTCAAATGGTATTTCTAGTTCTAGATCCCTGAGGAATTGCCACACTGACTTCCACAATGGTTGAACTAGTTTACAGTCCAAACAACAGTGTAAAAGTGTTCCTATTTCTCCACATCCTCTCCAGCATCTGTTTTTTCCTGACTTTTTAATGATGGCCATTCTAACTGGTGTTAAGATGGTATCTCATTGTGGTTTTGATTTGCATTTCTCTGATGGCCAGTGATGATGAGCATTTTTTCATGTGTCTTTTGGCTGCATAAATGTCTTCTTTTGAGAAGTGTCTGTTCATATCCTTTGCCCACTTTCTGATGGGGTTGTTTGTTTTTTTCTTGTAAATTTGTTGGAGTTCATTGTTTTCTGGATATTAGCCCTTTGTCAGATGAGTAGATTGCAAAAATTTTCTCCCATTCTGTAGGTTGCCTGTTCACTCTGATGGTAGTTTCTTTTGCTGTGCAGAAGCTCTTTAGTTCAATTAGATCTCATTTGTCAATTTTGTCTTTTGTTGCCATTGCTTTTGGTGTTTTAGACATGAAGTCCTTGCCCATGCCTATGTCCTGAATGGTATTGCCTAGGTTTTCTTCTAGGGTTTTTATGGTTTTAGGTCTAACATTTAAGTCTTTAATTCATCTTGAATTAATTTTTGTATAAAGCGTAAGGAAGGGATCCAGTTTCAGCTTTCTACATATGGCTAGCCAGTTTTCCCAGCACCATTTGTTAAATAGGGAATCCTTTCCCCATTGCTTGTTTTTGTCAGGTTTGTCAAAGATCAGATAATTGTAGATATGTGGCATTATTTCTGAGGGCTCTGTTCTGTTCCATTGGTCTATATCTCTGTTTTGGTACCAATACCATGCTGTTTTGGTTACTGTAGCCTTGTAGTATAGTTTGAAGTCAGGTAACGTGACGCCTCCAGCTTTGTTCTTTTGGCTTGGCGATGCGGGCTCTTTTTTGATTCCATGTGAACTTTAAAGTAGTTTTTTCCAATTCT
This sequence comes from Homo sapiens, assembly GCF_000001405.40. NCBI lineage: Eukaryota > Metazoa > Chordata > Mammalia > Primates > Hominidae > Homo > Homo sapiens. The sequence continues at coordinate 39,741,047 of NC_000006.12, read as the reverse complement.
GTGAAGAAAGTCATTGGTTGCTTGATGGGGATGGCATTGAATCTATAAATTACCTTGGGCTCTATGGCCATTTTCACAATATTGATTCTTCCTACCCATGAGCATGGAATGTTCTTCCATTTGTTTGTATCCTCTTTTATTTCATTGAGCAGTGGTTTGTAGTTCTCCTTGAAGAGGTCCTTCACATCCCTTGTAAGTTGGATTCCTAGGTATTTTATTCTCTTTTCAAAGAGAATTGAATTCTCTTTGTGAATTCAATTGTGAATGGGAGTTCACTCATGATTTGGCTCTCTGTTTGTCTGTTGTTGGTGTATAAGAATGCTTGTGATTTTTGTACATTGATTTTGTATCCTGAGACTTTGCTGAATTTGCTTATCACCTTAAGGAGATTTTGGGCTGAGACGATGAGGTTATCTAGATATACAATCATGTCATCTGCAAACAGGGACAATTTGACTTCCTCTTTTCCTAATTCAATACCCTTTATTTCCTTCTCCTGACTGATTGCCCTGGCCAGAACTTCCAACACTATGTTGAATAGGAGTGGTGAGAGAGGGCATCCCTGTCTTGTGCCAGTTTTCAAAGGGAATGCTTCCAGTTTTTGCCCATTCAGTATGATATTGGCTGTGGGTTTGTCATAGATAGCTCTTATTATTTTGAGATACGTCCCATTAATACCTAATTTATTGAGAGTTTTCAGCATGAAGAGTTGTTGAATTTTGTCAAAGGCCTTTTCTGCACCTATTGAGATAATCATGTGGTTTTTGTCATTGGATCTGTTTATATGCTGGATTATGTTTATTGATTTGCATATATTGCACCAGCCTTGCATCCCAGGGATGAAGCCCACTTGATCATGGTGGATAAGCTTTTTGATGTGCTGCTGGATTCGGTTTGCCAGTATTTTATTGAGGATTTTTGCATCGATGTTCGTCAGAGATATTGGTCTAAAATTATCTTTTTTTGTTGTATCTCTCCCAGGCTTTGGTATCAGGATGATGCTGGCCTCATAAAATTAGTTAGGGAGGATTCCCTTTTTTTCTATTGATTGGAATAGTTTCAGAAGGAATGGTACCAGTTCCTCCTTGTATCTCTGGTAGAATTCGGCTGTGAATCCATCTGGTCCTGGACTTTTTTTGGTTAGTAAGCTATTAATTATTGCCTCAATTTCAGAGCCTGTTATTGGTCTATTCAGAGACTCAACTTCTTCCTGGTTTAGTCTTGGGAGGGTGTATATATCCAGGAACTTATCCATTTCTTCTAGATTTTCTAGTTTATTTGCATAGAGATGTTTATAGTATTCTCTGATGGTAGTTTGTATTTCTGTGGGGTCGGTGGTGATATCCCCTTTATCATTTTTTATTGCGACTATTTGATTCTTCTCTCTTTTCTTCTTTATTAGTCTTGCTAGCAGTCTGTCAATTTTGTTGATCTTTTCAAAAAACCAGCTCCTGGATTCATTGATTTTTTGAAGGGTATTTTGTGTCCCTATTTTCTTCAGTTCTGCTCTGATCTTAGTTATTTCTAGCCTTCCGCTAGCTTTTGAATGTGTTTGCTCTTGCTTCTCAAGTTCTTTTAATTGTAATGTTAGGGTGTCAATTTTAGATCTTTCCTGCTTTCTCTTGTGGGCATTTAGTGCTATAAATTTCCCTCTACACACTGCTTTGAATGTGTCCCAGAGATTCTGGTATGTTGTGTCTTTGTTCTCGTTGGTTTCAAAGAACATCTTTATTTCTGCCTTCATTTCGTTATGTACCCAGGAGTCATTCAGGAGCAGATTGTTCAGTTTCCATGTAGTTGAGCGGTTTTGAGTGAGTTTCTTAATCCTGAGTTCTAGTTGGATTGCACTGTGGTCTGAGAGACAATTTGTTATAATTTCTGTTCTTTTACATTTGCTAAGGAGTGCTTTACTTCCAACTATGTGGTCAATTTTGGAACAGGTGTGGTGTGGTGCTGAAAAGAGTGTATATTCTGTTGATTTGGGGTGGAGAGTTCTGTACATGTCTATTAAGTCTGTTTGGTGCAGAGCTGAGTTCAATTCCTGGATGCCCTTGTTAACTTTCTGTCTCATTGATTTGCCTAATGTTGACAGCGGGGTGTTAAAGTCTCCCATTATTATTGTGTGGGAGTCTAAGTCTCTTTATAGGTCTCTAAGGACTTGCTTTATGAATTTGGGTGCTCCTGTATTGGGTGCATATATATTTGGGATAGTTAGCTCTTCTTGTTGAATTGATCCCTTTACCATTATGTAATGGCCTTCTTTGTCTCTTTGATCTTTGTTGATTTAAAGTCTGTTTTATCCGAGACCAGGATTGCAACCCCTGCCTTTTTTTGTTTTCCATTTTCTTGGTAGATCTTCCTCCATCCTTTTATTTTGAGCCTATGTGTGTCTCTGCACGTGAGATGGGTTTCCTGAATACAGCACACTGACGGGTCTTGACTCTTTATCCTATTTGCCAGTCTTTGTCTTTTAATTGGAGTATTTAGCCCATTTACATTTAAGGTTAATATTGTTATGTGTGAATTTGATCCTGTCATTCTGATGTCAGCTGGTTATTTTGCTCATTAGTCAATGCAGTTTCTTCCTACCCTTGATGGTCTTTACAATTTGGCATGTTTTTGCAGTGACTCGTACCGGTTGTTCCTTTGCATGTTTAGTGCTTCCTTCAGGAGCTCTTTTAGGGCAGGCCTGGTGGTGACAAAATCTCTCAGCATTTGCTTGTCTGTAAAGGATTTTATTTCTCCTTCACTTATGAAGCTTAGTTTGGTTGGATATGAAATTCTGGGTTGAAAATTCTTTTCTTTAAGAATGTTGAATATTGGCCCCCACTCTCTTCTGGCTTGTAGAGTTTCTGTTGAGAGATCAGCTGTTAGTCTGATGGGCTTCCCTTTGTGGGTAACCTGACCTTTCTCTCTGGCTGCCCTTAACATTCTTTCCTTCATTTCAACTTTGGTGAATCTGACAATTACATGTCTTGGACTTTCTCTTCTCGAGGAGTATCTTTGTGGCATTCTCTGTATTTCCTGAATCTGAATGTTGGCCTGCCTTGCTAGATTGGGGAAGTTCTCCTGGATAATATCCTGCAGAGTGTTTTCCAACTTGGTTCCATTCTCCCCGTCACTTTCAGGTACACCAATCAGGCTTAGATTTGGTCTTTTCACATAGTCCCATATTTCTTGGAGGCTCTGTTCGTTTCTTTTTATTCTTTTTTCTCTAAACTTCTCTTCTCACTTCATTTCATTCGTTTGATCTTCCATCACTGATACCCTTTCTTCCAGTTGATCGAATCGGCTACTGAGGCTTGTGCATTTGTCATGTAGTTCTCATGCGGTGGTTTTCAGCTCCGTCAGGTCCTTTGAGGACTTCTCTGCATTGGTTGTTCTAGTTAGCCATTCGTCTAATCTTTTTTCAAGGTTTTTAACATCTTTGCCATGGGTTTGAACTTCCTCCTTTAGCTCAGAGTAGTTTGATCATCTGAAGCCTTCTTCTCTCAACTCGTCAAAGTCATTCTCCGTCCAGCTTTGTTCCATTGCTGGTGAGGAGCTGCATTCCTTTGGAGGAGGAGAGGTGCTCTGATTTTTAGAATTTTCAGTTTTTCTGCTCTGTTTTTTTCCCATCTTTGTGGTTTTATCTACCTTTGGTCTTTGATATGGTGACGTACAGATTGGATTTTGATGTGGATGTCCTTTCTGTTTGTTAGTTTTCCTTCTAACAGTCAGGACCCTCAGCTGCAGGTCTGTTGGAGTTTGCTGGAGGTCCACTCCAGACCCTGTTTGCCTAGGTATCAGCAGCGGAGGCTGCAGAACAGCGGATATTGAACAGCAAATGTTGCTGCCTGATCATTCCTCTGGAAGTTTTGTCTTTGAGGGGTACCTGGCCTTGTGAGGTGTCAGTCTGACCCTGCTGGGGGATGCCTCCCAGTTAGGCTACTCGGGGGTCAGGGATCCACTTGAGGAAGCAGTCTGTCGGTTCTCAGATCTCAAGCTGCGTGCTGGGAGAACCACTACTCTCTTCAAAGCTGTCAGACAGGGGCATTTAAGTCTGCAGAGGTTTCTGCTGGCTTTTGTTTGGCTATGCCCTACCCCCAGAGGTGGAGTCTACAGAGGCAGGCAGGCCTCCTTGAGCTGCGGTGGGCTCCACCCAGTTCGAGCTTCCCGGCCACTTTGTTTACCTACTCAAGCCTCGGCAATGGCAGGTGCCCCTCCCCCAGCCTCACCGCCACCTTGCAGTTTGATCTCAGACTGTTGTGCTAGCAATGAGCAAGGCTCCGTGGTCGTAGGGTCCTCTGAGCCAGCCGCAGGATACAATCTCCTGGTGTGCTCTTTGCTGAGACCATTGGAAAAGTGCAGTATTAGGGTGGGAGTGACCTGATTTTCCAGGTGCTGTCTGTCACCTCTTTCCTTGGCTAGGAAAGGGAATTCCCTGACCCCTTGCACTTCCCACGTGAGGCAATGCCTCGCCATGCTTCGGCTCACGCTTGGTGCACTGCACCCACTGTCCTGCACCCACTGTCCGACAATCCCCAGTGAGATGAACCCAGTACCTCAGTTGGAAATGCAGAAATCATTCGTCTTCTGTGTTGCTTATGCTGGGAGCTGTAGACTGGAGCTGTTCCTATTCGGCCATCTTGGCTCCACCCCCACTAGTACTTACTAAATGGCTAAAAAATTTCTTAAGTGTCAATACCAAGTGCTGATGAGGATAGAGAGCATCTGGAATTCTGAAATATTTCCAGTGGGAATGCAAAATGGTATATTCATTTTGGAAAACAGTTTTGGGAGTTCTTATAAATTTAATCATACACTAACAATATGACCCAGAAATCCTTCTCCTAGGCACTAACCCTAGATAAATGAAGGCTTACATCCTTAAGTGGTTGAAAGGATAAACAAACAGTGGTACATCCAATCCATGGAATACTACTCAACAATACAAAAGAACAAACTATTGATACTTGCAAAATAATGAATGAATTGCAAATACATTACACTGAGCAAAGAAGCCAGACTCAGAGGTTACATATTGTATGATTTTATTGATATGACATTCTAGAAAAGGCAAAATTATAGGGATCAAGAATAGATCAGTAGCTGTCAGGAGCCCAAAGTGAGGAGATGATTTGATGACAAATAAGCAACATGAGAGAATTTGGAGGTGGGAGGAGTGATAGAATTGTTCTGTATCCCAATTATGGTGATGGTTATATGGCTGTATACATTTGTCAAAATTCACAGAACTGTGTATTTCAAAAAAGTGTACTATACCGTAAGTGAATTTTACAATCAAGTTTAAAAATTCAACTCAACAAACATTTAACGTTTGAGTATTATATGCCAGGCACTCTACTAAAGGTAGGATAGAATACAAAAATGAGAAAGTCATGGATCTGCCCTTGAGGGAACTTTAAACTGTCTTAGAAAGGCATTAGGCTAGAGGAAAGAATGGCACATTCTGAATGCTATACTAGAAAGCAGTCTACATAAAGAGCTTCAAGAGAAGTAAACACAGAGACTAGAGGGTTTAAAGGCAGATGAGATGGAGACCTCACTTTGTAAGTGTGATGAGAAATGAAAACTTATGGGATTTAAGATGTACCTTAAAAGGTGGCGTGATTTAGCAGGCAGAGATTGGAGATGGGGGAGAAGAGAGGTCAGGGCAGAAGGAGGCCCACAGAAGGTGATGGGTGCTGGCGGTGAAGCAGGCTGTGTAGGGACAGAGACGCGTGGTTCAGTTTGATTGGAGGGAAAGGGGAACATGTTGGAACTAATTTGTGGAGTGTCTTGAATGGCTTGGTAAGATGTTCTTAATTCAATGGAAAGTGGGGAACCATTAAAACATTTTCAGTAGAGCTTGACTTTAAAACAGAATTTTCCAAATTTCTTTGACCATAGGGCACTTAAAAATTATAATGTAAACACAGAACACCAACACATTGCCCGGGAGAGTTAATGCCAGCTTTTTGTCCTTTAATCCTTTAAATCCTTGATTTAGCAACTGATCCACAGAGAAAACATTGTATAGTACAAATGTTTAGTATATAAAAAAGTGGAATATTATCAAAACTATATATTATAAGACACACACAGACACAGATTAGAGATCATCAAATAGGTAAATAATACTAAAAGGATGATTGGCTGACGAACGTGATCTAAGCATCTATGATTGGATGTTATGTGTTCCTAGAGCAGATGAATCTTGTGTGGTTTACTGTGATTCTATAGGATGTTATACTATTATCATTTAGAGGTAGATGCTGTTACTTAGATAACCACATACTATAGGATGTTATAATATTATCATTTAGAGGTAGATCCTGTTACTTAGATAACCACATAAAACTTAGAAGTACACAAGTATGCTTGGTAATTTTCTAACATACATGTTTTTAATTTAGAAATTTAGAAGAAAAACATCAATAGTGCTGACCATAGAAGACACTGTTGATACTCTGCCCACTTCTTCCCAGTCCACCCCGCAGATCATTGCAACTTTAGTGGACATACCTATACATGCCAAAAGCATCCTGCCTCCAGGGTCTGCACCTCTCTCTGCCCAACGGCTTTCTCTGAATGTCAGGGCACACAGGGTAAGTTGGAAGTGCTGGGGAGGTAGAATATTCCCACCTCCGAGAGCAGCCCTCCAGCAATGAAAAGCAGGAGCTGTTGAATAAATACCCTGCTTCTTCGCCCCTTGGGGAGCAATGCTGAGGTGTGCTCTGTAACAGTCTTGTGGAGGGTCCTGGTGGGAATGAGCCCTACTTTCCCACTGGGAAAATCCACCCATAAATGCACCTATCACTGGTTTTCTTCCTTTCCCTGTTTTCTTGGGATCATCTCCCAAATAAATTCCTGACACCCAAATCCTCATCTCAGTGTCTGTTTGGGGAGAATGCAATCTGAGACAATGTTGTTTTTTCCCCCAGCAGGCATGTTTTTACCAGTTTAACCATTATGTCATTTCTCATTAAATAAGTATTTATTAAACACTTACTACATACAAGAATGGAATACGATGATGAGCAAGTGAAAAGTGATCTAGGCCTTCATTTAACCTAGACTAGTAGTAATTATAAAGTCCAAGGTGCTAAGGGCACATGTAGCTAGGGCTCTGAATCTAGTCTGAGAGGGTCAGGGGAGACTTCTCAAAGAGAGTGATGTTTCAGTTCTGCCTGAGCAGTGAGCAAAGGCTTGGAAAAGAGGAGGGAGAAAAGTGTTACAAGCTGTGTAATTTAGGAAACATTCTTTTTGTATTTGGGGAAATAAAAGTCATGGCAGAGGAGGAAGAGCAAACTGCCTTTGTCAAACATCTGAAAGTCCATTTTAATACGAAATAAAAGAAGGTGAATAAGTATTTAATTGGTGATTTGTAAACGATGCATTCTTTTTAAATTAAAAACAAATTGATCCCTAGAGTCATTAAATGCTTCCCAGACATCCTGAAAGAAACTCACTAATTTAACAGTGGGCCACTGTGCTTCTATACCTATCACTCCCTCAGATCCTGTTTCTGTTGTCTTCCATTGATACAAATGTTAATGTACTCTGTTTATCACCCTGGGAAATTTGCAACCATTTTTTTTTTTTTTTTTTTTGCCTGAAAAAAGAAGGTTCAGAAATGGAAACCATGATTTAATTCTTTCTCTTGCTAAATGTCTACTCAATTTGTAGATTGTCTTTGTTTTCTTGGGTGAAACAGGAAGAGAAAGTAATTTTCACTATGAAAATATGAAGCTCTAATAAAAATTTTTAATTTGTAAAGGTTTTATTGAATCAATTCCTTGCAATGAGTTCTGCATCCACTCATTCATTCAATACACATGTAGAAATCTCCCCAGTACCTAAACCTTGTTAGTCACTGGAAATACAAAGATAAACAGGGTTTAGTCGCTGCCCTTAAATAATCCTAAGAATGATGAGGAGACAGATACATATTGACAACATTGGCAGCGAAAGAAGCACTAATACAAAGGAACGTATAAAGATGTAGCTTCACAGAAGAGGGTCACTAACTTCGCTAGGGGAGATGGAAGGGATGGCTTTCCAGACCGGGTGACATTTGAGCTGGATCTTGAAGTATAGGTCGAATTTTCCTGACAAAGTGGGAGGCAGCACTGAAAACAGAAGAAATGGTCCTGACAAAAGCATGGAGAAATGAAAAAACACGGCGTGCTTGGGAACTGCAGGAAATCTGTGGCTGGCGTACAGGGGCAGGGAAGAGGAGGTGGAAGACATGGTAAGGGCTATGAAAGTGATGTAAAGACAGCTGGGGACCAGGTTATGAAGGACTTTTGGCCTTGATTCTATTTGTAACAGGGATTGGAGGTCTTCAAACAAGCACTGATGTGAACTGGTTTGCATTGTATAATCTTGCAGCGGTTGTAACAGACGGAATAAAGGGGAGGGCGGGATTAGAGGCAGGAAAAGCAGTTAGGAGAACTTTGCTAGTTCTGGCAAAGAGACTAAGAGCCAAACTAAAGCAAGTAGTAAGTAGTGAGGACAAAGTTGAGGGGAGGGAGGAAAAAATTATTCAGGAGGCAGCATAACCAGGACTTGGAAACTATTTGGATGTAGATATGCTAGAGAGAGGAAGCAGCAAAGGGCAACTTTGAGGTCATGCCTAGGCAACTGGCTCTATCATGACAATATTCCAAAATGTACAGACAAAAGGTGTCACTCTGGAGGTGCAAAGTTTAAATAGGTCCCATGGAGGAGGAGAGACAGAAACTAGACTGCAGGAGGTTGAAAAGTAAATGAGAGATTAGGAAGTAGAGACCTGGATAGATTCGACTGCCAAATACCCAGATTCAGGATGAATAAGGTGTGGTTGGATGTTGTGACAATAATAATGTGTCAGATAAGGCTCTCTGCTATGTGAGCCATTTTCTTTTACGTTTTCAGTTATTTGTTGATAAGCATTTTTTCTAATTCTGAAATATGCAAAGAAGCACATTTAAGTAAACACCCTCAGGAGATAGGACAGCATGGGTAATTTAGTTAGAAGAGAGGCGTTCTAGAGCTATTTTTAACTCAGCCCATCCCTTGTTTCCTCGGGATGTTGGTGAAACATTCAGGTTGTTTATGAGGAGCCTGTGTATAAATACACAGTCATATTTTCCATTCAAAACTGGAGGCTTTACCAGCTTTCCCTCGATGCCATGGCACTGTCATTTGGTTCATATGTTATAGTCTATAATCCGGCAAGAGCCTGGGCTGTAATTCCATATGGCTGGCCACCAGCTTCCAGCCCTAAATGGCTTTGATGTTGTTCTTCAGGGGGAGCTCCAGGGGGTGCTGCAGGAAGAGATCAGATAAATTGGGAGAAAGGGGCCTCTGCTTCTTAGCCAAAGAGGTAAGAACCAGCAGGAGAGAGAACCGAGTGTGATGGCAAAATCCTATCGACCCAAGTGCTGGTGACGTTTTATGAATTCCACTCCGCTATATGTGGAAAGATGGTTATGCTAATGAAACTATGCTTTAAATTAGCTGAACATATTCTCAGAAGAACATTTTTTGCTAAAATTATATATTACAGATTTTGTGGTACCCTTGCTCTGCAATTTAACAGCATGTTGTTATTATTTGGCATTTAATGAGTACCAGAAATTGCTCTGAGTATTCTCCACTTGGTTCAGAAACAATGAAATAAATTACCTTCTTAGACTGCCTGGTATTAGAGGATCCTTCTGGTACTGACCACCCACAGACTGATAGGGAGGGGATTTCTGATGAAAGTCTCCTCCGCAGAAAATATGTTTTTTCTTCCTCTTCTTTTGACTACTTCCCATGAAATCCTCAATCAGGGACACCCAGGAATCATACAGTGCCCAAAGTCCTACCCAGTATCACCAAATATAAAGGGACAGTTTACATAAGTTGATTCTTTTTTTTTCGAGACGAAGTCTTACTTCATCGCCCAGACTGGAGTACAGTGGTGCAATCTCGGCTCACTGCAACCTCTGCTTCCCAGGTTCAAGTGATTCTCCTGCCTCAGCCTCCCCAGTAGCTGGCATTACAGGTGTGTGCCACCACGCCCGGCTAACTTTTGTATTTTTTAGTAGAGACAGGGCCAAGCTGGTCTCAAACTCCTGACCTCAAATGATCCACCCGCCTTGGCCTCACAAAGTGCTGGGATTACAGGTGTGAGCCACTGCACCCAGCCTTGGTTGACTTTTGTTCCATTAATATTGCTATTTATTAATAAGTGGCAAATTTCTGATGACTGGCCTTGCTTCTTGGAGGTAGTTATTAAAAGAAGACCCCAGTCAAATGTTTTCTCTCTTGTTAGTGAAGTCTCCAGCACCTGTCTGGAAAGTCTTGTTCACCTTATAATGGCGGGGGTGGGAGGGGACAGTCATGCTGTGACCATGAAAGATTTTTGAACAAGCAAAAACATAAATTCCCCAAAGCCATGGATAAACTAGGGGAGGAGGAAATTGACTGCAATTAGGTAATTTTATGTACATATTCTATATCAAAATTACAGCCCATAACATTTTTACTGGTCCCTCTTCAGACTTGTAAAATAAAATAATGCATTTTATAGTTGTAGCAGCAACAGCTAAAGAGGTATTTGAAAACTAGTGCGAGAGCGTAGTTTCATTTTTTTTTTAAACAAAACAAAACAAAACGAAACATACAAGCAAACAAATCCAACTAACTTACCGATAGACTAATTCATTTCAGGCACAGCTTAATTTCTTTCAGATTTGAGGCTTATAAACCCTGGCTAATTTGCCTGGTACAATTATCTGTTATTTTGGCAACTACAAAGTTCAAGCATCTTTTAAATAGTTGAAAAGCATCTTAATTCTCACATTTAAACAAGCAGATAAAATACAAATAATAACACTGAATATAAATCCAGGGGTGGGAAAGACACTGTGACTTGGAGATTTAATCTCAAAACCTATTTTGTACACATTACAGCCATCTGTTTGAGATTTAGGTAAACCTGTCAGAGGCAGTGGGCCTGGGAGTTACTGAGGTCAGTTATACCAGAAACAGAAAAAGGGGTTGAAGTATGGTCCTGCAAATGTGCTTTATTTAGGCAGTACTGTGCTGTAACCATTTTGAATGTGAATGGTTTTAGTTGGGGCACTAGTCTCCAGTTCACCATGACGCTCCCTATTGTCATATGCCTGTCTGCTTGATGAATTTACATCATTGGTCTGGCCCCAGGAGACATTTGAGTTTGCAATCTCCAATATGTCTTACATGCATATGTATGCCATTGTTTCTGCTCTTTAGAAGGTGTTTACAATCAAAGGAATTCAATCCACAGGTCAGAACCCTTTAGATATGAGCATTCTCTATTCACCGGAAACCACGTTAATGCCCACATTACATGTCCATGATAACCCCATGAGGTAGCTATTGTTATTATCTATCTTCATTTATTGGATGAGGCAACTGAGACTTAAAAGCATAAATTACTTGCCCAAGGTCACACAAGTAAAGATGAACACAGGATTTGGGAATGACAGATGCAGGATTGGAACCCACATTTTCTCTCCATCGAAACATTTAATTGTATGACCCAGAGCTCAAGACAGGAATTGTTAAAGATCCCACATCCTGGACCCACAGATTTCCCTTCTTCCTTTTGCAACACTTCTTCAAAGACCACAGGTATCTTTAAGCAGCCTAGACTTCATGATTAAAATGCTCCTTTGTGAATACCCTTGGCTCCCTGGCCTTGTCACCTTCCATTACACCCTCTTGGTAAGTGCAATTGCTCATCTGAGGAAAACACCCATTCTCTTCTCTCTTCCCCATACCGTCAACCTCCCCTTGTTTATTAGATATACCCCTTTGGATATGGACAAAGACCACTGGTACGCTGGGTTCCTCTAGCTCTCACCTGTGTGTTGCTTCTTCACAATCCTTCACAACTAGGCTTCTGTGAAAAGTAGCCTATCTTGACTGCCTCCACTTCCTAACTTCCCACTTATTCTTCAGCCTCTGGCAACCTGACTTCTGACACTGCTACTCCACTGAAATCTATATTACTAATGACTTTCTAGTTGCTGAATGAAATGGGTGTTTTTCAGTGCATTGTCTTTACTATTCAACACCGTTGAATACTTTCCTCTCAAAATGTTCTCTTCCCTTGGCTTCCATGGCATAACATTCCCTTTTCTCTCTCAGACCTCTCTGGCTGCTTCCTTCAACTTCTTTTGCAGCCCCTCTTCCACCTCCAACCATCAGTGTTAGGATTTCAACCTTGATGCTCGTGAGTGACTTGGTTACTTTCTGGAAAAAACTTTGTGATGACTCCCAAGCCTATATTTCCACCATAACTTACTCCTAAACCTTATCCAGTTACTTCTGAAGTCCCACAAGCAATTGAAATTTAACATGTCCCCAACTCCTTATTTCCTCCTTTTTCCCACTCCCATCTATTTTGCTTGTCCAGGTGAATACCTGCACCCAATCTTGAGTCATCTCTTCCTTGCTAGGTGAAAAAGCCCCAAAGTCTATATAATAAATACCTGGTTCTCTCTTCTTCTCAATTCCTGATATTGCAGCACCTGTTCATACTCAATCTTCTTCTTTTTTTTTTCTTTTCTTATTGTGGTACAGTTTATATACAGTATAATTCACTCTTTTAAGTGTATAGATAGTTCTATGAGTTTTAACAAATGCATATACTTATGTTACCACAACCACAATCTAAATATGCAACAGTTCCATCACCCCCCAAAAAACTCTCCCATGTTCATCTGCAGTCAACCCCTTTTCCTACCCTCAGCACCTGGAAACCACTGATCTGTTTTCTATCCTTACAGTTTTTTTTTTTCTCGAATGTCATATATATATACAGATATAAATATAATTATATATGACATATAATATATAACATATATAACATATTATATATGATATATATAATTAGATATATATTATATATAATTCAATTATATATGGAATTATAAAGTACGCAGTGAGTCTGGTATCTTTCACTCATCATAATAAATGTGAGACTTAACCATGTTGTTGTAGGCATCTGTAATTCATTCCTTTTTACGGCATAGATATATCAGTTTGTTTATCTATTTACCAGCTGAAGAACATTTACTTTGTTTCCAGTTTTTGGCAATTGTGAATAAAGCCACTATACACATTCATGTTTAGGTTTCTATGTGAACATAGTTTTCATTTCATTTGGGTTAATAACTAAGAGTGGGATTGTTGTGTCATATGGTAAGTATGTGTATAACTTTATAAGAAATTACAAAACTATTTTACAAAGTGGCTGGTCCATCTTGTTTTCTCATCAGTGATGTTTGAGAGTTCTAGATGCTCTGCATCCATGTCGGCACTTAGTTTTGTCAGTTTTATTTTCTTATTTTTCGCCATTCTAAGAGATGTGTAGTGGTATCTCATTGTGGTTTTAATTTCATTTCATTAATGATTAATGATATTGAGCATATTTTTCATGTGCTTATTTGCCATCCATAGATCCTCTTTGGTGAAGCGTTTGTTCAAATCTTTGCACCCTCCCTTCACCTTAAACAAATGAATTGTTTGTTTTTCTATTATTAGGTTTTAACAGTTTGTATATATTCTGGATGCAAGTCCTTTATCAAGATACGTGTTTTGCAAAAGTTTTCTCCCAATCTGTAGTTAGTCTTTTTGTTTTCTTAAGTGTCTTTCAGCTGGGTGCAGTGGTTCATGGCTGTAATCCCTGCACTTTGGGAGGCTGAGGTGGGTGGATTGCTTGACCTCAGGAGTTCAAGACCAGCCTGGGCAAGATGATGAAATCCTGTCTCTGCAAAAAATACAAAAATTAGCTGAGTGTGATGGCACATGTCTATAAGCCCAGCTACTTGTGGGGCTGAGGCAGGAGAATCGCTTGAGCCCAGGAGGTTGAGGCTGCAGTGAGCCGTGTTCATGCCACTGCACTCCAGCCTGGGGTACAGAGCAAGACCTTGTCTCAAAAAAGAAAGAAAGAAAAAAGGGTGTCTTTAATAAACTTTTTGTTTTGTAAAAAATAATACAGAGAGAACTCGTATACCCATCTCCCAGTTTTCCCCAGTGGTAATGTTTTGCATAACTATAGTACAATATAAAAATCAGGGAATTGACATTGATACAATCCATCAATCTTATTCAATTTTATGTGACTTTTGCCAGTTTTACATGTGCTTATTTGAACATGTGTGTAATTTGTTCTATGCAATGCTATCACATGTGTAGATTTCTGTGATCACCATCACAGTCAAGATACAGAACAGCCCATCACAAGGATTTCTTTTATAACCATACCCTGCACACCTCCCTGGCAATAGTAATAGAACCATACGGTAGTTAGCTTTCGAGTCTGGCTTCTTTCATGAAACATAATTCCCCGAAAATTCAACCAATTTGTTACGTGTATCAACACTTCCTTCCTTCTTAATTGCTGAATGGTATTCCAGTTATTTTAAACTATCAGCTGAAGAACATCTGGGTTTTTTTTCCAGTTTGGGGCTATTACAAATAAAGGTGCTAAAACTATAAACACACATGCGCAGGTTTTTGTGTGAACACACGTTTTCATTCATCTGAGATAAATGCCCAAGAGTGCAATTGCTGTGTCTTAGAGTAGTTGCACCTTTAGTTTTGTAAGAAACTGTCAAACTATTTTCCAGAGTGGCTGTACCTTTATACAGTGTATGTTTTACATTATACATTCCTACCAGTAAAGTGCAACTGATTCAGTTTCTCCACATCTTTGCTAGCATCTGGTGTTGCCACTTTTTTTTTTTTTTTTTTTTTTTAAGCCATTCTGATAGATGAATAGTGATGCCTCATTGTGGTTTTAACTTATATTTCCCACGTGGATAATAATGTTGACTATCTTTTCATGTGCTAACAGTGTTTGAAGAGCTCATCCTTTCTTGCCGTGACCATTGTGTGGGAAACAGTCCCCTTCATCCAGTTTTATCCTTTTCCAAAACAGAGCTAGCCCCACTTCTAATTCCATCATGGCATAGTTTGTATTCCTTGGTTTTGATTTCCTGTTGAAAATCTGTCTCCTTGTCACTTGAGAGACCTTGTGAAGGAAAAAAAAAATCTGTCTCCTTCTTCAGACTGTGATCTCCAAGTGGGCTGGAGCAGTTCTGCAATCTTGGCTCACTACAGCTTCGACCTCCCGGGCTCAAGCGATCCTCCTGCCTCAACCTCCCGAGTAGCTGGGATACAGGCGCGCCACCACGCTTGGCTAACTTTTGTATTTTTTGTAGAGACGGAGTCTCACTATGCTGCCCAGGCTGGTCTCAAATTCCTGGGCTCTAAGCGATCCTACCACCTCGGCTTCCCAAAAACTGCTGGGATTACAAGCATGAGCCACCACGCCCGGCCCAGTGCTGTATTTTTTTTTAAAGGCAAGGGCATGGAGAATAAAATGGGTGAATGAGCGGGGCGGGGCAAGGCATGGTGGTTGTTCCCCTTTAACCACACGGTCCAGGCCGGGTCCGGCGCTAAACCCAGAGCCCAGACACTCGCTCATGCGCATGCGCAGCGCTCTCCTCTCCACCCCCGCCCTCCCCTCCCTAGCCCCGCCCCGTAGTGGCCTCCTTCCGGTCGCGACCAATTAGAGGGAGGAGGCGGGATCCTGGCTGCCAAGGTGCTCACTGGGTAGTGTCCCTAGCTACTGTTGCTAAGACTGTGGGTCGCCGGAGGTGGTGGGAGTTAGTTTTGGCAGCCCGGGCCTGAGAGAGGTCAAGGGTCATTGCAGAGCCAGGGAGGAGATGGTGAAGCAGACTATCCAGATATTCGCGAGGGTGAAGCCCCCTGTCCGGAAGCACCAACAAGGGGTACGGGCTGGAGCCTCCGGGGCGCCGGCGCGGCGGGGCCTCTTGGGCTGGGGTCGGGCGGCGGCACGCGAAGGGGCTGGGCGGAGGTGAGGGGCTTGCTGGTGGGCGCCGAGGCCGCCCGGAATCCCGCACACACTGACCGAGGAGCCCTGCAGCCGCGAAGACCCCCGCGCACTGCTGTCAGCTACGCGACCGACAGCCAGGCCACTCCTACCTGGCACAGCGCAGACCCGGCAGAGAGCCATTTTTTTTGCACCCAGGCACACGTGTTCACGCGGGGGCAGACTAGTGCATGTTCAGTATGCCTGTATAGTGTGCGCTTCAACTACACATAAGCACTTATTGCACCTTTCTGGGAAACTCACGCAGCACCGCACATGCAGATACACTCAAAGGTACATTTTGGCACTCGGGCAAAACGTGCAAGCAAGAGATGCGTGTTTATGTACCTCTGAAATAATACAAATATAGATAGACACAAATGCACAAAGCATACACATATGTAGTACTTTGCACCCAGTGGGGCCTCAGTAATTAGTTGACTGTTGTTATTCTCCAACATAAACGTGAACCTTTACATATACTCCTTGTATTAATAGATATAGGTAGATGCTTAAGCATCCTGACCCAAAGAATACGCATGTGTACTTCATTCAGAAACAATTAACTAAATATTTACCAGGTGCTTCCTCTAGTGTGCTAAATTCAGAAAGGTATAAAGAAGGTTAAGACATTGCCCTGACTCTGAGCAATGATACTTTGTATGCACCTTTTTTTTTTTTTTTTTTTTTTGAGACGGAGTCTCGCTCTGCCACCCAGACTGAAGTGCAGTGGCGCGATCTCGGCTCACTGCAAGCTCTGCCTCTTGGATTCACGCCATTCTCCTGCCTCAACCTCTCAAGTAGCTGGGACTACAGGTGCCCGCCACCACGCCCGGTTAATTTTTTGTGGTTTTAGAAGAGACCGGGTTTCACCCTGTTAGCTAGGATGGTCTCGATCTCCTCCTGATCTTGTGATCCGCCCGCCTCGGCCTCCCAAAGTGCTGGGATTACAGGCGTGAGCCACCGCGCCCAGCACTTTTTATGCTTCTTAAATATTTCAAAACATCCTCTCTTCTGCCTAGAAGGGAGCATAGTCATTCTTATGTATCTTGAGAAATGGCCACCTGACAGGTGCTTTATCTGCATTATCTCTCATTCTCACAAGAACCCTGCAAGGTTGGTGTCATTTTCCGCATTTTACAGATTAGGAAACTGAGTCTCAGGTTAAATAATGTGACCAAGGCACCCAGCTGGGGAGTGGCATAGCTGTAATTTTTTTTTTCAATTTTAGAACATTTATTTTATTCGTTATTATACTTTAAGTCCTGGGGTGCATGTGCAGAACGTACAGGTTTCTCACGTAGGTATACACGTGCCGTGGTGGTTTGCTGCACCCACCAATCTGTCATCTACATTAGGTATTTCTCCTAATGCTATCCCTCCCGTAGCCTCCCACCCCACGACAGGCCCCAGGGTGTGATGTTCCCCTCCCTGTGTGCATGCGTTCTCATTGTTCAGCTCCCACTTATGAGTGAGAACATGTGGTGTTTGGCTTTCTGTTCTTGTTTTAGTTTGCTGAGAATGATGGTTTCCAGCTTCATCCATGTCCCTGCAAACGACATGAACTCATCCTTTTTTATGGCTGCATAGTATTCCATGGTGTATATATATGTACCACATTTTCTTTAACCAGTCTATCACTGATGGGCATTTAGATTGGTTCTATGTCTTTGCTATTGTGAACAGCAGAGCTGTAATTTTAATTAAGGATTTTTGATTTCAAAGCTATCCCCTTTTCGGAAACCTTTTTTGCCTCTCAAAGTGACAATTTAGGCAAGGGCAATTTGGATCATATTTGTGAGTATATGGAGTGGGCATATTAATAATGTTGTATTCCTGTTCCATATATATACTGGGTATATGTCTATGTGGAATATCATAGCATCTCATGATTAAGCATTTGCCTCGTATAATTTATGTATTTAAAACAGGAATAAAGTGGTGTAGAAAGAACCATGGGTATCTTCCCATTTTCTCTCCTCTAATAATCACTTACATGCATTTCTTTTTAGAGTGCATCATATGTAAAAAGTGTATTGTATGTAACATTTCCCCCCAGATTCTTAGCTTAAACTGTTGAGCTTATCTACATGGGCTCAGCAGTCAGAGCAGAGGCTGGGATAAGGTCAAGAGACAGGATGGGTAGGGGTGGGGCTCAGGGAAGTGGATGGAGAGTCTTGGATTTAATACTGAACTTTCTTTTCTCTTAAAATGCAGTGTTTGGATATTTTAATGTACCTCATTTTGTATGTCTTTGGTGAGTCTGTAGAGTGGATTGTTTGATCCTCCAGGAAGTAGTTTTAGGTGTCATATTTTTAGGTGTCACACACACATACACACAAAGAGAATGGGAATGAATAAATATTGAATTAGTATATCCCTGTTCGCCCTTAAAAACTCCACAGTTTAATGCCATATCTTCTTGTCCGCAAAAGATTGTAGAGTTCTTTCTCTGACTAGAAATGCTTTTTGTAGTATTAAATTGAGAGTGACTCAAAGGAATTTTTTTCTTTCTCTTCATTTTATAGCTTCATTACTGCATTACTTTTATTCTTTAAGGCATCATAAAGTAAATTGTAATAACAGATTAATAAAAAGGATATATAAAATGAATCTTTGATAGTTTTAACAGTGGTAATGCTTTCCATTTGTACAGTGCTTTATACATTTCAAAACATTTTCATAATCATCCTTGCACTTGTTCTGTCTTCTTAAAAAAAAAACTTCACTATCTCAAATAATATTTTTATGAATAAGGATAGAAAGCCAATATTACACTAAACAAGTGATCTGGTTCTAAGGGACTTTTCTTAAGGCCTCAAAGAGTGTCTTAATCAGAGTAGTGGAGGGTCATTAATGGCAGTTAATATTCTTTTCTGTCTGCTGAGCAGAGAAATATAGACTTTTTAAAAATGGATGTAACTCCTCACTCTTGTATGTTTCATGTCTTATACACCCCCTTCACTCACCTGTCTGGCTATAAAACTTTTTTTTTTAATGTAGTGCCCAACAGGATATAATTTTTAAATGTCTCTTGAGAAAACCTAGCCAGAAAGCCTTGAACCTGATGCCATTGCTTTCTACAAATACTTTATTTTATGTAATGACTTTTCTGCATGAATTCTTCACATTTTAAATGAGAAGTTTCAATAAAAATATACTTAGGAAAATATTCAAACTTTCTGGAGATTTAGGTAGGCTTTTACTTGCTTAGGAATATGACTTTTTCCTCATAACCAAGCATCTAAATGGGTCTTAAACAGGAAGTATTGCCTGTTAGAAGGAATTTTATTTCATGGTAAAAGACAAGAAGCCTTTAAAAAAAAAAAAAAAACCTTTAAATCTAATGACTTTTTTTTTTTATGGTGCATTACAATTTTATGGTGATTTCCATTACATCATTTGATCCCCACAGCAATCTTGTAAGGGAGGTAATTCTGTTTTCCTCATTTTATGTACAAGGAACCTCAATTCTGAAAGTGGTGGCTGGTCACACAGCTGGTAAATTGAGCTCAGTGTTGGACCCAAGTCTTGGGACAAATCTTATGCTTTTATTTATTCCACATGACCTCTTTATAGGCTTGACTTTTAATTTTCCTGGCCAATAAAAATGATGGAGTAGGAAACCAGGAAGAGAATCAGAGAATGTTACAGTCCTAAGGGTGTTGGTTAAGACCCTCTATTTCCATATCAGCTTAGAAAGGCTTAAGGATTTCTCCCAGGTCACTTGCTAATTAGTGGCTGAGTTGGAAGGAGAACCTTGAAAATGACATCAAATACATGAATTACATGTGTCTTTTGAAGCCACATCTCTCTTATCAAATGCCTGAAAATGTCTCATGGAACCTTAGGCTTCTTTGAACATAACTTGAATTAGAGCATTCTTGGTGAGCTATCTGAGATGGCTCCAAACCTAGTCCCTTTATCTCTGGTATTTTGTAAATGCTCAGAAATGCTTATTGATTGTAGTAAAATGTTAACTCCTGATACACAATACTAAAGCAATACTTAGATAAAATGTTGCTTTCAGGCTATTAGTTTCTCAATGACAATAATAACAGAGATAGTCAAATACTTATATTTGAATGTTAGATCATTCAAAGATGATCTGACTTTGATACAGCATTAATTTAGGTTTTACTTCTGGTTCAGTTCCATATATTTGTCTGAATCCACACAGTTCAAAGAGAAAAATTATTCAAATTATATGATATTATGACTTTTTAATCTTAAGAGTATAATTTTCATATCATTACAAGTCATAATAACATGGTGATAGTTCAAGCCATAATTTCACCATTTTATATCCATTTGTTGTCTTCACATTTGCAGATTTATTCCATAGATGAAGATGAAAAATTAATACCTAGCTTGGAAATCATCTTACCACGTGATTTGGCAGATGGGTTTGTGAATAATAAGCGAGAAAGCTACAAATTTAAGTAAGTTTTTCTTTCTCCTTTTTTCATTTCTGTTTCATTATTGAACTAACTCTTGTACTGCATTAATATTCATTGTGAAATCATTAGCACCATTTCTTGTGGAAAATGCAACGCAGCTCTTCATCTCACCTAGTAGACTGAACTCAAGTTGCCTTTTCACTGCTGTGCCCAAGGTCAAAAATAATGTGTATTTCTATATCTGAGATTGTATTCCAAGATTCCAGCCTTTCTTTACTAGCTCTGTTTATCTAGTATTTTCCTACTCAACCCACTCTTGTTTAGCACTTACAGAAAGTTCCAATGCATGATTAAACTTCACTGACGGTAAGAACTTACAGTATCATTTGTGTGCTACATAGGTAAGCCTTCTTTATAATATATATGATATTTGGACCTCATATACACATATGTATACTCTATATCTGTGCTGTCCAATATAATAGCCACAAGCCACATGTGGTTCTTGAACACTTGAAGTATGTTCAAACTGAATTGAGATGTGCTGTAAAGTATAAAACATATGAAGGATTTTTGAAGACTTAGCATGAAGGAAAAAGAATGTAAAATATCTCAAGACATTTTTCATATTGATTATTTGCTGAAATTGTAACATTTTGGTACATGAAACTTCTAACTTTGGTTAAAAGTATATTATTAAAATTAATTTCAGCTGTTTCTTTTTGTTTCTTAAAGTTTTATTTATTTTATTTTAAATTTTTAAGATGGGGTCCTGCTCTGTCACCCAGGCTGGAGTGCAGTGGTGGAGTCATAGTTCACTGTGGCCTTGAACTGCTGGGCTCCAGTGATCCTCCCACCTTAGCCTCCTGAATAGCTGGAACTACAGGCCTGCACCACCATGCCCAACTAATCTTTTTGCTTTTTTAAAAACGTGGCTAGTAGAAAATTTTAAATTACATATGCCCTCACATTTAGGGATGCCATTATATTTCTCTTGGGTAATGCTGAACTATAATGGCTCAGTTGAAAAATACCAAACAGCTACCCTTGCATGGTCATCAGTGTCTTTGGTCTGAATACTCTTTTTGTAGCTAGGTCTTGAATTTAGGGAGTATAGCTATTTCACATTCTCTTTAGTCTCCATTTTCAGATTAATCTATTTCTTTTAATCTCCACTTTTGATTTCTGGGGAAGTTTGAGCCCAAATTAAATCCGTCTTTGATCTCTGGCCCAAATTTTGGTGACGGATTTCTGGATCCTGCTGAAAGAATCCTAATTCTTCTCTTCAATGTATCTCTAGACTGTTTTACAAAGGCCCTGTTTTGAGACTATTCCTGCCTTTGCCCTTTGGATAAAACTATCCCAGATTTTTTTTTATTCCTCTCTCTCTCTCTCTTTTTCTTTTTAAATTCTTTTCTTTTTTTTGAGACAGAGTTTTGCTCTGTCGCCCAGGCTGGAGTGCAATGGCGCAGTCTTGGCTCACTACAACTTCCGCCTCCCGGGTTCAAGCGATTCTCCTGCCTCAGCCTCCCAAGTAACTGGGATTACAGGCACCTGCTACCATGCCCAGCTAATTTTTGTATTTTTAGTAGAGACAGGGTTTCACCATGTGGGCCAGGCTGGTCTCGAACTTCTGATCTCAAGTGATCCACCTGCCTCGGCCTCTCAAAGTGCTGGGATTACAGGCATGAGCCACCGTATCTGGCCTTTTTCTTTTTAAATTCTTATTTGCTTTTTTTGTTGTCTCATAAAGAATTTCTCCTTGGTCTTCATAACTCTACCTTTTGTCTTTCATATATAATATACATCTCTCCCTCCACTTCCACCTCATTTTCTTATTGTGTCTTTTACAGTAAGTACAAGCAAGGCTTGCTAACCTATTGTTGCCTAGTGGGGCGGTCCTCACCTTGTCTTTATGTCTCCCCATTGTCTTTCATTATATCCTTTAAGGAATAGCCCTAAAACCTGTGCTTTTCTTTTTCTTTCTTTCTTTTTTTTTTTTTTTTCTAAGACAGGTTCTCACTCTGTCACCCAGGCTGGAGTACAGTGCTACAATCTCAGTTCACTGCAGTTCTGACCTTCAGGGCTCAGGTGATTCTCCCACCTCAGCCTGTGAGACTTCAGGTATGCACCACCACATCCAGCTAATTTTTTTTTTTTTGGTAGAGACTGGGTTTTACCATGTTGCCCAGGCTGGTCTTGAACTCCTGGGCTCAAGCGATCTGACCCTCCTTGGCCTCCCAAAGTGCTGGGATTACAGGTGTGAGCCACCGCGCCTGGCCCCTGCTTTGCTTTTTCTGAAGAGGACGTTCTCCCACTGATGTAAGCATGCTACATACCTTCATAATTGTGACTTGTTACCAGCTGGCCTAGGCCAAAATCTATTACATAAAACAACAGTTTGCTGAAATATTTTATTCAACATGATTCCATTTGATTGATAAGAACAATTTACTATGTCTTTATCTATGGACCCTATCCAAAGTATTCTTTTTTTTTTTTTTTTTTTTTTTTGAGATGGAGTCTCACTCTGTCGCCCAGGCTGGAGTGCAATGGCGCGATCTCGGCTCACTGCAACCTCCGCTTCCTGGGTTCAAGCAATTCTCCTTCCTCAGCCTCCTGAGTAGCTGGGATTACAGGCATGCAACACCACACCTGGCTAATTTTGTTTCCATTTTTAGTAGAGACAGGGTTTCACCACATTGGCCAGGCTGGTCTAGAACTCCTGACCTCGAGTGATCTGCCCGCCTCGGCCTCCCAAAGTGCTAGGATTACAGGTGTGAACCACTGCACCTGGCCCCAAAGTATTCTTTATATAGATACAAACAAAGTGCAATTGTTGTAAAAGCACCATTGGCTTATTTTTAAATCTCTGAATTGAAAATAATGGTTTTAATATTCAAAATTAAAAATTAATAAAATATTCAACTTACACATATGTTCAGAGATAAATATTTAAGCATTTTAAAGGCTGTTTTCCCCCAAGAACATTTATTCAACCAATAAATACTTATTGGCTACCCACTGTGAGCTGTTTTAATTGCTAGGAATACAGCAGGGAACACAACAAAGCTCCTGCTCTTAGGGAGCTTACATTTTAGTGGGAGGAGATAGAGGAGAAGATCAGTAAGCAAAATGTACGTCAGAAGGTGCTACGTGCCATGGAGAAAAGTGTGACAAAGAAGGGGAATGAGGAGTGCTGGATGAGGGGGGTGAAGGAGAGGAATGGTTGCAACATTTAATAGGTCAGGGAAGGTGTACAGCAAAGGAACATTTGAGCAAAGACTTGATGGAGGTGAGGAAGCCAGCCATTCAAGTATCTAAGGGATGAGACTTTCAGGCCAAGGGAATAGCAAGAGTGAAATCCCTAATGGGGAGAACGCCCGGCATGTTTGAGAAAAAGTGATCTATGTGGCTGGAGTAGAGTAAGCAAGAGGTAGAGGGGAGTAAGCATGAGTAGAGTAAGCATGAGGAGTAGAGTAAGCATGAGGAGTAGAGTAAGCATGAGGCAGCAGAATGGCCAGATCACTTAGAGCCTTATAAGTCATTGTGAGGACTTGAGCCGTGAGAAGGCAATGGAGGGCTTTGAGCAGAGGAATGAAATTATCTCACTTATGTTTTAGCAGGATCACTCTTGTTGACATGTGGAAAACAGGCTGGAAGGGGGAAAAGACTAGTTAGGCTATTGCAAGAGATACCAGGCAAGAAATTATGGTAGCGTGGACCAAGGTGGTAACAGTGGAAATGTTGAGAAATAATTGAATTCTGGATATATTGTGAAGGTCTCACCTGACAGAGTTTGCTGATGGATTAGACATAAAGTATAGTAGAAACAGAGGAGTCAAGCAGATCCTAATGGTTTTGGACTGAACATTTAGAGGGATAGAGCTGTTGCTTTCTGAGATGAGGAAGAGCACAGGAAGTGCACCATTCTTTAGGGTGGGAAGAAGTCAGCATATGCTGAGTTTGAAATGGAGTTTAGAAAAAGCCTACTCAAGTTCCTAACAAATGAAAAGACCTCCTAAGAATCAGGAAACCTAAGTTATGTCTCAAGGCATATTATTGATGAGCTCTAAGACTCTGAGTAATTACTTTATCTCTGTGGATCTCGACTTCTTCCTCTGTTAATCATTAGACTGAACCTGTTAAAATCCCTTCTAATTGTGATCCTATTGTGCTCTTCAGTGGTTTTCAGAAGACAGCTGATCAAAATGCCTTTTCAGATTACTATGCAACTATATTGTATAAAATGCAATATTTTGGGATGATGACATTTGATGCTTAATATATAGTTAATGGTTTATTGTAAACTTTGGTGCTAAAATCGTTCTTCTAAAATGTGTGGGGAAAAGTCAATAAAAAGGGAGATCTGGATTGCTTGTGTTTCTACCACCTGCTATTTTAAATAGTGGAGGATGTCATTTTCCCCCAAGGAATTCAATATCCTTTATAGATATTTTTAATTTAAATCTTGTTAGAAGTGACTGGTACATGGTAGGCCCTCAGTATGTGTTTGTGGAATGAATAGATCAATTAGAAATGAAAATGCTATCATTAATTTTACACAAGGTACCTTTCAGAAGATATTCTGTGTGTGATTCACTGCCTTCTTTAAAACTTCTGCTATCTCTTTTATTTACATGGTAGTAGATATAATTACTCTTTTTTTAAAGAAGTGGGGTAGAAAATGGCTAATTGATTCACCCAGTCATCACCCATCTGATAAAAGAAGTGAACCAGCGTTATCATCATTCTCCTCAAAAGCTGAGAATATGTGCTCAGACCTCATACTACACAGTGCTCTGAAAAGCAGTTCAGCAGCTATGTGTTATGTTGACCTCTGTGTTATGTTGGTGTTCATATCTGAAGCTGTGATACATCTATAGAGTTTTGAGAAGCAATCTGGGCACACTAAACAGTAAATATTACTGTCTAAAATACAATCTTCCCTGCTAAATGACATACTAGCCAGAGTGCCTTAGATTATCTCTTTGTATAGTTCATTGTTTGCTTCTCTAAAATGGAGGTAGGTCAGCTGTCTCTACTAAACTCTGTCGCTACTGAAAATATGAAAATTAGCCAGGAGTGATGGTGCACCTGTAATCCCAGCTACTCGGGAGGCTGAGGCAGGAGAATCGCTTGAACCCAGGAGGCAGAGGTTGCAGTGAGGCGAGATAGCGCCACTGCACTCCAGCCTGGGTGACAGAGTGAGACTCTGTCTCAAAAAAAAAAAAAAAATAGATTCTGTGTCTTCTACCCCGAGTGTTCCACTGTGCTTGCAATCCAGTACTAAGCTAAGTCAGAGAAGCATTGCAAGAAGAGTGAAATTGACACCACACCTCCACTCTCTTCCCCTAAGCCATTGCCAATCTGATTAAACCTTCTCTCTGTGGGACAGGTCTATCATAATTTACTTTTTGACTTTTGACTCATGGTCAACAAAATGAAACAAAACCATCCTGAGAATTAAATGGTTGATGCTAGGATATAGCACCAAATTAGTGGAAAAATAAACTTTAGTTCAAAATACTAAAACTAAGTTCAATAATCATACAATTCACAGTTGCATTCTTTTCTCACAGGTCAGATATTAGAAGTTCCTTGGCTGTTTACATCCTGTTCTTGGATTTCCATTTCATGCAGCTATCTGGTTTTGAATTTCTTGCCAATTGTAGACACTGTCCCTCTTGAGAGCTAAAAAGCACACAATTTGTTATTTGGTTCAAAGCTGCTGCAGTTTTTCAGAGGGATTTATTGTGCAGATCTTGTCAAAGCAATACTGTTTACCCACCATTTGTATACAGGAGTACAACAGCACAGTGTGGTTGAGACTACAGGGCAAACATTGTGCTAAGTTAGGTAAGCCCAGTGATGTAAATATGGGGTAATTAATAGAGCTTTCAGAAAAACAAGATTTATTAATCTGATAGTGTTTGGAGGTGCAGCTTTTAAATAATTACTATTTTTCACATTGCAGATTTCAAAGAATTTTTGATCAGGATGCAAACCAAGAGACCGTTTTTGAAAACATTGCCAAACCAGTTGCTGGGAGGTAGGATTTCCCATATTTTGTTCAGTGGGCTCGTGGTTTTTCATGTTGCCTTCAATTCTCAGATAACTGTGGTAGTGTGCTTAAGTGTATCAATTATATACTTAGGCTGCAGGACATGTAATGATGATGGCATTAATACCTTCTGTTCCTATAACCATTTGTTTTAGATTTAGATTCTGAGTCTCAAAACAAAACAAAACAAAATAACGCAGCAAAATAGACTAGCTATTGTTACTCCTATTTGTAAAGATATATAAACTGAGGGTCACAGAAATTAAGTGACACTACTCAGGGTTGCATGGGTAGTGGTGGCAGAGTCCTAGATGATTTTCTGACTGTTAAGTTCAGTGTTCTTTCCTCAGTACGGTACTTCAAACATATGGTTAGATGGACAAAGGATAAGGTATGGGTGGCACCTGGGAGGCTGCCTAATGATGCTGGCCCTGCTCTACCTCAGTGTCATTTCAAAGCTTGGCCCTTTGCTTTAATATATCTAGCTAATTCTAGGCTGCTGACTACTAGAACCAAACTCACATGAGGGTACCAAATAAATCAGAATGCCAATTTATTAATAGGAATTCACAGTCTCCTAGGGACTAGACACTCAAGCACAGAGTCCTCTTATAAGGAATCCATATGGAAAACTACTGCTCATAAGCTTGCTTTCTGATCTGAAATCATCTGGATGATGCTAATGACCTAATGATAATCCCAAGACACATTCATCTTTACAGTTAAATAATGAAAATTATACCTGCTAAATGATCCCAGTTTTCAAGTCTGCTCATCAGTACACCTTTTTTAGTGGACATTGCTGGGAACACAGTGCCACATTTTGTCTCTCAAACTCCTGTTTTATGAATCCTATGCAAACCATGCCCTTGTCTTTTTAATACAGTCTCCTTCATTAGGTAACTTACAATCAAGTAGGCTTAAACTATTTCAGAGTTATAATCAAAATCCAACAATCCAATAACACCTCTTTAGATGAAATTCAAGTCTCCTTGATTAGATGTCAAACATTTCTGAAATTCCCTTCTTTTTAGTAATCATTTGGGTTGTGTCATTTTTCAGATAGCTAGTTTCGTGTGTTTTATTTTTAAACTTCCTAACATCATTCAGGAAGGGAACCTTAAGTTTCTTTTTCATGGATGCCTGGGTTTTCCTTCCACTACAGACTCTCTCATCTTGACCCCACTTTCTCCTCCAGCCACTGCCCTTTGCTTCAGCTTTACTTTACAGAAATGGCCTACTATATTCACTACTTCAGTTCCTCTCCTAAACCCTGTTCTTGTCAAGCTTTCGCCTCCACTGCCTCACTGAAATTGTTTTTGTCAAAGTCAACTATGACTTCTATTTGCTAAATTTAATAATGATCATTTCCCAGTCCTCATGCTATGTGATATGTCTGCCATTTTGACACAGTTGATCACTCCATCCTCCTCCAAATACTTTGTTCACTTGTCACACTCTCCTGGTTCTCCATTCCTTCTCAGTTAATTTATGCAGCTTTAATTGTGTGCGGTGACCATTTCCTCTTGCTGTTCCCTCTGCCCGGAATTCTCTTCCCTCAGAAATCTGCATGGTTTCTCCCTCAGCAACTTGAAATCTTTGCTCATAGCGGCTTTCTCAGTAAGGCCTTCCTGCAGTACCTTATTTAAAATTGCACCTCCGTTACCCTTCCCTATTTGACTTTATTTATTTTAGCACATATCACCATCTGACATTTTTTAAATTATTATTTTACTTTAAGTTCTAGGGTACATGTGCGCAACGTGCAGGTTTGTTACATAGGTATACACGTGCCATGTTGGTTTGCTGCACCCATTAACTCGTCATTTACATTAGGTATTTCTCCTAATGCTATTCCTCCCCCTGTCCCCAACCACATGACAGGCTCTGGGGTGTGATGTTCCCCACCCTGTGTCCAAGTGTTTTCATTGTTCAATTCCCACCTATGAGTGAGAACATGCGGTGTTTGGTTTTCTGTCTTGTGAGATGGGGTTTCACCATCTTGGCCAGGCTGGTCTTGAACTCCTGACCTCGTGATCCACCCACCTCGGCCTCCCAAAGTGCTAGGATTAGAGGTGTGAGCCACCGCACCTGGCCCTGACATATTATATAGTTTAATTCTATATTAGTTTTTGTGTCTATTTGCCTCCACTAAAACAAAGCTCCATGAAGGCAGGGGCTTCGTTTTATTCACTGATGTGATAAACTCCATGATAACAAGGTTTCAAAAACGACAGGCAAGAGCACTTTTATCCAAGCAGCTCAAGTTGGTCCCGGTGGGTTTTATCTTTTATCAATAAGAAATATTCCTCTTTATCCTTTTTATTACTTTTCTCCTTGTATTCTTTTTTTTTTCCTGAAATTAGTTTTGCTATTTTTTTCTGTCAGCCTTTGTCTTGTCTTTCTCCTTCTCCTAGTCAACTGCCTTGTGACATTTTGTTTTTAAGAATGGGCCTGATAAATAAAATATAGCTGCTTTTGCCTTTTTAGCTAAACCCACAGTTCTTGATCTTTAATTAGTTACTTTAACCAGTTTATCTTTTTTATGATCGCCATAATTTGGAGCTATTCCTCCTATGTTATTTTCTTTCTCCTCTTTATTATACTCCCTAATTTTTTTTCCTTTCTTGCTTTTTGTTGGTTTGACTGTTGTTGCTGCTTCCATTTTCTTTCTCAAGTTGTACATTGTACTTCAACAGCTCTAGTTTAAATTCAGATATTTAAACATTTGTATTTTTCTCAATATCAAAAACTTTGTCTCTGTCTCTGTCTTGCTCTCTCTGTCTTTTCTCTAGTCAAGAATGTTAGGATACTTTTACTTTGCCTCTCCTATACCTCTACAACTTCCACTGTGGAGATCAACTGATATTTCTGTCTGAATTATTATTATTAATTTTTATTAACGTTTATTTTAATTATCTCAAAGTTATACCTATTTCTTTGTCTATCACTGTTTCTTGTATTCATGTCTAATTCTTAGATTCCTTTTGGTAATCATCCTCTAATAACCTCTTAGAAAAAATTCAGGACTGGGGAACTTTCTGAAGTCTTTCCTTTCCCTTCACAGTTAAATGAGCCCAGGAGTTCAAGACCAGCCTGGGCAACATAGTGAGATTTTTGTCTCTGTAAATAATTTTAAAAATCAGCTGGGCATGGTGGTGCATGCCTATAGTTCCAACTACTCAGGAGGTTCGGGTGGGAGGATCACTTAAGCCCAGCAGGTTGAGGCTGCTATACCCAGCCATTTGACTGGGTATAGCACTCTGTGTTAATAGTTCTTTCCTCTCCAAACTGTGAAGATACTGCTTCATTGTCTCTTTGCATACAGGGTTGTTGAAAAGATGTCCATGCCAATCTGATTCTTATTTCTTTTTAGACATACTTTTTTTTTTTTTTTTTTTTACTTTCCAGGTGTTTTTAGGATTTTTTTCTTTTTTTGTTTTTATGAAATTTGATATTAATGAGTCTAGGTAAGGATTTTTTTTTCATGTATTCTTATCTCTCAGTCAGCTATTTCAATCTGAAAACTCAGATTCAAGGGTCATCACATGGACCATTTCTTTGGTAATTAAAAAAAATTCTTTCTTTTTTTTTTAAAGTGATCTCATTTTTATTTATTTATTTATTATTTAATTTTTTAATTTTTAGTTTTTGAGACATAGTCTCACTCTTTTGCCCAGGCTGGAGTGCAGTGGCATGATCACAGCTCACTGCAGCCTTGATCTGCTGGACTTAAACGATCCTCCTGCCTCAAGGCCTCCCGAGTAGTTGAAATTACACATGCATGCTACCACACTCGGCTAATTTTTTGAATTTTTTATAGAGATGGGGTCTCAGACTGGTCTCAAACTCCTGGGCTCAGGCGATCCTCCCACCTCGGCCTCCTAAATAATTTTCTTACCTCTAACATATCTATTCTTTATTTCTGGACCTTGCAGTCCTATCCTTCAAATATTACAACTTCCCATTCATAGTTCTCCTCTCTTTGCCCTGTGGTTCTGAGTTCTGCAAGAATTTGTCAGCACAGACTTCCAGCATGGTAATTTGCTTTTCAGTGGTGAATTCTTCTTTATCCCTCTAAATTTTTTAATTTTTGCTATTATTTTTCATTTCTAGGAAATGAAAAAGTCTATTCTTGCTTGTGAATGTGGTATCCTCCCTTTCCCTCTGAAGATAATGATCTTTTGAAACACTGGGTTTTTTTTTTTTTCTGTCTTCTTTTTCTTTATGTGCATGTTCTTCTGATGAGTTTGGTGCCTCGCTTTCCTGGTGCAGATTTCCCTCAGATACTGGTGATTCTTAGAGGTGGGCTTATCCCTGTCATTTGAGAATGCGTTTGTCTGTTTGAGCATGCTGTTTCTGTTCACTGTGGCCTACCCATGTGTCTATGGGGAAGGGATGGCATGTGCTGAGGGCATGGTGTGTTTATTTGCTAGGCGTGAGGCCCTCTTTCCTCCAGGGTGCTAGGAGTATCTTACTGTCCCTAATCCAAGCTTCTCCTCTGCAGAAACATGTACTGCACCAGTGAATAGACAGTTGGGGGCAGATTCACATTTTCTTCTCATTCATCTCTGTAGGAGAGTGTTGTTAAGCAAATTGACTTATTTAAGAGCCTGGGGAGGGAATCACTTTTTTCATTGACTTTAAATATGCTGTATACAGGATGTTTATATTTTATGCAAATTGTATGACTTTGAAATGGTAAAACATAAAATACTGATAAAATAAAGTGTCATTTATGCACAATATTTAAAGTAATGTATCCCCATACATTGAAAATCAAATTTTTAAGAATTACATAATTTGGCAGGCCTTTGAATAGACACTATACCACTTCAGATATTAAACAGAAATGTCCGCTATTCCTAGTGAAGATTAGCCTTCAAGAACACATTCCCAACATAAAATCTGACCACTTTAAACTAGCCCTTTAAAGTTATTCTACTGGGTTAACACATGGTAACTTAATTCTGGTTACTGTATGCAATTAAGGCTAAATAAAACTAATCACATTTCTGTCCAAAATTCTGTAATTCAGGAATCTCACCAATTTAGACATCTTTTCTACTTCGTCCAAACCAGTGATATTATGTGCATGACTATGTAGCAGGGGTCCCCAAAGCCCCAGGCCATGCACCGGTACCAGTCTGTGGCCTGTTAGGAACTGGGCCACACAGTAGGAGGTGAGTGCTGGTGGAGGGAGCATTACTGCCTGAGCTCCACCTCCTGTCAGATCAGCTGCGGCATTAGATCCTCATAGGAGCACAAACCCTATTGTGAACTGTGCATGCGAGCAATCTAGGTTACACACTCCTTATGAGAATCTAACTAATGCCTGATGATCTGGGGCGGAACAGTTTCATCCCAAAACCATCCCTCCGACAACACACAATTATTTGGTGGAAAAATTGTCTTCCACAAAACCAGTCCCTGGTGCCAAAAATGGCAGGGACCAAAGCTGTATAGGACTGCATGTATGGGGAGAAATAGTAAAGCTTGAACTTTGTATTATTGGAAATAAAGTAAAATAATCTTTGTGGTTATTTATTATTTAGTACATTTCCACTAGGAAGTGCTTCATCATGATGCCTCTTCTAATCTCAGGTGTCTTTGAAATCTATTTGGGTTGATTAGTAACATTGTCAAAACTGCCTTTTGTCATCTGAATTTTGCTCATTAATTTCTGGATGAATTTTTTTATAAAGGTAAGATTTAAGAAGTCTACAAATGTCTATGGTATTGCAGTATACAAAAGAGCGTCTTGTTTTATTTGTTTTTTTTTTTTTATCTAGTGTTGTGCTTCTCAAACTGAAGTGCATCAATCTCTGGAATATGTGGTAGGCTATCAGAGAATACCTGAAGCTTCAAGCAAAAATAGTACATTATCCTTGAGTGCCCATTTCATTCAAAGACTTAGGGAGGAAAACTATGAAGTCTAGACATTTGTGAGGTCTTAGCACACATCTGCAAGTTTGCAGAATTCCAGTTTTCTAATAGAGCCAATCTATGTTTTACCTAAAAGCTTGGGGTGTAGGAAATTTACTTTATGTGCAGTGAGTAATTTTGCAAAAATTTGGAAATTCAATGTTTTGTAAGAGCATGATGGTTTGACCAAAATGAATAGAATGTGCACTGGCAGGAGGACTGGCTATGCTATGACACAGTCCCAGTAGCTGGTGCTGAACAGCTAAGGCACCTACACTACAATAAGGCCAATGAGGTTGGCTTTTGGAAAGCTATTAGTCATTATGAGCCACCACTGGTTAACCTTTGATTTCACCAGTGATGAACATTATCAGGAGCAGCCTTTCAATTTATAGTAAGAAGATTTCTCTTTTCCTTCACTCTCTTCTTACTGTAAAGGGACGCTACCCTCTCAGGTTTGGAGAAGGATGTGCTTGACAACTTTTGCACATGAGCTCTTGCTGGGTGGGAGGCCAAGGCTTGATGCAGGGGATTTTCTCATGGCAGGGGGCAGTACCACACTCTCAGTTGTGCCAAGGTCATTGCCCAGCAGGACTTTTGCCTGTTGCTCTTTAGGAAACAGGCTTTGCTGATAATGCCGTGGGTTGCCTAGCACACCCAGTTCTGCTAATCCAACCAGAGAAGAGATCCTGCTCTTTCAAGACAAGGAGGACAGAATAGGGAGAAAAAGGCTCACAAAAGAGGATTAAAAAAATCTTAGTTATTCACTTCTGTGTACTCATGGTTTTACCTTTTCTGGCTCAAAATATTTGGCATCAAGTCAAATAATCCAATTCTGGCCCTAGCCCTGTGACTAACTCCCTATGTGACTCTGAATCAGACATATCACTTCTGAATCAGTTATCCCTTCTGAGAAAGGGGATGCTAATAACACCAAGTTTACAAGGTTGTTTTAAAGATGAAAAGAAACAATGTGCTTTACAAGCGTCAGTGCCCTATTCAATGTAAGGGATGAAAAAATTAGAAATCTTTAATTTCTTTGCCACTCAAAAAACATGCTTAGTGACCTCTGGTTCCAGACCAAGATAGAGTAGACACACTTCTCTCTATTCCCCTTACTAAGTACAGCTAAAGACTCTGGACGTCATATACAAAGAAACATGACTCTGAAAGTTGAAGAGAAGATAGCCTAGCTAGAGACCTCAGGACCTGAGAAGTGACAGAATGGTGAATCCCCTTGGATTTTTCCCCTCATATATCTGCACAGAGCGGGGACACTTAACCACCCTGCCCAGATTGGATGCTGGAGAAACCAGACACCCAGAAACACCAGTGGGCTCAGACAAAATCCTCAAGAAGAGTCTACTGTCTCTAGCAAGAGGGCCAGGGGACTGGCAGCCTAGCAAGACAGAAAACTTGTAGATACTAGTTGCCTTACTCCGTCCAGATACCATGGAAAAACCCGTGACTCCACCCCTATGTGTTTTAAAGAGAAGGGGGCCCTAAGGGAAGTAAGGTTTCTACACTTCATTCAAACTGGTAAAATGTTAACACCAGTAGATTTCTATAGTGATAGAATAGTTCTGTATTTTGATGGCAGTGGTGATTGCTTAATTCTACACATGTGAGAAAACGGCATAGAACTATACACATACATTCTACCAATGTCAATTTCCTGGTTTTGAAAATGTACTAC
Source organism: Homo sapiens (assembly GCF_000001405.40). Classification (NCBI taxonomy): domain Eukaryota; kingdom Metazoa; phylum Chordata; class Mammalia; order Primates; family Hominidae; genus Homo; species Homo sapiens. Next base: position 39,707,058 of record NC_000006.12, on the reverse strand, counting down.
AGTTATGCAATATGTAACCACTGGGGCAAATGGGGTCCAGAGAACTATTCTATACTCTCTTTATGACTTCCTGTAAATTTATCATTATTTCAAAATAAAGCAGTAAGAAAATCCTCAGTTATAAAAATTTTAGTGACATTTGTTCTGTGATATTCTTCTATTCTGTAAATTAGGCAATCTCAGTTATTGCACTGGAACTTCTCCCCCAGGGGATTCAATAAAGCTAATCCCATCTGAAATTCACAAAAACACCAGTGACATTTTGTTTTTTTTCCAAGTTTACAGGAAACGTTATTCACCACTGAATTGTACAAAAACTCATTGCCTGTTCCCTAAATCTGTTCAACTTCTGGCCACAGTTGCACTTTGCCAGATGCGTTGTTTATAAACATGTACCTGCACTTGGCTTTACTTGCTGCTATGCTGAATTTCCTGATGACATCACATTTCTGGCTTTTGTGACTTTACAATTATACTTAAATCTAAACTTTTAAGTGTGACAATTTTAAAATTACATTTTCAACTGAGAACATGGTCTTATGATTAAAAACAGGGACACTAACATATCAGCTTAAAGCCATGTAATTATACAAGATGATGACCTTGACAAGCTCCATCAAGGACTTAACAAGGAAGGGGATAATATTCCCATTCTACCTACAGCTGTTGAATGTGAATAAAACAACAGCAGTTGATGTAACCAGTATAGAATGTATTAAAGATGCACATTTCAAACACAGATTTTATTACTGTAGGTAAAAAGTGAGCCTAAATCTCGGTTTCTCTTCTTAAGAATAATTGATCAAGAAATTGCATACTATCATTTTTGCAATAATAACTACAAGTTATTCATAATTTTTGATAAAATACCTACAGAAAAAAAAGCATAAGAGTTGCATGAAGCTATTTGATTGTAAGAAGTAGGATTCCTTGACAGAATATTGTATATGCAAGGGGTGAAAATTACTGGGTCAGCGGTAAAATAAAAAGCGTTACTTGGATTAAAAAGTTAGTTGGGGGTTTCCTAAGATAATAAAAGAGACGAACCAGTGGATCGGAGATGCACTGATTCTGCAGCATGAAGAGACATCTCTTAAGCTGGTGCCACCAGAAGCAGATCCTGAGGCTAGGATTCCAGGGAAAGTAATTTGTTTGGGAGGTGAGTTCAGGAAGCACCAGGAGTGCAGTAGGGAAGTGAGAAAGCGAAGGAAAGGAAGGTAGGGTCCTTTAAGGAGCAGGTTACCACTGTAAGCAACTGGGACTTATTTCTACTGGTACCCACTGGGGAACTGTTAGGAACATGTCTCAGAGTTGTCCCACCCAAGGGGCAAAGAAGCCAGGGTACTTGACCACTCCTGCCCATTATTGGTTGAAGGCTGCTTCTGGGGTGTTCACATCATGGCACTTTGAGCCTCACCTGTGTGTGAATTAAACTTCATGGAGGCAAGGTCTCCTCTTTACCTTTGTTCACTGTAGTGTTCCTGGCTCCTAGAATAGTGTCAGGTGTCTATTAGATACTCTGAGTATTTGTTGAGGAAGAGAATTGGCAGATAGAGGATGATCCTTTAGCACCTGTCAGCCTTCCCTTTATTGCTTAAATGCACAGTGATGGGCTTTATTTCTTATAAAGTGAGTTTTATTTCTGTTTCCTTCCTGAAGTACTTTTTGGACAGAGATCTTTTCAATGACTAAAATCACGCTATATAGACACCTGCTCTTTTGTCTAGGCCAGTGGTTCTCAAAGTGTGGTCCGTAACCCAGCAGCATCAATGTTACCTGGGCACTTGTTAGAAATGCACATTCTCAGGCCTCACCCAGACCTATTGAATCAGAACTATCTGTAGTTTAACAAGCCCTCCAGGTGATTCTGATGCACACTAAGGTTTGAGATTCACTCACCTAGGCCTACAGCTAGGCTGTGGGGTGATGCAGATAGGGACAGATGATACCAGTGGTATTTGTTGTTAGTATCTTCCTCAGAGATCCAAGATGTGCTCTAAACGACTTTACAATTCCGAAATTGGTATTTGTTTGTTTATAATTTACCTCCCACTTATTTCTAAAATAAATTAAAGCACCTTATCCTAAAGCCAGAACCGGCTTCATATACATGAGACCTATGTCATAACACAGGGCCCCATGCTCAGAAGGGACCCACTCTTGATTTAAAGCACTATAGTTAACATTCACAGGAACGTTACAAGTTAAGAGAAATCTGAAACTATTTAGACTAAGTTAGGTGCTTAACAGATTATTTTCAGAAAGCTGAACATTTTCTCTAAAGATATAATTGGGGGAGACCATATAACACATTGACTAAGAGCAGGGACTTTGGAGCCATATAAGTGCAGTTCAGATCCCAACTTTAATACTTATTAGCTCTATGTCCTTGGGCAAGTTATTTCATCTTTCTCTGTTCTAGCTTTGCTTTTTTTTTTTTAAAGACGGAGTTTCTCTCTGTCACCCAGGCTGGAGTGCGGTGGCACGATCTTGGCTCACTGCAACCTCTGCCACCCAGCTTCAAGCAGTTCTCCTGCCTCAGTCTCCCAAGTAGCTGGGATTACAGGCATGTGCCACCCCACCCTGCTAATTTTGTATTTTTAGTAGAGACAGGGTTTTACCATGTTGGCCAAGCTAGTCTTGAACTCCTGACCTCAGGTGATCCACCTGCTTTGGCCTCCCAAAGTGCTGGGATTACAGGCATGAGCCAACGCGCCTGGCCTGAACCAGCTTTTTATCTTTAAGTGGGGAAAATGATACTGTAATATCTACCTCATTTGCCATGACAATCCAATGAGCTGTACGTGAAAATCACATGCCCCAGTATATGTGATTGCTCAGTAAGTACATAGTGCATGCTCAATGAGTATTAGCTATCATCCATTTTTGGCTCCCCACTGACATTTTTATAGAAAAGGATTTTCATCCCAATTCAGAATTTTACCAAGTTATGAATGTTTTTCTGTATGATTTTTTTCCCCCTTAACTCTTTTTAGATTTGGTTTCTCCCGAGGCACCAAAAAGTTTGCAATTTTATATCAGATCTTCAATTCAGGACTTGAGGATACACTTACAAATAAACCAAAGATATTTCTAGTTATTATTTCTCACCTTGATAGCCTCCAAAAGAGAGATATAGAAAGAACACAAGTAGGAAGCAAGGTGTTCTGGAAAATCCTTCCTATACAAATGTGTAGTGATTGATTACAACTGGCAAGATTTTTACTATAGTTATTTGACTTTATAATTGACTGGCAAAAGCAAAATCATACTGAAAATATGTTGTTAGAATGGTTGGAGAATATACAGCAGTAAATTTATCTCGTGCTTTATCACTTGCAGATCTAAATATCTTCATTTAAAAGTTCCTTTACTTGGAGCAGAGCACTTTTAGCAGAGTTTCTATCATTGTCAGTGAATTTGAGCCTTACTTTTATACTAGGCCATGTGTTTCTGGTCAGAATTTTTAGTGTAATTCTTGCTAAATAATAGGAACAAATTTACTTATTAATTGATAACACTAAGAATATATATTATTTTATATAAAGCTTTGCCAATATAAGAGCAGTTTCACGTATATTATCTCACCTAATTTTTATAATGACCCTATGGGTTGATAGATATTATTATTCCCATTTTAGATGAAAAACGGGACCCTGAGCATTTAATTGGTTTCTGCGGGGTTACCCAGTAATTAGGTTGTGGAGCTGAAACTAGAATAGATCTTCCTTTCATAGTCTTTTGTTTCTTAAATTGCTTTATCACACCCAGCATTTATGTGTTTCATTCAATTTCATTGAAATCATCCTTGCTAAATTCACTAATGATGTTCATGTCACTGAATCAGTGGGCTTTGTTCAGTCTTCATCCCATTTTACCTTTCAGTAGCAGTCAACAGTGTTAACTCTTTCCTTGTGGCCATGACAAATAGGCAAAATTGAGATGTTTGTTTTGTCTTGGTGGCCGGGAGTGGGGGTGGGGGGTTGGTGGATTTTGTCTTGGTGGCCGGGGGGTGGAAATGGGGGTGGGGTGGAGTTGGGAAATGAAAGGCAACTTTCCCTTTTACTGCTCACCTCCTGAGTTTTTTCTCCTGTGCTCCAGATGCCCAAGTACTTTACCTACTGCATCCAACTCCCATGCTCTGTCAAATTTTTGCATGCAAATGACATTTCTTCCTTTTGTTTATAAAATTTCTTCATTCAGTGTAGCCGTTCTCAGAGGAAAATAATTAAATTAGATATATGAAACTTCATTTGACATTCATTCTGCTAATATTTACTGAGTGTCAGCTGTATATCAAGCACTGCAAATAAGTCTAACTTTCTTAAAGGAATTTGTGTTATTAACAGAAAGATCCTGACTGCCTTGGTGGCTCATGCCTACAATTCCACCACTTCGGGAGGCTGAGGTGGGAGGATCGTTTGAGCCCAGGAATTCAAGACCAGCCTGGAGAAAAAGATTTTTGTTTACCAAAATTAGTCCAATTTCAGGCACAGCAATACACTGAAATGAAAGATATTAAGTTGTGTGAGAGACATATTGGGCAAGCATCCAATTATGTCATTGCCATACTTACAGTCCTCACAGCTTTTGATAAGGAAAAATGTTCTACCCAGTTTCCAGTGGAACTATGTTGTGATCCTGTGACACTGTCGTCTGCAGCCATGGCCGAAGGAATCTGAGTCAAGGGCAGCAAAACAAAGGCTGCCTGCTTATGGTATAGGAGGTCAATCTAGGGGCTAGAAGCATTGCCCAAATAGAAATGAGCTGGGGCCATCAGACTATCACTCTTGGCGGTGTGAACTGGGAAAATCTGGACAAATCAGGCTATTACCAGGAACAGAAGCTGAAAGGCATTCAGGTAGAGAGAATGAGAGTCTGGAAGGATCACTATGGACAAGGAGATGACAGTTAGGAATCAGCAGAGGCTATACTAGACAAAGGTAAACAAGGAGAAGGGTCCTAAGAGATCTGGAAGTCTGGAGGAAATTCCCATTTCCACATGCCCTCATATTCTTACAATTACCTTCCTTCTTGTTGGTTTTTATTCATTATATCAGAAGCATCTAATTAAATCAGGGCCACATTTTATAAGTAGACTTGATCTATTTTGTGTATACCAAATTTGTTGACCTGAGTAAAGATTGAGAAATTCCTTTTGAGTTCATATTGAATGTCCAAAAGCAAAATAATAGTTGTGTAAATGAAGTTTAATGCTTGAATCAGAGGATTTTATTGAGCCTAGTCTCTAGTGTGAAATGCAAAACCAATATTCTTCACTAGTGACTGCAGGTGAAGGATATGATGTTACTTCTCTGCTCAGAACCCTTCAGTGGCTCCATATTTCACTCAGAGAAAAAGCCAGCTCCTTGTGATGGCCTAGAAGGAACTCTGGCTTCCTAGGCCTGGGCCTCGTGCAGTCCATTTGTTTTAATGCTCAGCGGTTGCTGTCTTGAAATTCTTAACAATTTTATCTTTGAACGTATGTTTTGTAAGTGAAGTCCTGTGAGACAACAAAGCATAAACCTGAACAGGGGAGATCTGTGGAGCAGCAGCACACGCAAGTTGTTATGCTCCAGCAGCAGTTTGTGCGCAGGCAGGCTCGGGCACAGAGCAGCATCCACGCAATAGCATTTGGCCCGCTGTATACACCTCAGAGCAGTCCAGGATACCATGGGGACCCCAGCAGGAGGATATCCTGGAACCTGGACCCAGATTGGTGGTAGCAGCTGTGACAGCATGAGCAGAAGTGGCAGTGTGGCCATGCCAGAGCAGGGCTTCCCGTGGGGGCTGGACCAGGACTTGCCTAGGAGGTGGCTATCCCATAGGTACCAGAGCCAATCTCTTTGTCCTGAGTGTCTGAACAGAAACTTTTGGAGCTCAGGCAGCAAACTTAATCAGTAAATTATTACAAAATTAAAGTGTGCATGTTAACATCGCAATAAAACATATCAAGAAGTTGTTAGAATTCTTCAGAATTTAGAATTACCAGTTTTGAAAACTGCTGCAACTTTGTAAGGCAAATATCTACAGGCTTAGAAATAAAAATTAAATTTAAAGGCTAGGTGCGGTGGCTCACACCTCTAATCCCAGCACTTTGGGAGGCTGAGGCAGGCAGATCACCTGAGGTCAGGAGTTCAAGACCAGCTTGGCCCTGTCTCTACTAAAAAATACAAAAGTTAGCTGGGTGTGGTGGCATGTGCCTGTAGTCCCAGCTACTCGGGAGGTTGAGGTATGAGAATGGCTTGAACTGGGAGGCAGAGGTTGCAGTGAGCCGAGATCGTGCCACTGCACTCCAGCCTGGGTGACAGAACAAGATTCCAACTCAAAAAAAAAAAAAATTAAAATTATGGATACCATTTTCATGTGAAACTTCAGATGAACCAATTATTAATAAGGAAGACAATTTTGAAGTTAATTTTTTTCTTGTAATAGTAGATACAGTGAGGGAATGCATAAGCAGGTGTTTTGAATTATGAACTTACCATGAAGCTTCTTTCAGTTTCTTGTTCAACCTCCACAAGTGACAGGAAATATCATAGGAAACATTAAAATGCATTGTATATATTTACATTTAAAACAAAATTCAAACTTCCATGAAACTGACTTGCATGTAGGGTTAAATCTTTTTAGAAAAATTAGTTTGCAAGGATCATCAGCTTGAACATACTAAAACTTACATTTCGAAGTAATTTACAGAAATTTACCTTAATGTTGTCACAGTTTATAAAATACTCTTAGCTCTAGTGATAACTGAGATCAACTGAAAGATCTTTCTCCAAATTAAAAGTTAGCAAACCTTATAGAAAGAATGAATAAGACCTACTATTGAATAGCACAACAGGGTGACTATAGTCAATAATAACTTAAGTGTACATTTTAAAATAATTAAATGAGTGTAATTGGATTATTTGTAATACAAAGGATAAATGCTTGAGGGGATGTATGCCCATTCTTCATGATGTGATCATTATGCATTGCATGGCTGTATAGCCATATGTATCGCCTTAAATATTTACACCTACTATGGACCCACAAAAATTAAAAAGCTAAAAAATAAAAATGAAAATCAGAAAAAATGATTTGTGAGCTGGAATGTATCAAAAATAATTGACATTGCTTTCAATTATATCCATTGAAAATGAAGTTGCTAAAAATATAAACTTCAATGATCAAATAAATGAATATGTAGAAAAGTAAGCGAGGAAATTTGTGTGATCAGTCAAGATATATTAATAAAGTATTATTGTTTTATATTGTATAAAATTATAGCATCAACATATTATATTTTTGCAATTTGGAAATTTATCCCTTACTCATTTATTATTATTCCTCTAATTATGTTATCCCTATATTACAAATACTAAAATGTTTTTAAGGGAAAAAGTTTTATATTTTGGTACCTTTAACAGCACTTTTCCTCTACTTTTTCAACAAGGGGCCCTGCATTTTCATTGTGCACTGGGCTCCACAATAGTTTAGCCAGCCCTGCCAAAAAGGCCAGCTTCCATGATCCACTTCCCCCTTGTAAACAAAGGGGACCTTACCTTATAGTTTTGTTTTGTTTTTCTAATATTCTCCCTTTTGCTTACTCTGCTTCAGCTTTTAACATTCCGGAAACCTCTAGCCTTAAAGGCTCTTGCCCTGGCTGTTTTCTGTGTCTGGAATGCTCTTTCCCCACATACCCAGATAGCTCACACTGTCACCTCTTTAAAGTCTTTGTTCAAATGATACCTTCTTAGTGAGGCCCATTCTGACCAGGCTACTAAAAACTGCAGCCCATCTCTGCCCCAACCACCATGGCATTCCTCACTCCCCTACCTGATGCCACATTTTTTTTTTCATAGCACTTATCATCTTCTAATATATAATTTACTTATGTGCTGTGTTATTGTACATTACCTATCTCCTCTGCTAGAATGCAAGCTTCACAAGTACAGGGATCTTTTTGTTTTCTTCACTAATGATTCCCAATCACATATAATAGTGCCAGCCCATAGTAAATACCCAGTAAATATGTGTGGAATGAAGCCTGAAACTACCAGTTAGACATGCAGCTGCTACGCAAGCCAAAATTATTCACATAACTGCAAGGTGTTTTTCCTTGTTGTGCAATAGGCAAATTAGATTCTTGATTCCTCAAATTGTTTACAGCTACTGCTTTTGTATTTCCATTGATTTTAATTAATGAAAATTCCCATTATAGAGCCATGCACTGAATGTGTGCTAATTAAATAGTGTTGTTCATGTAATTGTAGCATATTTAGAGCCATAAAAAGCTTTCAGAGTGCTAAAAACTTTGTTATAAAAGCTAAAACAGTTGTAAAATAAGAAAATCCCAATGGCTGAATTCTTTATTTGCTTGTTAAGAATATTTATTTCTTAGGAAACCCTATTTTGCCTCAATCTAAATGATAATAGAAGTACAGTATATTTTCACTTGGGAGTGTCTGTGTTTTCACTCTGAGTTTCGGTGCCTAGCCAATTGTGTCAGGAATTATTCTTATTCATAAATAAAATATTCTTCATCTATGGCTCTGTCGAGATTTAAATGTATGTTTACTAACTTGTATTCACTCTCAAGCACTAGAATCTTTGGCAATCAATATTTCTTTTTCTTATAATTTAAGTTGTGTTTACTTTATCATAAGAACACCACATTTTCTTCTTACTGAGACAAAAATCAGGTTTAATGTTACAACTAGGCAGTATCCTTTTTAAATAAAATAACAAACTTCTTTTGTATGATTCTTTTTAAAAAATGGAATTGCTTCTTTAATGAGAGAAATTGTGCTGAAAGCTGCTATGCTGTGTTTATGTATCTGGTAGAGGAAGTATTTCTATCAGTACATGAAAATCTGGATTTCCAAGGAAGCCACAAGAATAATGTAACATTTAAGTAGCAAGCCAAAGTCATTTTCTAAATGTTGATATGTAAAAACTGAATTAGCTTCTTGAAAAATAATTAGAAGGATGAAAATCATGGCAATAGTCTCATATCTATATTAGATGAAGTCATGCTGCAAAGATTTCCCAATTTCCATGTGATATTAATAATTATATGAGTAATATTATATGAGTAAACAATGTAAGGTGCTAAGGAGATATTAAGATAGACACTGAAAAGTTGTTGATGCTGTAGTTTCCCAATCTGTTTTATCCTTAATATGCCAGTGAACTTGTTAGGTCACATAGAAAAATGATCAGTCTAGGCCGGGCACGGTGGCTCATGCCTGTAATCCCAGCACTTTGGGAGGCCGAGGCAGGTGGATCACCTGAGGTCAGGAGTTTGAGACCAACCTGGCCAACACAAAGAAACCCCATCTCTACCAAAAATACAAAAAAAAGATTAGCCAAGTGTGGTGGTGTGTGCCTGTGATGCCAGCTACTTGGGAGGCTGAGGCAGGAGAATCACTTGAACCTGGGAGGCGGAGGTCACAGTGAGTGGAGATCATGCCACTGCACTGCAGCCTGGCAAAGAGAGCAAGACTCTGTCTCAAAAGAAAAAAAAAAAAAAGAAAGGATAAAGAAAAATGGTTAGTCTAATATTAGTCTTGAGATCTTTTTCAATGACAAGAGATGGAAACCCCCTGCAAAAGGGAATTTATTGGCTTACATAACTGGGAAGTCTAAAAATATGTTGACTTCAGTCTCAGTTTCCTCCATGTGGCCGACAGCACCAACCTGATAGGCTTATGAACCACGACCCTTAAGACAGGACATTGTCCTTTCTACTAGCTTCAGTAGAATTTCCATATGAGGATTCTGGAGTCACATCCCCATCCCCAGACCAATCACTGTCACTAGAGGCATGGAGCACTCTGATTACCTTGGCTTCCTCAACCTGATTGTCAGTCCTATCTGCACCATTTGGAAATAGGGAGAGGTTTCACCAAAGGACAGAAGTTGGTGATGCCAGAGAAGAGAGATAAGAAAACAAACTTGGCAGATAAACCTCCGCTTTGGGTTAATAGGAAAAGTAAACAAACCCAAATCAATTAGAAGATACCTAGGAGATATTTCAGGCTTGAGGACTTTTAGAGATGACTATAGAAAATAAAAAAGAGTAGGGCTTGTTCACATTTTGGCTGTACCTGTGGCATCTAACAATTTTTTTTTTCTAATTCTGCCATCTGTCTAACCATGGGAGGTTTACAGATACCTATACATTTTGAGTTGATTGTAGTTATACTAGATTTAAAAAAGAGCTAACATGTATGAGGTTCCTACTATGTTTCAGGCTGTGAATACTTTGAGATGTGTGTGTGTGTGTGTCCAGTATTTACACTGTACACACACACACAAACTTTGAGATACACAGACATACACAATATCTCAAAGTATTTACAGCCTGACACCTAGTAGGAGCCTAGTTTATGTTAGCTGTTTTATAATATATATATTTATATATTATATACTGTACACACACACACACATTCTAGTTGAAATCTGTGAGGTGTAGATTCATCAGTGAAGAAAAACTTAAGACAATAGTGACTTAAAGTCATAACCACTTACTATTTCACATACAAGAAACCTGCAGGTAGGCAGTCCAAGGCTGTATTGGCAGCTTTCTGGTCACTAGGGACTCAAGCTCCTTCTCCCTTGCCGTTGCACCATCTTTATCACATCAGCTTGTGACACAGGATGGCCGCTTGAACTCCAGCTCAATTATGCACCTTCTAGGCAACAGGAAGGAAAAAGTGGGAGAAGAAGTTTGGAGCCCCTCATTTTTAAAGAGAATGTTTAGTACTATTATTTTTAAATTTTAGATTCAGGGGTACATGTGCGGGTGTATAACATGGGTATATTACGTGGTTCTGAGGTTTGGGCTTCTAATAATTCCATTGCCCAAGCAGTGAACATAGTACCCAACAGGTAGATTTTCAACTCTTGTTCCTCTTCCTCCTTCCTCCCCTCCACTCCCCCTTTTTGGAATCCCCAGTGCTTATTGTTCCCATCTTTGTGTCTTTGTATACCCAATGCCTAGCTCCCACTTACACGTGAGAACATGTGGCATTTGATTTTCTGTTTCTGTGTTAACTCACTTAGGATAATGCTGCTGCAAAGGACATGATTTCATTCTTTTTTATGGCTGTGTGGTATTCCATGGTGTATATATACCACATTTTCTTTATCCAGTCCACCGTTGATGGGCACCTGTGTTGATTCCATGTCTTTGCCATTGTGAATAGTGTTGTGATGAGAATACGAGTGTGGGTGTCTTTTTGGTAGAATGATTTGTTTTCTTTTGAGTATATACCCAGTATTGGGTTTTCTGGGTCTAAAGGTCATTCTATTTTTAGTTCTTTGAGAAATCTCCAAATTGCTTTCCACAGGGGCTGAAGTAATTTGCATTCCCATGAACAGTGTAGAAAGATTCCCTTTTCTCTGCAACCTTGACATCTGTTATTTTCTGACTTTTTAATAATAGCAATTCTGACTGGTGTGAGATGGTATCCTATTGTAGTTTTGGTTTGCATCACTCTGATGATTAGTAATGTTGAGCATTTTTTATCTTGGTTGCCCATTTGTATATCTTCTTTTGAGAAGTGTTTGTTCTTTGTCCACTTTTCAATGTGGTTGTTTGTGTTTTTCTTATTGATTTCTTTAAGTTCCTTATAGATTCTGGATATTAGTCCTTTATCAGATGCATAGTTTACAAATATTTTCTTCCACTCTGTAGGTTGTCTGTTTGCCCTGTTGATAGTTTCTTTTGCTTTGCAGAAGCTCTTTAGTTCAATCGTCAATTTTTGTTTTTGTTGCATTTGCTCTTGAGAACTTAAGTTATAAATTCCTTGCCTAAGCCAGTGTCTAGAAGGGTATTTCCTAGGTTTTCTTTCAGAAATTTTATCATTTGAGGCCTTTCATTTAAGTTTTTAGTCTACTGAGTTAATTTTTGTATATGGTGAGAGGTAGGGGTCCAGTTTGATTCTTTTTCATATGGTTAGCCAGTTTTCCCAGCACCATTTATTCAATAGGGTATCCTTTCCCCATTGTTTATTTTTGTTAACTTTGCCAAAAATCAGTTGGTTGTAGATGTGCAGCTTTATTTCAGGAGTGTCTATTGTATTCCATTGGCCTGTGTGTCTGTTTTTGTAATAGTACTATGCTTTTTTGATTACTGTAGCCTTGTAGTATAATTTGAAGTTGGGTAATGTGATACCTCTGGCTTTATTCTTTTTGCTTAGGATTGTTTTGACTCTTTGAGCTTTTTTTTGGTTCCATATGAATTTTAGGATAGTTTTTTTCTAAATCTGTGAAAAATGATGTTGGTAATTTGATAGGAAAAGTGTTGAATTATTTGATTGCTTTGGGCAGTATGGACATTTTGGTAATATTGATTCTTACAATCCATGAACATAGAATACTTTTCCATTTGTTTGTATCACCTATGATTTCTTTCAGCAGTGTCTTGTCATTCTTCTTGTAGAGATCTTACCTCCTTGGCTAAATCTAGTGCTAGGTATTTTTTTGGTGTGTGTGGCTATTATAAATGGGATTGCATTCTTGATTTGGTTCTCAGCTTGAATGTTATTGGTGTACAGAAATGATAGTGATTTTTGTATATTGATTTATGTATTCTGAGACTTTGCTGAAGTCATTTATCAGGTCTAGGAGACTTTCGGCAGAATCCTTAAGGTTTTCTAGGTATAGAAACATATCATCAGTGAAGAAATAATTTGACTTCTTCTTTTTCTGTTTGGACGCCTTTTATTTCTTTCTTTTGCCTGACTGTTCTGGGTGGGACTTCCAGTCCTATGTTGAGCAGGAGTGGTGAGAGTGGACATCCTTGCCTTGTTGCAGTTCTTAAGGGGAATGCTTCCACCTTTTGCCCATTCAGTATGATGTTGGCTGTGGGTTTGTCATAGATGGCTTTTATTATTTTGAGGTATTCTTTTGATGCCTCATTTGTTGAGGGTTTTTTTTTTTACCATGAAGGGATGTTGGATTTTATTGGATGCTTTTTCCATATCTATTGAGATGATCATATGGTTTTTGTTTTTAATTCTACTTGGTGAATCACATTTATTGATTTGTGTATGTTGAATCATCTTTGCATCCCAGGAATAAGATCCAACTGATCATGGTGAATTAACTTTTAGATGTACTGCTGGATTTGGTTTGCTGGTATTTTCTTGAGGATTTTTGCATCTATGTTCTTCAGGGATATTGGCTTATAGTTTTCTTTTTTGTTGTGTCTTTGCCAGATTTTGGTATCAGGATGATGCTGGTTTTGTAGAATGAGTTAGGAAGGAGTCATTCCTCCTCAATTTTTTGGAATAGTTTTAGTAGAAATGGTACCAGCTCTTCTTTGTACATCTGGTAGAATTCTGCTATAAATCCTTCTGGCTCAGGACTCTTTTGGTTGGTAGATTTTTTTTTTATTACTGATTCCATTTTGGAACTCATTATTGGTCTTTTCAAGATTTCTGTTTCTTCCTGTTTCAGTCTTGGGAGATTGTGTGTTTCTAGGATTTATCTATTTTCTCTAGATTTTCTAGTTTATGTGCATAGAGATGTTCATAGTAGTCCCTGAGGACCTTTTTAAAGATAATTATTGACAGTTACACACACCACATAGAGCTCATTAGCCATAACTTAGTCACATGGCAATACCAAGCTGTAAGTGACTCAGGGAAATGTAATTCTTTTAGTTGGGTGACAGTGTACCCAATTAAAATCTGGGGTTTTGTTACTAGAGAAGGAGAGAATAACTACTGGGAGGCAGCCAGGCATCTCTCCCTCACACTTTATCTCCTAAGATATGCATCAAGCATTAGTTATTGAGCTGGAAGACCTTGTGACTTGAGTTAGGAAAGTCTTAATATCTCTGGATTTGTGCTACTGTGGTGCCCTTAACAGCTCTCTTCCTTTCCTTGTTTAAGGCCTCAGTCAGACGAGCTAAAACAAAGTGGCTCCTGGAGGATATTCTCATAGTACCAACCTCCCAGGGGCATATGCGTACATTGATCTGGGCAGCGCAGCTGTACGCCAGTTCCATGTGTGACCACTACTGAGTCATGCCCTTTCATTACCACCTAAGTGAATCCATTCTTCCCTGAGGGAATTGATAGGTGAGAGTTGTTTATGATAGTTATATTTTTGATGCTGAGAGGCTACTTCATTTCTATCCTAACTAGCAGGTGCATTGCTATATGACTTTTAAAAGTGAGGCTTTTTTATATTAAGTACAGTATACTCTTCTCTAATGAAAAAAAAATATGGAGGATAACTCTTCTGTTTCATCTCATGTATTGCAAATCCTTTAAGGACGAGTAAGAGTACAATAGGGTTGTTTATTAATTAACCATCAGTAAATTTATCAAAGTATAGGTATGGTAAAAATGTTTCTCCTTAGAAATTACTTGACAAAATAAGTAATGAATGGAGGTTCAGAAGTATCTCAATGATATAACCATCATTCTATCACAGTTTTAGCTTATTGAGGAAGTACTTGGCAACTTACCTGATGTTGTCAACCTAAGATTAGAAGTACCAGCAACAAGTGAGTGCAAAGCTTCCACAATGTAATTCTTCCTGTGCGTGATTCTGAATATCTATTATAGTGACCTCAAACAAAACCAGACTGCACAGTGTCTCCATGTGACCATCATGTTATGAAAAGAATAGCAATATTTACTTTGGGGAAAGTTAGGTGATTGTTTAAAAGTGAGTACAGACAAGCTGATTTTCTTTAGTTTTAAGTTTGAGCTTTTGTTGGTTTCTTGCTCTACCAAAATATTGGAAGATAAAAATGAGAAGAATCAGGGCAGGGGAGACAGGTTTGTTTGCAAGTTCTTTATTGACCAGGTTGAGATGTTCTGAGGATGATGATTTACGTTTTTTCTGTACACAGTAAAGAGTTATTTCCTGAATGCTGAAGAATCTATGTTTTTGTTTTTGTTTTGAAACGGAGTCTCGCTCTGTTGCCAGGCTGCAGTGCAGTGGCGAGATCTCAGCTCACTGCAACCTCCGCCTCCCACGTTCAGGTGAAGAAATCTATGTTTTTATCTGGAGTAGTATCTTCCAAATGTTTTCCCTTGTATTGTTAATTAACACGTTAGTCTTGATTTGTTCCTTTTGGTTTGTTTTTGTTTTTTAATAGAAATGTATCCTGTATTCTGTTAAATTGGCCACGGTGTTACACGGTGACTGTAAGAAGTGAGAATTCATATCTCATTTTCTATCTCAGTCCTACAGGAACTGGATCAACCCAGCAAGTCTGCAGTTCCCAAGGTCTTCAGGATGAGGCACCAGTGCAGTTATGTAGTATTTTTCCGCCAAAGTGATATGTTTTAAACTGACAGATTTTCATTGTTCCATTTGATGCTAATATTTTCTTCTAACAATAGCTTTTCTCTTAATGATGCCTTTTACTTATGTAAACATGTTTTTCTCATAAAAACTTAAATAGTCATTTTGCTTTTTATTAATGGAATCACCACCAAGCAATCTTTATAAGATTGTCATTTATATGGCTACATTAAATAACACAGTTCTGTTTTCATACATAGAAATTCTAATAATATAAAAAATTATGTAGCCAAAAATATTGAAACATTTATACATGAAAAGCTTGAGTCACAGAAACCTAGGGTTGAAAGGAACTTCAAGGTCTTTAGCCTTCCTCCAAGAAATATAACTTACAAAAGTGAGCAGAAGTTTTTATATATTCACTTGCCCTTAGGCTCTTAATTTAACTCCACACTGAGCATTTTCGACACTGACTTGTTTTGAGAAAGGTTATCATAAGGGAGCTTTTCCGTTTCTGCTACCTCAAATGCGTGTATCTTTTTTCTTAGCCTTTCTTCCTTTACTCTTCTCTCAGAAATATTTCTCTTTACTATCCTTACTACATGGAGCTTTGTTTCCAGCTAAGTTTGCTTTTTTCAGAAGTTTATCTCCTAATTCAGTTCCAACCAGGGTTGCCAGATTTAGAAAATGAAAAATATAGGACTCCCAGTTAAATGTGAATTTCAGATAAATGGTGAACACGTTTTTAGTATAAATATGTCCCAAATGTTGCATGGGTCATACCCATAAAATTATTCATTGTTTCTCTGAAATTCAAATTTAACTGTATTTTATTGGACAACCCTATGTAAAACCCTTATGCCTGCAACCTTGTCTGTAAATTTCCTTTGCTGAAGTTCACATCTCCATCAGTGCACTGAACTACGCAGAGGACACTCTTCTGTGGCTGCATTTTCCTCTGCCTGCAGCCATTTCCATCTGGATCCTGCTCTGTTCTCCCCTTGCTGGTTTCTCAGCTTACCTGCAGTCCCCCATTGGCCACTCTTCTTGAGCTGTCTCCTGTTGGTGGCACAGCAGTGTTTATTATGCTTGACACTCCTAGGTTACCTTGAGTCCTCCTTTACTCTTGTCCTGGACAATAACAATTCCTGTTCATTCTTCTTCCGCAGGGGGATCTTTCCCTCCTTCCCTCCTCATCTTTACTTCCCCTTCCCCTTCTCCCTCCTGTCTGTCCCTGCTTGTCTGTTCCCTACACTGCCCTCATTCAGGTTTCTGCCCACCCACTTGCCCACCCAGCCTCCTGCTCTAGACACTCCCTGTCCAGGCCATCTTGCACTGCCTGGTTAATCATTCAGAAATATTGTACCAATTCTACTCTTTCCCTCCTTCAGTGACTTACTATTGTCTGCAGAATGAAGTATAAGTTCCTTATTCAAGGACTCATATGCAGGAACTTTCCAGAATTGTCCTCTTCCTATTTCCCTAGTGCCATTGACATCGTTACTTTGCATCAGTGCCTACCACCCTTTCCGATACTCTCACTCTTTCACTATAATATATTATTGAAAACTCCCTTCGGGAAGTTTTAAATTATGTAATCATTTGGCATACAGATAAAAGGAAGCATTATTTTAGTTTATATCACTGTATTAGTAAATGTTACATTATATAGTTTATCCTAATAAAATGTAATAATATTCACATTATATAAATAGCAAGAAATGTTTTGACTTTTCCCTATTTAGCAAATGACACACACTTTCTTGTATTTGAATTAATTAGATAATTAAAAATGTGATTTTTAAATAAAATTTAAAATGGCACCTTTCATTATGTTTGGCTTCATAACCAAATATATACTGAAATGTACATTATTGTTAACCTGTACTGACTGGGTGCGATGGTTGACACCTGAAGTTTTTAATTCCGGCACTTTTGGAGGCTGAGGTGGAAAGATTGCCTGAGCCCAGGAGTTTAAGACCAGCCTGGGCAACATAGCAAGACATGGTCTCTACAAAAATTTTAAAAATTAGCTTAGCATGGAGGTGTATGCCTGTGGGTCCAGTTACTTGGGAGGCTGAGTGGGGAGGATCCCTTGAGTCCAGGAGGTCAAGGCTGCAGTGATGCAGTGAGCCATGTTTGTGCCACTGCACGGGCCTGGGTGACAGAGTGAGACCCTGGCCCTCTGAAAAAAAAGAAAAACAAAAAATAAATTATATGACAGCAGAATTCATGACTGACCTGATGTTTAATGCTTGCATTTTGCATTTTTATTTATTATTATTATTATTATTACTATTTTTTGAGAAAGTTTCTTACCCTGTCACCCAGGCTGGAGTGCAGTGGTGTGACCAGGGCTCATTGCAGCCTCAGCCTCCCCACGCTCAGGCGATCCTCCCACATCAGCCTTCTAAGTAGCTGGGACCACAGGCACGCACCACCACACTCAGCTAATTTTCATATTTGTTGTAGAGACAGGGTTTCACTATGTTGCCCAGGCTTGCCTGAAACTCCTGGGTTCAAGCAATCTCACCTCCCAAAGTGCTGGGATTTCAGGCATGAGTCACCGCACCCAGCTGCATTTTGCATTTTTAAATCAAATCTCAAATCAACTAATATATTTTCATATTTGTTATATTTCTTTTCTCTTTTCTTTTCTTTCCTTGTCTTTTCTCTTTTTTTTGCAGACAGCGTCTCACACTGTCACCAGGCTAGAGTGCAGTGATGCAATCATAGTTCACTGCAGCCTCGAACTCCTGGGCTTCAGTGATCCTCCCACTTTAGCCTCCCAAATAACTGGGACTACAAATAAAAAATTATCCAGATGTGGTGGCACACACTGGGCTAACTTTTTATTTTTCATAGAGATGGAGTCTCACTATGCTACCCAGGCTGGATTTACATTATATTTCTAAGTGTTGAGCTAAGAAAGTGGATTGCAGGTTGCTATTTCTAAGAATTTTCTACAGTGAATATCCTTCAGACTTAGATCATCTTTATTCACAATAAATAAAAAGCCAGATTGTATACAGTTCTCCACTTCCTCCTCATGACTCTCCATTTGTTTTTATTGCACAAGCCCAAGGCTCTGGGGAATATGTCTCAGAGGTGTACCTTACCACACTTCTTTTTATGGGTTTGGCTTGATTACAAATGCTGTGGCAGCTTCTTGGGAAATCTGAGAAAGGCTACTACTCGTTCCTGTGGTACTTCTTTTCTCATTCTTTTCTCCTGGGCCACAATATATTGAATAAACAATGAGTTCCTGGCCGATATCTATCAAATGAAAATAGGGTTCTATTCATGTGAACTTCTATCTCGGTGCATTTATCCTCACAACTGGTACTGATTAATATGATGTAATTACATTCATTACAGCGATATATATTTGGCAAAAGTAAGATGTGTAGTCATCAGGTGTTTCCCAGTACAGTGAAGTGCTTGAGTGGGATCTCTTCATTTGCCCTGCCATGAAGAGATCTCCTGTCTTCCCTTCTCCATCTGCTGTCTGTCCTGGTAGGCTGACCTGTGTGGGCTCAGTAACCTGCCTCCTGCCCTCTGGCCTCCCAGTGGGGTCAGCCAATGGGAAACCCCAGCAGGAGATCAGAGGGGAGGACAGTGAACTCAAAATATGTTTCCCCCTTGCATTCTCCCCTGCAAGGTCACCCTGGATTGGCAGTTTCTCCAGACTGAAGATGAGTTCCTTCTCAAGACCACCTATTCTGTAGAACTTTCTCACTCCTTTTGGATTCCAGTAACCTTTCAGGCCTACGGGGGTTAACAAATCTACTGCTAGCCGCAGGTTTCAGCACTATGCTTTGTGGTTCCCCTGTATATACACACACACATCTTTGTCACAAGACCCTCTATGAATGGAGTATGCCATCTATTTCCTATTGGGGTCCTTGTTGATATAGTGCTTTACATGGAGTAATTAAATAATCCTCTCAACTAGAAAAGTATCCTCATTCTGTGGAAAAGAAAAGTGCAGCACAGCTACACTCAATGACCTGCAAAGGTTGCATGGCTAATATGTGATAAAGCCAGGATTTGAGCCCAGAAAGTCTGGCTGCAGCCTAGTGATTTTAACCTAAGTATGATAATATGTATAACACAGTTATTACATTGTTGCTTTAGGAATATTTATACTAACAAAATGTATTAAAATTAATCATGCTGATGACAGATAAGGTTGATCACCCAAATTATCATTCCTCCCCACCTAGCCCTTTCATCTGCATACTTCAAAAGATGCTGATTATTTTTTCCCTTTTACCCAGGAAAGAATGAAAGAATGATACTCTTTGATGTTAAGGAATAAGAAGTTCAAATTTTACTTATTACTTTCAGACCTTTTAGAGAACAATTCTTTGCCAACAACTAAGTATTCTCTTTAAAATATGAACTCTCAAAGGCTCAAATTTAGCTTCTTTCTTTTCTTAAGAGCCCGATGTTGGGCGTTAGTATTCATTTTTCAGAATGACCTAGTTTCTACATAATTTTGGTCCTGTCCGTTGGTTCCCAGAACTGATGTAGTCGTCATTTTGTTGTCTGCTTTGTGTTGGGGGATGTGTCTTCTTCTGCCCTGCCCCCTACTTTCACCACTCAGTATTCATTGTTCATTGTCTTCCATATTCATCTGTGGTGTAACCGGTCACATTTTCCATCCTCTTGGGCTTGTGTTGTGGCGCTGCTATTGAATGCAGCTGCAGTGTGTTGATTCTGGACTCTAGGTATCCTGGGTTGCTACAGAATACTGCTTCTAGATGACTTATTTGGCAGCTGAAATTTCTTCCAACACAGCAGCCTCCTAAAGTGTAGCTTCATTTCTTCATGCTAAAATACTAAAAATAAAAAACCAGCCCTGTTCTTTATTTTGGGATCTTTGGATCATTAAAATGTCATAGAATGGTAGCCTGTAATTATACTAGTCTCAGGTATACACTAGCTTTAAAAATGCAATTGGTTTCTAGGAGCTCAAAGAAGAAAAAAACATGCATTAATGATTCAGGTGTTCTTATTGTTAAAAAGAGTACAATAGAATGAGTGGTTGTTTATGCTTTGGGTCTTGGGTGGTTATTCTATAGTGAAGGTCCTGGTTTTGACAGATTTGTTCACAGTCATTTTTTTCTAATGTGGGGGGTTAGGTTATGAGAGAAAGCCAGGGTTTCTTTGCAGTTCACTCTGCTTGCCTGGAATCTCATTTGATATTACCATGGGCTAAAACTGCCAAACTAGGGAATTTGGCCAGAAAATCTAATCTGTGAACACAAGCAATCATTTATATTTTCTCAAACTACTCACCTTGGGTTGTATTTAAGACTTATTCTGAAATAAACTGTAGCTTTAAGACTATAAGAGAAAGCTGCTTATTAAAAAGTTTCCATTTGCCATGTGATTGGCATAATTAGCATCTTTTCTATCAAATGTTTTTGCCTACAGAAAGTAAATTTTAAGTGCATTTTCAAAGGTTTGTTAAAATAAAAGGGGTAATTCTGGTTGCATCTATTTTTCAAGGCAAATTGCCAAAAAAAGATCAATGTGGTAGTGCCTTTTGTTTAAAAAAGCATTTTACATACATTTGAAATCCAGACAGATCTATTAAGCTAAACACCTTACAAAATATGATTTATTCAATTGTCCTGGCAAAGACTTAAGAAGAAGATGTCATTTTGAGCTCTTTTGTTTATTTTCATCAAAAGGCTCTTTCATCTGCCATCCAAATAAGAAGATATATTTACGTACAGAGATGGTTTAAAATCCAACCCTCATCATGAAAGAATAAAATTTCAAAAAAAGTCATTAAAAATCAATTAAAACAAAAGTAGATTTATGCAGCAGATTTTTGCATTGTATTCATTAAAAACGTCAGTATCTGTGAGTTTAATTTGCTACAAAGGAAAAGTAAATAAAGAGATTGCCCAAACAGAGGGGAAAATAGGAGTAGAAGTTTTTCTAGAGCGTTGGAAATTTGGAGGGGCTATGACCATTCAACCATCAGTTCTGTCTGCTGGCAACTACTGTGCCCCATGTGGGGTTGGACCTGTGGTCAAGAAACACCATTTAAGCCTTCCATTTCTTTTTCTGTCATATACTCAGCAAAATTTCCCCTCTGGTTAAACTCGATCATCCACCTACTCTATCTCTATGGCTGGGCTGCTGAATATTGCTGGAGTAAAATATTAACTGAAATGATTGAACTCACTATAGACTCATGCCTGCATATTTCAAATGGGCACTTAGTGCAGACTTACAGTCCTAATACGCTTCTCTGGTATGTTCACCTTCTCACTGTCAGAGATGACTGTTTCCCAATTTGGTTCTTCTCAAACTTCCTACATTCCCTTCCCTTGCTCTCACTTTCAGCTTCCTCATACTTCGCTGAGTAAATAGACCCAACCAATCAAGTACAGCCTCATTCTCCCACGTCATATCTGCCAGCCTGCATCTGCACCTAATTCCTTGGCCTCCCTCCTGTTACTGTAGTCAGAGCTCTACTGTCTCTGCCAAAGGCCAGTCCTCCATTTGTTTCCTGAGGCCTTGTTGTCTTGCCATCTCAAGTATATTGCACTTGCAGTTTTCTTCTTTCCACAGCATCGCTGATTTTTCCAACTCTATGAGATCATTCTCATCAGTTCATTGTAGTATCTGCTCTCTTAAAATAAAACAATGACCTTCATTTACTCTCATCCCTTCTAGCTATTTCCCATTTCTGTGCTCCCCTTTTCCACAAAAACTACCTGAAAAGAGTTGTCTGTCCTCTTGCCTATACTTCACTTCCCATTTATTTCTGGACCCTCTCCAACTGGGCTTCTGTCTGTCTTCTCTGCCCTGCTGAGACTGCTTTTGCTTGTTAGAGTCATTAGTGATACTCATGTTGCCTGAAAGCATGGTCATGTGCCCATTCTTGTCCTATTTGATCTTTAAGCAGCATTTGACAGGGCTAAATTTCTTCCTCCTCCTCTTTAAAATACTTGTTTACTCTTAATTTTCTTTCTTTTTTTTTTTTTCGAGACAGAGTTTCACTCTTACACCCAGGCTGGAGTGAAGTGGTCCAATCTCAGCTCACTGCAACCTCCGTCCCCCAGGTTCAAGTGATTCTCCTGCCTCAGCCTCCAGAGTAGCTGGGATTACAGGCACTTGCCACCACTCCCAGCTAATTTTTGTATTTTTTTTTTTTTTTTGAGACAGAGGTTTGCTCTTGTTGCCCAGGTTGGAGTGCAATGGCGTGATCTCGGCTCACTGCAAACTCCGCCTCCCGGGTTCAAAGTGATTCTTTTGCCTCAGCCTCCCGAGTGGCTGGGGTTACAGGCTTGTGTCACCATGCCCAGCTAATTTTGTATTTTTAGTAGAGACAGGGTTTCTCCATGTTGGTCAGGCTGGCCTCGAACTCCCAACCTCAGGTGATCACCCACCTTGGCCTCCCAGAGTGTTAGGATTACAGGTAATTTTTGTATTTTTAGTAGAGATGGGGTTTCTCCATGTTGGTCAGGCTGGTCTCGAACTCCTGACTTCAAGCAAACCACCTGCCTTGGCCTCCCAAAGTGCTAGGATTACAGGCGTGAGCCCCTGCACCCGGCCTACTCTTAATTTTCATAACATCATACTGTGGTAGCTATGGAAGTGTCCTGTGTCTCCCTTCATGAGTATCTGCTGCAGGGCAAGAGCTGACTAGCAGCCTTCAGCTACCATACCCCTAGATTGAACACAGTGGAAACACAATCCAGGCTTCCTTGGAGTGTTCCCAGTCAATAACTGAGCATGATGGGGATACTAGAATTGGAACATTCTTTCATTACATGAGAATCTTCTAATTGGCAATGTTGAATCCAAACTCTCCTTTGACTAGGTCAAGTCTTTCTTAGAACTGAGCTCTTCGTATCTAATCCTTACTATCCCTGCCTCCTTTCACAGATGTCAGATCCACACCAGGTCTGAACCTCTCATTACCTAATCCTACTTCCTCCTCTTTTATATCTCTCTTGTACATCTAATTCCATCTTGGTGTCAGATTTCCAGAGGATGACCCAAACAGATACACACTATCCTATTCCCTTACCCACTCGGCTGTTCTTCTGTCTTCTTTGCCTATTCCTCCTCTCCTTCATGAGCCCTTAACACTGATGGCCCCAACCTTGGACTAAGTCTTCTCTTCTTGATCTC
The DNA here is from genome assembly GCF_000001405.40 of Homo sapiens. Classification (NCBI taxonomy): domain Eukaryota; kingdom Metazoa; phylum Chordata; class Mammalia; order Primates; family Hominidae; genus Homo; species Homo sapiens. The sequence continues at coordinate 39,683,637 of NC_000006.12, read as the reverse complement.
TTTATGATCTCATTCAGTTCCATGACTTTGAATATAATCTTTATGTCATTGATTCTCAAATCTGTATCTCTAGCTCTGATCTCTCCCCAGAACTCCAGACATCTGTATCTAGTCACATTCTTGACATCTCCACTTGGGTATTTATGAACATCTAAAAGTTGGTATATTTTAAGGAACTCTTGATCCTCTTTATCCAAATCTGTCCTCCCTCAATTATCCTTTTCTTAGTAAATGGCTCCAGTCATTCTGATTTGCTCTTTTCCTCATCTCCTTTCAGCAGGTCCTGTCAACTGAACTCTAAAGTATCTCCCGAATCAATCAATTTGTCTCCATTTTCATTACTGCCACCCTAATCAGTTTTGCAGCAATCCTCTAACCCTTCACTCTCTTGGCCACTTATAGTCCAGTCACCATTCACTAGCCAAAATGAGCTTTTAAAAATGCAGATCATATCCAATCATCCCCCTGTTTAAAGTGCTATAAAGGCTCTCTCAAACTTTGCATAAAACTCAGACTATACCTTGTTTGTAAAACCCTGCCATCTGGCCTCTACCAGCCTCTCAGACCTACCTTTTCCTTTCCTTTGCCCAGGCTCAGCAGCTTTCTTTTGTTTCCTAAAATAAGACAAGATTGTTCTTGCCCTTTGGCCTGTTACCTTATCTCTAAGTGTCCTTCCTCCTTATCGCTTAGATCTCAGTTTTACTGTTAGCTCCTCAGAAAGGCTTTGCTGACCTCCCAATCGCATTAGAAATATCTAGTCACGCTGGCGCGGTGGCTCATGCCTGTAACCCCAGCATTTTGGGAGGCTGAGGTGGGTGAATCACAAGGTCAGGAGTTTGAGACCAGCCTGACCAACATGGTGAAACCCCATCTCTACTAAAAATACAAAAATTATCTGGGTATGGTGGCACACACCTATAATCTCAGCTACTCAGGAGGCTGAGGCAGGAGAATCGCTTGAACCCAGGAGGTGGAGGTTGCAGTAAGCCAAAATTGCGCCACTGCACTCCAGCCTGGGCAACAGAGCAAGACTCCATCTCAAAAAAAATAAAAAGAAATTATCTAGTCACATTGTAGTGCATTATTTTATTTGCATTCTCTTCATAGTTCGATTATGCACTGCATAAGGACGTTTAGATCATTGACAGACCACATATACAAAAGTTATCCCATGAGATTATAATACTGTATTTTTACTGTACCTTTTGTATATTTACATATGTTTAGAGACACAAATGCTTAGTACTGTGTTACAGTTGCCTACTGTATTCAGTACAGTAACATCCTGCACATGTTTGTACCTTAGGAGCAACAGTCTATGCCAATATAGCCTGGGTGTGTCGTAGGCTAAACCATCTAGATTTGTGTAAGTACATGCTATGATGTTCACACAAGGACTAAATCTCCAAATGAAGGATTTCACAGAATGTATCACTATTGTTTAGCGATGCATAACAGTACTTATGCTTTCTGATCTTTTTCTTGTTTATTTATTATCTGTCTCCCCGATTCATACATAAGTTCCATGAGAACATGGTTCTTTTCTGTCTTCTTATTACTGCATTCCTAGCAGTGAGACCAGTGCCTGACACATGATATGTAGTAAGTATTCATAAATATCTGTGGAATGAGTAAGTTGACAGAATTCAGTATTTCCCCCGATGAGCATTTTTTTTCTCTGAAAGAAAAAAATGGTGAATTTTCCAAACTCTACATACCCCTGTAGTTCTTCCTACATTCATCATTCCCTAAGATGTGCTTTTCTTTGGATTTGTACATAATGCCAATACAGTTAAAATCCCATTACAGTGAATTCCACGGGGCATGCTATTGGCTTTGTTATAGCGGAATTTGTCACAGGGCCAGAAATTGCATTTCCAGTCCACAGAAACTAAGGATGAAACTGCTTATTGTCCATTTCTCCGTGGAATTGGGAAGGGAAGAGTTCTGACTCTGAAATGAGAAGTGAGATCTATCTAGTGAACCTCCTGCCTCTTCTCTAGCCTCCCTGATATTTTACATGGAATGTTGGCTTTGGGTTTTTTGTTTGTTTCTGGCTGAAGGATTTGAGTATTGAAAGAAGTAGGGGTAGTTGAGGAAGAGAAAAAAATTAAAAGGCAATTATGATTTGTTGACAAGAAAAGATTCTAGAGTTTTTTTTTAAAACATTAAGGTAAATAGTATTCTCTCCTACTTTTTGTAGCATAAAAAGCTACATCCTCAGGTGCTGTTTTTATACATGAAAATATACATGAACAAGGGCCAGAAAATGAAACAAAACAAAACAGAATACAGTTCCTATAGTGAACTATTTGGTGTTGGCAGTTTGTTGTAAATAGAGAAGTGAAGGTCTTTTTGTTTTTGCTTTTAATTGGGTATTCTTCTGAAATATGGAAACAGCTTGGTTATATTATGAAGATCTTTCCTTCATTGTAATGGTCATTGTGTTCAAATCGGATCATCAAAATTTTGCCTTAATGTTATAGTATAAAAATGTCTTGAGTTATTTTTTATTTTATTTTATTTTATTTTATGTATTTATTTGCCCAGATTCAACTTCTCAGCATTGAATTACTTTTTGAAGTCATTTATTAAGAACTTTTATTGGCTTTCTCAGACAGACACATTTATTCCCTCTTCCTTGTACCCAAAGTACTTGATACATGGCCTTTATCATATTGTAATTGTATTTATCTGCCTGTGTCCTGTACACTGACCATACTAAAGACAAGCACTGTGTTTTATTCACTTTTGCATTCCCCACCTGCAGTCCTTCTTCTATTCCCTATTTTACCTAATAAAATGGGACAAAAAGGGTTTTAAATACATGTTTATGGAATGGTAGCACCACTTCTGTAGCTACCTTAGCTTATTGCCTTACTTTTATAACCACTTACTACATCTTCTACTGGCCTTTTTAGCAAAGCTGCTGGCTTAATGACCACCTATTTCTAGTCTTTGTCAAGTTGTCAGAGTAGCATGGGGTATTTGTTTCACTGCCTGTTAAACTGCATTCTCTCTCTTTTAGTTCTTAGATTAAGGTCTTCATTGATAAGCCCATCATGTCTCCCTCTACTATCTATCTGTGAGAAAGGTAGCTGACCCATTTCCCTTCTACAGTTTCATATATGCATTAGTGAATTTTCTGTTGGTGTTCTCCTGTTTACTGTATTGAACTCTAAGTTGTTTGAAGGCCTATCTAAACCAGTCAGTGCATAGTCACTGAAAGCCAGAGCTATGATGGGTACAGCAGGAATTACTGACAAATATTAAAGTGCCATGTCTGCTCTTAAGAAGCTGATAGTTTTCTGAATTAAAAACTAATTATACACCCGGGCATGGTGGCTCATGCCTGTAGTCCCAGCACTTTGGGAGGCTGAGGTGGGCGGGTCACTTGAGGTCAGGAGTTCAAAACCAGCCTGGCCAACATGGCGAAACTTTGTGTCTACTAAAATTACAAAAATTAGCCAGGTGTGGTGGTGTGCCGCTGTAATCCCAGCTACTTGGGAGGCTGAGGCATGAGAATTGCTCAACCCGGGAAGTGGAGGTTGCAGTGAGCTGAGATCACGCCACTGCACTCCAGCCTGGGCAACAGCATGAGACCCTGCCTCAAAATAAACAAACAAAAAAACTAACTATACTTGTTTTATTTGAGATGCCAGAACTTTTAAGATATACTGTTAGGTTATAACAGCTTCCATGTAAGAAAAGAAACCCTGCCAGCCAGGCATGGTGGCTCACGCCTGTAATCCCAGCACTTTGGGAGGCTGAGGTGGGCGGATCACGAGGTCAGGAGATTGAGACCATCCTGGCTAACACGGTGAAACCCCTTCTCTACTAAAAAAATACAAAAAATTAGCCGGGCATGGTGGCATGCACCTGTAGTCCCAGCTACTCGGGAGGCTGAGGCAAGAGAATTGCTTGAACCCAGGAGGTGGAGGTTACAGTGAGCCGAGATTGCACCACTGCACTCCAGCCTGGGCAGCAGAGTGAGACTCCGCCTCAAAAAAAAAAAAAAAAAAAGAAAAGAAAAGAAACCCTGCCATGTATTATCTATGCATTGATTATAAGGCTGATCTCCAATTCAGAAACATGGACATTCTGGATAGCATTCCATGGAGAGAGAATGACATGTTCAAAAGCCAAAGGGAATTTCAGAAGAAGCCAAAGGATCTAAAATTCTACTGGACAGATGACTCCTCTGTTAACTTTTCTTCCGTCTTCCTTGCCCTGTCCCCCACCGTTCCATTTCTAGGTATCTCACCCCTGGTGGTAAGGTAAGCATCAGTGAGGATAATACCGCCCTAATGCATCCCTTAAAAATGATATGATGTAAGCAGATTAACTGGACTCTTTAAAAAGAGACTGAGATATCATAAATTTGGCCATGTGAATTCATGTATCAGTACACACAGCACTGTTTTCCACACAAGTAGGTACAGTTAGTACCAATTAAATGATGGCTTCCTTTTGTCTTCATCTGTTTTTAATAACAGAACTCTAATTGTGTATACAAATTGATGTTTGGGCCAAGTCTGTTTTTACAAAGATGTTAGTTGTAAATTTAGCCCAACATATTATTTCAACGTGTGCTTTGTAACTTATTCTTCCTTTTAAAATTCTGCTGTCATTTGTTTGTTGAACATCAGTATGTGATTTTTTTATTTTCCTCTGCGGTGAATGTCTAGGAGGAAATACTGCTCTCTGGAAGAGGGTACTGGGGCCTTTTATGATTTATTTCTTCAGTTATTTTATTCCATGGTAAAGACTCCAAAATGTTCTATTGTAAAGACTCCAAAATGTTATAGAAGCTTGAATAGTTTCAAGTTAATTCTTTTAAAATCAAGCCTTTTGTTCATCTTTCAAACTCAACAGTGTCCTGATATGTCTGAGGTTTAGGAAAATTTGGCTCAAGTTGATGAGGGGGTCTAATATAGGTCTTTGTTGCTGAGTGAAATTCAGTGGTTTTGGCTCATGGGAATTTGTGCAAAATTGTTGGTTCGTTTGATTTGGTTCCCTTTGGGCTACACCCATGAAGTTTTCTTTGGGTTTAGATTGGTGATCCCCACCCCACACCAAACTCAAAGTGGAACACAGTGGGAATGTTGAGGTTTATACCTCAAGCTATAACTCATCCTAGAGCTTTACCCAGTTTTGAAAGAAAGAAAAGCCTGGCCTGTATTTTAAATCTGTAAGTGAAATATTTATTGAAACTAGACTAAACAATCCCAGAGTCAGTTGAGATCTTAGAGGTCATTTGACCAAACTCTCCACCTGACACATGATTCCAAGAGTCAATTTAAAATTGTCTGAATTATACTCATTTGGGTATATACCCAGTAATGGGATGGCTGGGTCAAATGGTATTTCTAGTTCTAGATCCCTGAGGAATCGCCACACTGACTTCCACAATGGTTGAACTAGTTTACAGTCCCACCAACAGTGTAAAAGTGTTCCTATTTCTCCGCATCCTCTCCAGCACCTGTTGTTTCCTGACTTTTTAATGATTGCCATTCTAACTGGTGTGAGATGATATCTCATAGTGGTTTTGATTTGCATTTCTCTGATGGCCAGTGATGATGAGCATTTCTTCATGTGTTTTTTGGCTGCATAAATCATGCTGCTATAAAGACACATGCACACGTATGTTTATTGCGGCACTATTCACAATAGCAAAGACTTGGAACCAACCCAAATGTCCAACAATGATAGACTGGATTAAGAAAATGTGGCACATATACACCATGGAATACTATGCAGCCATAAAAAATGATGAGTTCATATCCTTTGTAGGGACATGGATGAAATTGGAAACCATCATTCTCAGTAAACTATCGCAAGAACAAAAAACCAAACACCGCATATTCTCACTCATAGGTGGGAATTGAACAATGAGATCACATGGACACAGGAAGGGGAATATCACACTCTGGGGACTGTGGTGGGGTCGGGGGAGGGGGGAGGGATAGCATTGGGAGATATACCTAATGCTAGATGACACATTAGTGGGTGCAGCGCACCAGCATGGCACATGTATACATATGTAACTAACCTGCACAATGTGCACATGTACCCTAAAACTTAGAGTAAAATAAAAATAAATAAATAAATAAATAAATAAATAAATAAAATTGTCTGAAGTCTTTTTAATAACTAAAAAACTTCCTGCAATATTCCACGTTTATCCATTTGGATCAAACCTGTTGACTTTGTGGTCCAGGTTTGCTATATCCATGTGAATTTTTTTTCTGTTTGATTTATCAAGAACCAAGGGAGATGTGTTAAAAACCTTCAGATGCATATATTTCTACTTGTAATTCTGTCAATTTATGCCTTATATATTTGGAGGTTGTGTTATGAGTTTAGAATTGTTTCACCTTCCTGAAAATCCTCTCTTTTATCCTATGTAATGACTGATTTTATCTCTAACAATTCTTTATATCTTAAAGTCTATTTTACAAAATTATAGGTCTACTATATCTTTTCTAAAGCCCACAGTACAGAATATTATATAACACCAGCAAAGGATCTGGGCCAGCATTCAGTAATCAAGCATATTGATATGATCACAATAAAATGTGTGAATCTTTACACTAAGTGGGATATATAAAAATATATATTTTTTGTTTTTATTTTCAAGCTTCTTATATCCTTATGCTTTAGTTGAGTCTCTTTATAAATGACATGGATGATTTTTACTTTTATTCAAGTTTTAGTCGATTTAGTGGTTTGCCAACATTTGCAATCATTTCTATCATATTTACTTTTCAATTTAACCTTTTTTTCTGTGCCTTTTTCTTTTTTCTCCCACCTTTCCTACTGCCTGTTTTGCTGACAAACTTTTCCTTATTTGTTTTCTCTGCTAATTATTTGAAAATTTTGTACTTTCTTTTCTTTTAGTGGCTATTGTTAAAAATTTTTAAACATACTTGACTTTATAAAGTCTAAAATTAATGTCGCTACTTATCTGATATATATGATTCACTTTAATCACATACCTCCCATTTTCTCTATTGTTAAATGTTTTAATTCTATCTTGTTTTTATATGACTCATTAGTAATTACTGTTATTTTATTTAAAAAATCTGTGCATGTTTAGCTTATTCCCCGTGTTATCCTAGTTTCTTTGCTAAGTGTTGCCTGTTTTCACTTCTTTCTGGTTTCAGTTTCCTTCTTCCTGAAGTACATCCTTTGATGGCTTATTCAGAGAGGGTCTATTAATGATTAACTCTTTCATTATTTATTTCATTTGATTTACATATTAGCTGGGTGTGGAATTCTTGGTTGACAGCATGTTCTCTCAGTATGTTGAAGATAACGATTCCATCACTCTTTAGCTTTTGCTTTTGAGAAGTCTGCTTTAGTCTAATTGGTCTTTTTCAGGCAATGTCTTTTCTTGCATTTTTTAAAAGAGTTTTACTTTGTGCAGGTGTTTTATGGTTTCTCAATGATGCATCTCAATGTGGATTTATTTTTATTTATCTATCCCAGTTGGAACTAATTGTGCTTCCTAAATCTGAGGATTCATGTCTGTCACCAATTCTGGAAAATTCTCAGCTAGTCTTTTTTTTTTTTCCATATTTCCTTTCCTCCATTCTCTGTAGTGCCTATTTCTGTAACTCATATTAAACATACATTTTTCTTTTCATTCAGTGTTATCCCTTAGACTTTGAAAAATATATTTTCTTTCTTTTTATTGCTCTTTCTTGCATTTTGAGTAGTTTCTTCAAATATTTCTTCTAGTTCATTAAGCCTTTTCTCACCTATGTCTAATCTTCCATTTAACCCTTATATTGAGTTTTTAAAGTTTCAATGGTGATATCTTCATTTTTAGAAGTTCTACTTGGTCATTTTTTTTTCCTATCTGTTTTTGTGTTTCATAGTGTCTTGTTATGTTATTATTTTTTATAACTTATTTTGGGTATTTAATAATTTTAAACATGTCTATTATATAGTCTTATGTGATAGCTCTTGTATGTCTACACTCACTCTTTGTTATACCTGCTGACTCTTTTATGGTGGAATTGTGTTCTTGTGGGTTTTGTTGTTTTAGATTGTGAGCTCATGTTTGGTGGGACATTGTCTACTGGAGTCCTGTTCTGCTAGTTTATGGGCACATCACTATAGAGTAGATTTATTTTTGCTTCTGCCTGCTACTTCAGGGCTAGTCATCTTCAAACCACTTTTTATATTACTTTCTGTGATTGAGATTTGCATGACATTTGGGTAGTACAAATTTACACCTCAATTATGTACATGGATAGAGTCAATGTTTACAAATACTGAAGGAAGACTTTTCCCACCCATAGTTCAGGTAGAAAGGCAAGTTTCTTTGACATTCCTATTAGTGATAGCTTCAGGTTTATAAAGCCATCTTCAATTCAAATTACCCACTCCCTATTGGCCTAAGACCCTGGTTTCTGATGTCAGCCTTCTTTCTCCATCCCACACTCCTATGTGTGCCCCAGGATTAGCTCATAAGCTTTTATTTCGATTTTCATTTACTTCTTTGTTTTGGGTCCTTAGATATTTTCCTTACATTTTTGCAAATTTATGCATTAAAAGGAGTATGTATTATATTTTATCCAGAATCTCTAAGTAGATTTTAGAAGGAGAGATTTTAGGCTTTCTGGACAGCTATAGTGGGAGAATTGAAAGTCTGAGTCATTTTACATTTCCCTCTCCTGTACTAATGCAATTAATTTGTTTGTTATTATTGTGCTGCAAGACTTTTTATTGATCCCTGTTACTTTTTAAAATTGTTATTGTTAGGTTTGGTTCTCTCATTCTAGCTTTTTTGTCTTTAATCCTGACTCAGTTATCTAGTATGTTAGTTTTACCTCCCAGCCCTGAGTCATTTGTAAATTTGATGTGCATATTATCTGGGTATTCCATAATTGTTTGGTAAAAATATTAAACAGGAGCCATTCATGTACATAGCCCAGGAATAGGCCACTAAAGATTTTCCTGTCAGTGGGTATTGATCAGAACTCTTTGAAACTGTTGCAGATGTCTCCAACTCTGTTTGTATATTTCAGTTCACATTTCCACATTTTACCCACAAGGCTTGTTCTTAGTCAACTTGCTCAGCTCAGTTCAATTTGGTTCAGCCCATATTTCTTAAGTGCGCACTCTGGGCCTTTGTGTATACGGTATGCATCTGAGATATAAAGAAGAAAAAGCCACAGCTCCTTCCTTCGTGATGCTCATAGTCTGGTAGAGGAAGAATTCAGGTAAGCAAAAAAGCCAGTCATATGATCATCTCTTTCTGCATTTTGCTCAGGATCAACTTCTACACGACTGATCTATAGCTTATGGCCCCTGTCCTCTTTCCTTTCTTGCTAAGTCATAGACATACCAGTTGAATTTATACAATTCATCTGTGGGGAAAGTTTCACAAGGCTGATTTTTCCATATATCTTCTCTGTATAATTTATTGTTAATAAATTCATTTAAGTATTTTAAAATCCTAAAATATATGTCAGTAAAGGGTGCTAAAATGTTAAACAAATATTACTTTCAGATTTTCTTTTCTTCTCTTTTTATTCCTATTCTATTTTCCCCCTTGGTTAATTTTATTTTTCTCAAAATTCTCCCTTTCTTTTCTAAACCTTATATTTCCCCAAAAGAATAGTACCAGATAGTCTCATATCAATTTGATCTTTTTTGGCCTGGTTCCTTATATTGACTTTCCTGTCCAAGTCTTTCTACTTGTTCTAAGACTTCATCTCATTTTTTATTATTGGCCTTTCAAGATTTGTTAGACAAACAGTTTTCAGTGAAAGAGCTTAATTTAGTTAAGCACTAAGTTTTTATCTGGGCTAGAAATTTTGGATCTTACCTTTACTCTTTTCTCACTATAACCCCAAACAACATTCATTCATCAGGAAAATCTGTCAATATTTCCTCTTTGAAGCATTTTACATCTGTTTCCAAAGCTTTATTCCCATATTTAGTGTCACAGTCCATGCCCTTATCTTTTCTCAGCTGATAATGGGATAACCTCCTAAATATTTCCCATTTCTTCTGACATTAATCTTAGTCTTTTGTTTTTCAAATTATGATTCATGTTCCTGTAGGTTATAAACTCAATTTACTTGTTCATGATCATAACTTTTTAGTGATGTAAAATAGAACATATACACAATATTGGAGTACATGGCACATAATAAGAGATTTCATGAAATTGTTTTAATTATTTACATATGTATGCTAAGTGTTAACTTACCACTTGTAATGGGAGATTATAATTGTGTTGGTTGTCCTTTGGAGGGGCATCTATCTAGCATCTGAACCTTTCCCCATGATTAGAATATTCTGTATTATATGAGACTTGGTAGGATGTAGGGCCTGCTTCCATTATAGAAGCTAAAAAATAGCCCAGGTCTTGTCTTTCCCAGCATCCCTTGCAGCTAGGTTGCTTACCTGTAACCTAAGCTTGCTTAATCAGATGCCTGGTTTGTTGAACTGGCACTTACAGAAGCAGGGAAAATGAATACCAAGGCTGCTGGTGGTGGCGGACACCAGCATTTGGCTTTTGAGGCAGCAGCGGCTGACAGCCAGTGATAGCAACAGGGTCCTCATCAGAATGGTTCTGGTCATGGTTTGGCTATGATTCTGGCTACCTCACTTCCTTTTGCTCCTGCCTATTTTCTGAGCTGGCACTTTAAACTTCCTGGAGATTTTATGAGCTACTCTAGTTTCTTTCAACCAATTTCTTTTCTACTTGCTATGGACTGAATTTTGTCATCTCTCTACTCCTCCATTCATATGTTGAAGTCCTAACCCCCAGTGTGACTATATCTGGAGGTAGGATCTTTGGAAGTAATTAAGGTTAAATGAGGTCATAAGAGTGGGACCCTAATCAGATAAGACCAAGACTTTATAGGAAGAGGAAGAGAGAAAGAGAAACCTCTCTCTTTCATGTGAGGATGCAGCAAGAAGGCAGCTGTCTGCAAGCCAGGGACCTCACCAGAAACCAAACCCTGTCAAGCCTTGATTGTGGACTTTCCAGCCTTCAGAATGTGAAAAATAAATTTCTGTTATTTAAGCAACCCAGTCTTTGGTATTTTGTTATGGCAACCCAAGCTGACTAATATACTGCTTAAATCAAGTAGAGTTGGTTCTGAAAAGAATTCTGAAAAGTTCATAGGGTTGTTGTAAATATTAACTGAGATTATGTATATTATCTGTCACATGGTAAATTTTCAACAAATAATTGTTATATTATTAGTAGTAGTATTCATTAAGTCCTCAAAGTCATTGATATGTTCTTGGAAACTATGGCTTTAAGCAAAACGTATAACAAAACCAATGTTACCATAAGCTAATTGATATAAACAAGAGTTAAGTTTCTAGCTGGGCGTGGTGGCTCATGCCTGTAATCCCAGCACTTTGGAAGGCTGAGACAGAAGGATCACTTGAGCACAGGAATTTGAGACCAGCCCAGGCAACATAGTGAGACCCTCTCTCTAAAATAAAAAAGTCAACTTCCTACACCGTATTTCTGGTCACAGAACTATCACCAAACATCTAAATAAAGATCAAAACACTTTTAATATTAAACATGTAAGGTAATTATTTTCCTGCTTATTTCCAGTTCAGGGTTGGCAACAGCTTAGGGTACCAGGTGGGAACCAACCCTGGATAAGGCACCATTCCATCACAGGGTGCATTCACACACTGACACTCACTGAGACTGTGACCATTTAAACACACCAGTGAATCTAACATGCACATCTTTGAAGTATGGGAGGAAACCAGAGTACCCGAAGACAACCCACAAAGACATGGGGAGAACGTGCAAGCTCCACACAGACAGTGGCCCTGGCCAGGAATCAGTCTTTTTTCTTATCAATATTATAACAAAACAATGTTGAATGAAATGACATAATTTGAAAAGCCCTGCTATATTGTTATTAGGGACAAAGCAAGGTAGAGCTTTAGAAAAACAAAACAAAGATGTGGGGACATCAGATACAGAGTTTTGTCATTGAGGGAAGTCAGCTTGAGATGTCTGGGATGGCGTGAGAAGCACAATAGTGGGGAGTGCCTGGAGAATGAGCTGAACAGGAATGACATAGGAATGTAGGCCTCAGCTGGCCATCAGGAACATAGGGCAGGGCTCCTTTCCCCTGCCAGCCTCAGCTTCAGGCACCAATGCCTAGGATAGAAGCGGGCTAGACCCTCACACCAATACCCTCACGGAGATAACTAGGAAGCTGCTGTTGGATATTATTATCACTAGAGTCTAGAGAAGTCTAGAGATCTCTCCAGGCATTGCAGTCCTTTGATGAAAACAGCAAAATCCAATGTCTGCCTCCAGGGAGGGTTGAGGCAGCTAAAAATGGGACATTCATTGCAAATATTGAGTCTACAAATACTACAAATCCTTTCACATCCTGCTTAAAGCACATTTCCTTAGTGAAACTTCCAGTCACCCCAACGGAAGTAAATCACTCTTCCTTTTTGGCTTTCTCAGCATTTGGTCTGTGTCTTTAGTAGTTTGTCTTGTGTATTGTGCATCATTTCGCCAACTGAACTATAAGCTTCTTGAAGTCAGGAATCCTGTCTGATCCATTGATATATTCCCACAGTAATTATCAAAGTGCTTTGTATGTGACAGGTGCAAAATACATATGGAATTAAAAACCAAATTAGTGATTTTTTAGATAAGTGGTGACATAATGCAGTTTATTTCCTAAAGCTGTTTAACTAAGTGTTAACTACTAATGAACTACAGGTGTGAATTATAGGTGACATCTACAATGCCCTCATATGGTTGGTTTGGGGAGGGTGCTCAAAGCCTACCCTTATTCAAACAGCCAGAGGCAGAAGGTAATACAGATTTGCATATTGATATACTATTTCTAAGGGAGGAGGACTCACTAAAGGCAACACCTAGAGCACTTTTTGAGTGAGCCAGACCCTAAAGTCAATAAACCAAAGTACAGTTGACCCTTGAACAACATGAATTTGAACTGTGCGGAGGATCCTATTTACTTCCATTTTCTCCCACCTCTGTCACCCACCCCGAGTCTGCAAAACCAATGCCACCTCTTCTACCTCCTCTTTCTCCTCACCCTACTCAATGTGAAGATGAGGATGAAGACCTTTATGTATGATGACCCACTTCCACTTAATAAATAATAAATATCTTTTCTTCCTTATAATTTTCTTAATAATATTTTCTGTAGCTTTATTGTAAGAATATGGTACAAAATTTGTGGAAATTGGCCATTTATGTTATTGGTAAGGCTTCTAGTCAACAGTAGGCTATTACTAATTAAGTTTCTGTAGAGTCAAAAGTTATATGCAGATCTTTGACTGCATCATTCAAGGATTAACTGAACTTTGTGAAAACACCTTGCCTTAATATCTGTAGTCTAAAACAGCATTATGATGAAGTGTCATCATATTAACAAATTGTTACTATAGAGATCTAGTTACTCTCCTTGGATGTTCCCCAAACGCTCTTTGAGGCTGGGGTTTCTGTTCCTTCTCCCGCGCCCAGAGTAGCCACATGCTGTCATGGAAAGAGTGAGGCAGAGCTTCATGGACTGCTCAGGGCGTTGTCACGGGTGTAAGGACCTTCTCACTTATCTGAATTGATGCCTGGTAGCTTTTTCCATTAAAAGACCCTTTCCCAGTGACTTTGAGGAGAGCAGGCCATCTGCTTTACACTCAGTCTTGTCTGGGCTTCTCAGAAAAGCAATTTTAAAGAAAGAGAAGCAAGCAACATGTGGTTTGCCATCACTGGCAATGTTTCCTTAAGTCTGCGTATGCTGGAGTCCAAGCCCAGATATTCAGGAGCCAGCTCAGCCAGCACCTGGCCACCTCTGCCCTGCCTCAATTACACCAGTTACTGCAGACTCCACACTGCATCACCAAAGGTGCCGCCCACCTCGTGCTGCCCCGCATAAGGTCTAAATATGTCTATTCTATTCCGGGGAACAGTACTTCTTAACATCTTGTTTGAGGTACAAAGCCTAAGTACCTTTGTGACAGAAGTCAGACGACAGAAAAAACCTGAGAGTTTATTATTACAATTAAAGCTTTTAAAGTAGCGGGCTATGAATGAATGGTAACATTTTCAAAAGAAAATAAACTGAGAATGGACCTATGTGAGATGTGGAAAATATTTTAAAGCAAAGGAAATGATTCACCACCTCAAAGACGTGAAACTTAGATGAATTATGCAGGTCAGCTTTTAACTTCTGTGGAGAGCCTCTATGTCTTGGATAAATCCATATGTGTGTGCTTTGCATAACACAGAAAATTATTTAACATTAGTATTCAGAGAGTAAAGAACTCTTTGAATGATTTTAGCCATTTCCTCTTAGAATCAGAGTGGTGGTGGTGTTGGGGGAGGTAGCATGACTTGTGGAGTAGAGCTTTGTTTACATAATGGACCCTTTGTAAAGTAATTAAAAAGTGACCTTTGAAATATTTAACTTGGTTTGTTTTGTTAGATTTTCCTATGTATTTATTTTTCTGTGGAGTCTGTTTTTGCAACTCTGCAAGATATCTAAGCGAACACTTTAGGATAACATATTTTATCCTTTGTTTCATGAATCAAATGGCTGTACAGGTATTAAGTAATAAAAAATTATTTTGAAAAATAAATTTATTCAAGTTACTTTCTCACCACTAGCTAAAATAAGGATTTTATGGACTAGTCAAAGTTGCTCAATATCTAGTCATCCGAATAAATGTTTCTATTATTATAATTTAAAATTTTTTTCCACATAAATTTCATTTTTAGATTTCATTTTTCATTACTGAAAATGGGCCTAAATATGTATTCACATAATTGCATTACTACTTTGAAAGTAATATAAAATATTACTTAAAATTATAATGGAGGAGGGTCTGAATTGTATTTGCGTTTCTTATTTGGGGGATAATTAATAATTAATTTACATTGGAGGATCTGGCGAGGCAGAACAGAAGCAATCAGGAAAAGTTTTCATGAGATGGCCTGGGGTTCTGGATACAGAAGGCATGTGTAGCAATTAAACTCGATCAAAAGTGAAATGGCTGTTTTGTGAAGTAATGAGCTTCTCATCACACGAAGTATTCAAGCAAAGCCTGAATGACTTTATACTGGAGATTCTGAGGTGCAGTGGGTTTCTTTATTCTGTGAGGAGATGTTCAGTAGGGAGACACTTCTAAGGGCTCTTTGGATTCTAGGACAAAAGTTCTAAATAGTTTAGTTTGTCCTAATTGTGTACTTTTTGTTGAATTGAGTCAGTGTTTGAACTTATCATATGATTATTTTTTTCTCCTAAAAAGAAAGCCGGAAGGAATCACTCTTAATTATTTAAGGTACAGTTGAACACTTAACCTTTTAAAACTTCAGAACCTAAAATAAATAGGTTTATTTAGATCATAATTCTGAAAGACATGTGTTAGTCTGTTCTTGCATTGCTAAAAAGGAACGCCTGAGGCTAAGCAATTAATAAAGACAAGATCAATTTGGCTCACAGTTCTGCAGGCTGTACAGGGAGTATGGTGACGGCATCTGCTTTTGGTGAGAGCCTCAGGAAGCTTACAATCATGGCGGAAGGTGAAGGGGGAGCTGGTGTCTTCTGTGAAAAAAGCTGGAGTAAGAGAAAGAGGGGCAAGGTACCACCCACTTTTAAACAACCAGATCTCTCATGAACTCAAAGCGAGAACTCACTCATCATCAAGGGGATGGCACTAAGCCACTCATGAGGGATCACCCCCATGATCCAAACACCTCCCACCAGGCTCTATCTCCATTACTGGGGATTACATTTCAATGTAAGATTTGGAGGGGACAGACATCCAAACCATATCAGACACAATCCTGAACACCATTATCCTGAATGTTGAAATCCTGAAAGATCAAAATTCCCAAAGTCTAAAATCGCTAACATCTAAAATCTCAGTAATTACACTCACAGGATAATTGCATCATGCTCAGCAGTACTATTACCTTGTTATTGTCTTTATTTGGAAATTAAGTATGTTTTAAGGAGATATGTATGGGTGCCAAGTTGACATAGAGTGGACTTGAAGACTTAATTTTAGGTGTCAGTTTGACTAGATTAAGGAATATCTAGAAAGCTGGTAAAGCATTCTTTTGGGTGTGTCTGTGAGGGTGTTTCCAAGGGAGATTAGTGTATGAGTCCGAGTGGATTAGGTGGGTGTGATTTGCCCACAGTGTTAGCGGGTGCCATCCTATTGGTGCTGGCCAGAGAAAACAAATACAGAAGGCAAACTGGTCTCTGAGAGCTAGGACAGACTTTTCTTCTGTTGCCTTAAACGTCAGAACTCCAGGCTCATTGGCCCTTGGATTCCAGGACTGACTTCATCCCCACCCCTCCCACCCCATCCTGAGGCTTTTAGCCTGAGCCAGCTATGGGCATCCCAGGGTCGCTGGCTTTCAGATGGCCTGTTGTGGGACTTCTCAGTCACCATAATTGTGTGAGCCTTTCCCCTAATAAATCCTCTCTCATTTGTCTATGTAAATATCCTATTGGTTCTCTCTGGAGAAACCCTGACTAATAGAGATTTGGTATCGGGAAGCTGAGTATCATTCCTTTTTACTCTATTTCTTACAACACAGTGAAAGAGATCTGTGAAACTGTTCCCGTGCAAAAAGGCTGTGATAAATTAAGTGTATGAGGAACTTAATGAAATGAAAGATAAAAGTTTAAAAGCTAATTATTATTGGTGCTGCAAAAGCAGAAAATTGCTTAATTGCAATGGCCACACAATTAGACTCTCAGATAGACAGAATATATTTACAAAATTTGTAGGCCACAATCCCCCTTCAAATACGAGTGCTGCAAGTGTTTCAAAGATCATAGAAAAAGTGAAAACACAGGCGAAAAATGCAAGAAATCTCCCCTGCCAAATTGTTCAATCATGTACGACTTCTGCCCCTTCACACATAACACCATGCTTGCCTTCAAAAAACATCCTTTGTCAGAGAGTAAAAAGAATTCGAGAAGCTCAGCAACTTTCTGGACCAAAGACACTTGCTAATATTGAGCTTTCTCCAGTGTTACAGAACACACTAGGTGGTGAATTATCCTTGACTAGAGATTTGACTGTAGAAGAAGATAGAGTTCTTACGTATATATTTACCACAAAATCTAACATAAAAACTAGCACTTTTTTCACTTTGGCTAATGGTTGGCACTTTCAAAGCTGTCCCCACTATTTTTTAAATCAACTGTATACAATTCATAGTTGTATATTCATATATACAATTCATAGCTCCTGTTAGATCATAAAATTCTAGAACTGATATGCTTGTTTATGTACTAATGACTGGAAAAAACAAAGTACTTTATAAATGCTTATTCAAAGATGTGGTGGACTTTGCAGAAGAAAATAGATTTCAACTGAATTGCCAAACCATAATGACAGATTTGGAATTAGGTGTGATCAAGGCTTCTAAAAATGATTTTTAAGGTGTTACCAACAAAGTTTGTTTTTGCCCAGTGCATTTGGTGAAAAATTCAGATGAGTGGATTGGCCACGAATACTTGAATTTAAAAATGCATGATTTGCCTGTATGACATTCCTTCCAGCTGATGACATTCCAGATTTTAATGAATTAAAACCACATTTGCCTGAAGAAGCCAGTGAAGTAACTGATTTGAAAATAATTATGTTCATGGTAGGATAAGAAGACATGGTGTTGCTGTTTGATCACCAGTATTGTTTCTGTCAAATTTGTGGTCTGTATATGAGTGTATGCAGAATGGATTTCCATGTACCCAAAACAACAAAGAAGCACAGCACAGAAAATGGGAAAATTTAATAGACACTCTTCATGTTTGTGCATGCCAAATAATAGAAGGATTTCAGGAAGATCAGCGTCACATAGAAAATTAATGTGAACATATTCTGCAAGGAGAGTTATGTCCTAAAAGAAAAAAAAAACAGCTCTTCACTGCGATGTAAGACTTCAAAATATAATTAATGATCGTGAAAGTTGGCCAGCTCTTCTGGACAGATCTGTGCAGTTGCTTATAGTCTATTCCTGTAATACACTTTTTCATGTTGAATTTTCTTTTTGGATTTGGGTTTTATTTACTTTTTATAGTTTTTTTAACTATTTAAAATTGTCGGCATTATTTTTTTCCAATTAATTATGCTATGTATTTCATCTTCACATCATTTCCAATACTAGAGTTATAAATTGTGTTGAGACTTTTAGAGAATTCTCATTTGTTGTATGCAGTTTTTGCAAATTTGACTTCACAAAAGTGCATTGTCACCACATTGACTTTGTGTGTAAGCATTGTGCATATTGACTTTGTGTGTAAGCATTGTGCATGTATGCAAAAACATTGTAACTTCCTCTCTAAATGAAGAGATGTCCATTTTGTACGTCTGCATTTGTGAAAGATAAAATTTCTCGAGATTTTGGCTCTTTGGATAACTGAATATATGGGGGTGACCCATCATGGTTTTCCATCAATTTCGTCTTAGGTTGTTCATTTTGGTGTTTCAGATGACCACAGTTATAAAGCTGGGTGCATGCAATTGCCAACCATAGTAGTATATGTTTATACATTTCCCTTTTCGACCTATTTGTTTATGAATACAGCTCATATGCTCATAACTTCATACTCTGCAACTGTCATTGTTATACATGAGGGTTTACACTTGTAAAAATATGTTATTATTGCCTAGTCTGTTGTGTAAAATGACCTATGAAATGTTTTGTCATGTTTTTGTGTTTCTCAAATAAATTCCCTTTTAAAAATGTAAATAAATATCTTTTAGAGAATATTTAAAATTATTCTTCCCAGATTTTGATCTTCCAGGATTTCAACATTTGGCATTACGGTATTAAGGATTGTATCTTTGGGGATTATGATTGACTCCCAAATTAAATCACATAGGGAACAAATGATTTATTCAAATTTTGGAAAGGATGCAAAAAAGCGTCTCTAACTTCTTACTCTCACAACTTTAATTCAAGCTAGAGAAGAGAAAAATATATATGTCTTAGCTATTTTTTGTCTTCCAGATCTCCTGTACTTCAAGCAATTAAATCTTGCTCCCACCCAGTTCATGTTCCTTCTTTACATATCTAATTCACTACCAAATATATTTCACAAATTTTTATGTGAAGTCAACTGTCATGAAAAACACTGTATATTTTGGGTCCGGAGGACACGAATTTATTTAGAAATATCTTGAGAGGACACATAATCCCAGCTCCTTCCGCATGCAGCCATCTGTCAGTGAGATGTTTAGGGGTGAAAAATGAGTTTAATAGTTTTCAGTCTCAGAATCAAGGCTGCCATCATGTGGGGGAAATTAGAGGTAATTGTAAGGTCATTGTCTAAGACTGATTGATGTTTCCAGAAATGGTGATTCTCAGGCTACCTTACCTTCTATTTCTTCTTTGGGATCGCTACTACCCCACCCTGAAACACCAAGCTTGAACTCTCTGACCTGCTTGTTTATGTCTTGACAATCCTAGACAATCCTTTGATTCTCTCCTTTCCCTGGTTTCTTATTATTTATAACAGTTATCACCACGTGAAATCATATTATATACAGCATTTATTTTGTTTTAAACTTGATATTAGTTCCAGTCCTAATTAGTTCTACTAAAATGTAAGCCTCATGAGGACAGGAAGCTTGCTTAATACATATAAGTACTAGGAACAAATCTTTCAACATGTTTATTGGCTTATTTATCTGCTTAGGTATCTAGTAGTGGTGATTAAATTGCTTTACATTTCTTTCTTAAAACTACACTGTCTCATGTGATGTGATCTCTGCCACACCTTCATTCTCTCTTTTGATGTCATTATAAAATGCTGTCTTCAGTCTGTACCTTTAAGGGAAGCCAAATATCACAACTGTTTTTTTCTTTAACAAAAGGCAATTACTTCTTTAGATTTATCTATTTTTTTTAACTTACTGCTCCTTGTAATTCCTTTCCTCCCTGCTCAGCTCATGTCTTAGAAGTGACTGTGCACTCTGCTGCATTGGCTCCGTTCTCTCCAGTTTGATTTGTGCTATATTCATATTTTATAAATTCCCCTCATCAACATATTTTCATAAAGCTTCTTATAGCCAAATCTAAAAGTGCCTGTATTATACTTATTCTGACCTTTCCCAGTTCCCACCTGCAACTGGCCATGCTTCTGCCTTTGGTTTCAGTAGCACATGGTCCCATGTGCTTCTTGAGGGATCTCTGGGACTGACTACTTTTATTTCTAACTCTGCAGTTTATGGCTTAACTCCCTACTTCTCCTCTTCCTGTCATCCATCTGCAATCACCAACCAAGGAACAAATCCTTATAGTCCTATACTTATAGTTCTTATTTTCCACAGTGTCCCTTGGAAATCTTGTTTCAAAATTTAAATTTCCTTGTATCTACAAATAGTCCAAAACAGATTTTTTTCCATTAGTGTTCCTGTGACTGGTTGCTCTAATTTGATCTTCAGAAAGATAGCAAGTTCCACCAGGCACACTTTGGGAGGACGAGGCCAGTGGATCACTTGAGTCCAAGAGTTTGAGACTAGCTTGGGCAACATGGCAAAACCCCATCTCTACCAAAAATACAAAAACTAGCCAGGCATGGCGGTGTGCACCTGTAGTCCCAGCTACTAGGAGGCTGAAGTGGGAGGATCAATTGAGTCTGTGAGGTTGAGGCTGCAGTGAGCCATGATGGTGCCACTGCACTCCAGCCTGGGCAAGACCCTATAAAAAAAAAAAAGAGAGAGAGAAAAGAAGAAAAGAAAAAAAGATACTAAGCTGAAGTTGAATAAACAACTCCATGTGGACGCGTATTTTTGACTATGTGTGTGTGCAGACAATTTTTGGCTCTGAAGACATTGGGGTACGCCAGGCAGAGAAACACCTTGCTTTTGTGGATCTTGTTTTCAGTTTGAGTATTTTATTATTCAAGATAATTTTTTTTGAGATAGGGGCTCAGTATATTGCCCAGGTTGTTCTCAAACTCCTGTACTCAAGCAATCCTTCTGCCTTAGCCTCCAGATAAATCTTTAAAAGGACTTCTTACATTGGGTTTCGAATTGATATTGTCTCTATAAAAGCTGTGTGTTCAAACACCTACTTCAACCTACAAATCTTATGAGACTATTTTTACATTTAGTTATTATATAAGAATAGTCTCTTTCATTTGTTACCCTATTAACATTTGATTAATTCAAATTTAACAGTTGAAATTTTCCTAAACAATTAATTACAATTCTAATTTAGCTAATTAAATTCCCTTAAACATTTTAAACCTCATTTACACATGTAATGTATGTGACTGTCTCAAACACCTCAAATGCCTTGTGGGGCAGACTTACAAACCTAACAAATCATTTTAAGCACATAGCAACTTAAAAAATAGTAAGCAAACATATACCCATAGTAAATCAGCCTCTCTTAACATTTTAATGCTATTTCCAAAATTGAATCAAATGTACTTACACCACTTAATATCCCAAATCTGGAATTGATTATATGTTTTAAATTAAAGTCATAATATTTTTAAGTATTTCAAACTCTTTAAATAAAACAACTAGAATGGCCCAATGATATGAAAAGTACACTTAAATATATTCTATAATGTTATTAAGAGTATGGGTTTGATTTACTTTATCTCTATTCTTAATTATTTAAACTTTCCTGGGGTGCCAAGGTCTCCAGTACAATTAAAGTAAGCAGTTTTACCATCCATGGATGGCTGAGTATACCAGGTTGAAAAATCAGAATATCAGTATGATGAATTATTGGTCAGAGACTGACCTGATTTGTATTTTTCAAAGATGGCTCCTGGTTGCTAAGTGGAGAAGGATTGAGGGAGGTTAGAAGGTATCCATCTGGTAGTGACCCTTTTGTTCTGTGTAACTCTTCAACGGCTTTTCACGGAAAGGGCCTTTATTTTGTTCTCCCAGGGTACTCCTTATTAGCTCCCAAGGCTCTGTTCCTTCTTGTACCTCTCTTTTCTGCTATGGCCCTACTTCTTTCCCCGCTACTGCATGCCCTTTTAACTCCTTTTCTGATGTTTGATTTTTATTTCCTCTCAGTTTTACTACCATAGGTAGAATGGGATGCTTACATTCTTGGGGTAGAGGAAAGTTGGTCCCCAGGAAGAGAATGAGTTAAGGGAGAGAGAGAGAAAAAAAGAATGAATTCTTTACACATAGGCAATAGACACAGAAAAAAATCTAAAAGTGTACATAGCATATGTTAACCTGGGTTATCTTTGTGGAACATTATGGAGTACTTAACTTTGTGCTGTATGACATGATGTGTTTTTGACAAAGAACATATACTATTTCTATAATCAGTTAAATAAAAATAATTATGAGAAATGCAAATCAAAGGATTAGTGTGGCAATAAAATCAGAAAAATAGAAGTGAATCTTGGTGAAGAATTGAGCCTAACCATTTAAAAAATTATTATTATCAAATATTTTATCAATGCATAATTGTAGAGTAAAAATTGCTTTTAAAATAGCAGAATTTGATGTGTCTTTTCAGCCTGGTTGTGAGTTATAGTCACTGTGAGTAGGTTCATTTTGAAACAGTATCAGCTTTTCAGAGTGATTGATTCCATAGTGCAATAATTATGGTCTTATGGAAGTAAGACCAATTTGGATTTTGCAGCTCTCAGGGAAAAAGCAGCAGTGCAATAAACAAACATGTAAGCACCAGATTTTTGTGTGAAGCACTGCAAGGTGATTTCATGGGGACTCACAGGCAGTGAAAAGGAAACTATTACTTGCCTTAGAAAACTTGATATAATTATGGAATAATCCATAATGGCTTTGTTGACCAGAATAATTATATTTTAACTTTTGATTTATTTAGAAAGAAAATGGACGCTTCTGGATCACATTAATCTATTTTGTTATTTCACACTCATGTTAGTATTTTGAAGTTGCTGTAAAGTTTTTTATGAGGGGCACAGTGCTGACTGTGCTTAGACTGACAACATTCATCTCACTGAATCGAATAAATTGAATATTGGGGCTCCTTAGCTCAAAAAAAAATTTAGCTTTTGAAAGACTGTTTTGGATGACCCAGAAAAAAAAGGTAGAGGATTTCTGCTGTTGAAGGAAAGCTTCATTGACAAGATTGTGTGAGCATTTTATGTATCTGAACTTAGCAAGCTATAACTTCAAAACCTCCGAAGGGACATTGACAACACAACTAGACAGCTTATACCCCCATAGGTAGTTACTCACCCACTATGCTGAGATGATTTGATGATACCTCAAGCGGTTGAGAAAGATTCTGTGCTTAGGACTTCCCACCCAAGTATACACTAGCTTGTATACTCCGTATGAACTGTGACAGCACATGAATTTTACATGCATCCATTATATTGTACCTAGAACATTGCTGTGGAAAAAGGGGCACCATAAATGTCTTTTGCTATGAATGCATGAAGAAATAGATGCTTGAGGGAATAAATAATACAACTTCAACACATTTTTTATTGGAAATTTTTAAAAATTATTTTAGAGACAGGGTCTCACTCTGTTGCCCAGGCTGGTTTCAAACTCCTGAGCTCAAGCAATCCTACTGCCTCGGCCTCCCCAAGTGCTGGGATTACAGGCATGAGACACCATGCCAGGCCAGATTGGAGATTTTAATGAAACATATTATACTACATATATAAACTTATGGATAAATTTAATATGGCTAGGTTGGCCAGTTCTCAGCATGGCCAAATTTAAGCCATTTCTTTGAGGCTAAGTAAATCATTCAAAGTGAAATTTTACTGATTCAGATTTGTTGTGCTGATCAACCATGACTTGATGTATTAGTCCATTCTCACACTGCTGTGAAGAAATACACAAAACTGGGTAATTTATAAAGGAAAGAGGTTTAATTGACTCACAGTTCTGCTTTTGCTGGGAAGGCCTCAGAAAACTTACAATCATGGCAGAAGGCGAAGCAAACATGTCCTTCTTCACATGGTGGCAGGAGAGAGAAGTGCCAAGCAAAGGGGGAAAAGCCCCTTATAAAACCATCAGATCTTATGAGAACTCATTCACTGTCATAAGAACAGCATGGGGTAACCGCCCCCATGATTCATTTACCTCCCACAGGTCCATCCCACAACACGTGGGGATTATGGGAACTACAATTCAAGATGAGATTTGGGTGGGAACACACCCAAACCGTATCACTTGATCATTCATTAATAAGGTGAGAAAGCCAATTTGAGTGCTTACTGACCAGTTCTGTGGCAATATACAGAAATACACTTTTTTTGTAATCTGCTGCTTTGCTGGCCTTAGAATGGTGACCACAATTAAAGAAAGAAAATCAGATTAATGAGATAATTTTCCAAATACCGTAACAAAATAGGACATATATTTTCTATATGTAGCACTTTCTTGGCCCAGATACTCTTCAGTAACTGTTGGGAAATTGCTATAAAATACATAAAGAATTGGTCCTATTGTATGCATCTTTATGGTACAATATAACCTCCAGGTTAGGAGACCACATGTTCAAGTCACATTGGGGCCAGTTTTCCGGTTTAAATTTCAGCACAAAGGATTTATTGGAGATATTGGGAAGATTTCTTGACAGAGCTATTTAATACTAGAATGAGTTATTAGGAGCAATTGTGGATTCTCTTGGCAGGCTGTAAATATAGTTCAATTTCTCCTCTGTCCAGGATAGTTTGGGTGGGCCTACCTGAAAGCAGAAGGACAACCCAGACTGGTCCTTCTAGCCCAAAGTTTGTGTGATTCTTTATAACTCAAAAGAAAGCCCCAGTACTTAAGTGATTTAGTAGGTCTTTTTTGTGCATTCAAGTAGGAGCCACACACCATGTTGGCTAACTGCCCCCTGTGTGAAGACCTTCATTATTGAGTTGTGTTTTCATTGACTCTAAACTTTTCCCCCTGGGTGGAAATATATGTGCTTGGCCTCAGCTCACAGGGAAATTATTTAATGTATGACTCTGAACTTAACATGTTAAGTAGTGGTAGAACAAAGTAAGCTTTTTTTCTTATATGTGAGGCAAATTATGCTCCTCACAAGAGGTGAGTTCTTATTTCCAAGCTGACAGAATTCCTTCAAAAATTTATATATAATGAGAATCTGGAGGGAAAATAAAATAATAAATAGAATTGGAAACATGTTGTAAGAGTATTAGGTATAATTTTTTTGGTCTTTTAACCATTATAGAATTTTCAAGATACTTTAAAAATCTCGTACTTCCTTTATTTTGGAAATAGGTGCTTTCTATACTTTTGTTTTTATTTTCCGAACTAAAAGTGTCCGAAAATGCATAGCAATTTTTAATGCAGTGTGAATAACTTTAAACCACCTGAATATTTAATGAAATAGGCTCAGTTCCAACTCTCCTTCTGTCTCCATTATGTATATAGAAAACAGATTATATTAGTGTATAGTTCTTTTAAAATAAAGGTAGATATTCTAAGCAAGATGAGAATTTGGACTGTGTATATATGAGTATGCCAGCTCAATGCTTAACCTTTTTGTGTCTAAACTTAACACATAATGCATACATAAAATGGGTAAGTTACAGTTATTATGAGAGCCATAACTTCTCAGTTTCCTGTATGTTTAAATTTGAAACTTTAATGTTGTACTAATGGAATTTTGTGTGTTTTATGTATATGCACAAGTCTGCTAGACAGATGCTAAAAATGCCAAAATGGAACCAGTCAGAATCTAAGAATGTTCTGTAAAAGTGATTGTAGGGTTTAGGCATCTTGTTGAGATCACTTTTGGGGTTTGACAAAGGTGGTATAGCTGAGTGGTCTTCAATATGAAAGAATGTTCATATCTGCCAAGGAGAATCCTTAAGTCTTATGTGAGTGCAGGCTATCTTAACATTGCAGACTACTAAATACCTATGTGCACAGTAAATATTTGCATATTCGATCACTTATTTCCACCAAATTCCTTTAGTATTTTGGAAATGAAAATAAAAATTATATCAACTGCAAGGCAAAATAACTTTAAAAACCTTACTTTTAAATTTAGAGAGAGATAATTTGTCTGTGATATTTACTTTACTTGCACAACTTTTATGTTTGTCAGAGAAACAATTATGTAATTGTGTTGACACTGCTTGTTAAAATGTGGGAGAAAGTTAAGTCCATTCTCTCTTTGGAGATTTAGTTGTTTGGTCACGCTGGCTATACTATTATTTTAAATAATGAGCAGAACTCTATATGACTCTAAGCTCCCCAAGAGTGCAGGCAATGACTGATTTATTAAGCTCTCCCTCCCTTCATTCATCTCTCTACACTTCTCTTCCTTCATTCCACAGATTTTTTCAATCCCTACAAAATTCTAGTTACCCTGACCTAGGCTTAAGAGAAATAAAGAATTTCTCTGCAAGAAGAATAAAACCTTTTTTTTTTTCTTTTTTCTTTTTTTTTTGAGATGGAGTTTCGCTCTTGTTGCCCAGGCTGGAGTGCACTGGTGCTATCTCTGCTCACTGCAACCTCCGCCTCCAGGGTTCAAGCGATTCTCCTACCTCAGCCTCCCGAGTAGCTGGGATTACAGGCACGCACCACCAGGCCTGGCAAATTTTTTTGTATTTTTAGTAGAGACGGGGTTTCTCCATGTTGGTCAGGCTGGTCTCAAACTCCTGACCTCAGGTGATCCACCCACCTCAGCCTCCCAAAGTGTTGGGATTATAGGCGTGAGCCACCATGCCCGGCCAAAGAACACAATCTTATGAGTCAAATAGACAAGAAAATTAGTGAAAGGTATGATGAGTGGAAGAGGGACATAGAAGAAGAGCCTCCATTCTCTCTTAGGAAGGTGAGAGTTATGGGGCAAGTGGTCAGAAAGAGCTTTAAAAAGCAGGTAGCAATGGAATTGAGTCTGAAATGTGGAAATATAGGAGTTCTCCATGCAAATGAATGTGAGGACAAAAGAAATTTGGTTGGGGCAGAAGAATGGAGGCTGAGGTTTGTGATGTAGATGACTTGGCCTTCTACACAGGAAGAACAACTTAAATTGAAATATGAATGAATGTGTGGGAAATCTTTTGGGTACTGTAGACAGGTTAAACAGCTAGAGAAAGGATAATGTGGAAATCATGGGAAATGACATGTGAGAAATATTCCAGGTTATGGAAAGCCTCATGTGGCATACAGAAAAAATTGGATCTTATCCTAAAAGGAATTGGAAGTTGCCAAATAATTTAAATCATAGTGGAGGCCCAGTTATATGTGTATAGAAAAGTCATTCTGGTGGCAGTGTAGACAGAGGATGAATTTGAGGGACATGAAACTATTTAGAATGGTATTACAATAATGCAGTGTTCTCAGAGGCAAAGGCAGTCTAGAGTATAGGTAGGTAGCACACATAATCGAAATGGGCCCATTTCAGAAACTGGAGAACTTGGACTTAGAGCCCATGTAAATGAAGGGAGTAGTCACCACTTGGCCTCAGCCAGTTGTTGCCATTTGGGAAGACAGAGACACCCTATCACACACATACACACACCCTGTTGCACATTTATTCTTTACTTTTGGCTTTCAGATGAGTGTCAAACATTTTAAAAAACATGAATGGGTCAACACTATATTGATCAAACAAAGTAAATCCTTGGGCCAGATACAGCCTAAGTCAGTGTATCACTGAAGTGTGTTCTTTTGAACATTGATCTTTGAAAAATGTCTTCTGTGGTCAAATAAATTAGGAGCAACTGAGACTTGACAAAACTGATTTTAAAATTCACAAGGAAAGGAACATGTACAAGAATAGTCAAGATAATTTTGGAAAAGAACAAAGATGGTAGACTTGCTTGGCAGATATCAGACTGTATTATAAATCTATGATAAGTAAAATAGTGTTGTATTGTCAGTTTGTTTATTGACAATAAACAAATAAATTGTTGAGATAAAATGGTTAGCTCAGAAATAGACCCATGTATATATGAGAACTTAGTTAATGATATAAGTGGCATTTAAAATGTATCAGGGAATAATGGATCATTTAATAAATGGTACTGGAGAAATTAGTTATTAACTGAGCAAAAACAAAGTTAGATTCTAACTCATGTTACTAAAAAATGTAAGTTAAATAATTAAGAAAACAATAAATAGAGGGAAATGCAGAAAACACATTTATCATGTTGGAGAACTGAAGGCCCTGTGAAGACATGAAATGCAAAAAAAATGAAGAAAAAAATTTGACTTAATTAAAATAAAATTTTTGGACAACAAAGGCCACTATAAGCAGTATTAAAAGGTAAGCTACTATCTGGGAGAAAATATGCAACATAAGCAGAGGATTAATATGATTAAATGGAAATAACTCCTCCCAAAGAATAAGAAAGAGACTCAAAATCTACTACAAAAGTAGTCAAAGGACATTAACAGGCAGTTCCCTAAAGAGGAAATATAATTGGTCAAAAAACGTATAAAAGTATGCTTAACGTGAATATAAAATATGAATATGAAAATGTTTGATCACATTACAATCAGATAAAAGAAAATTTAAAATAAGAAATATCTCTTTCATCAAATTGGCAAAATAAAAATTTGATAATATCAAAAGCAAGTGAGGAAATAGGAACTCTTCTGTTACAGGTCTGAATATACATTGGCAAGGCCACTTTAGAGGACATCATTGTCAGTATCTATCAAAACTGAATGTATACCTACTATAGAGAAATGGTAAAGACTGTTGTTCCTTCCAGCACTGTTTGTAATGGCAAGTAATTGGAAAGGATCCAGTTGTTCATCAGCAGAGAATTGGTTAAATAAACGATACATTTATACTGTGAAATACTATACAGACTTAGAGTATAAAAAATTAGGTGGATCTACTGATGTGAGAGACATTGTTGAGTGAACAAATTGCGCAGGAATACGTAGAATATTAAGCCAATTATTTAAAAAGGTAAAAAGACATGAAGCTGTGCTATATGTAAAATGTCTGGAAGTATGCATACAAAAGGGATAACTAACAGCGATAACTATGGTGAAAGTTGGAGGATGAGGAGGAGAATTATATTCAAAGGAGACTTTAAATGTAAATATTTTTAACAAGCATTTGTTAATTCATGCATTTATGAATTACTTGTATAATCAAAAATAAGTAAAGGTATTTTCAGTAATGGGAGAAACTTGAGCCTGTTTATTTTCTAAGGAGGAGCAATTAATATGAAGGGAGAAGTAGAAAATACAGGAGAGGAGTTAATTGATGGAGAAAGGTCCCTGACAGACAGGAAAGAATGGGTACAATCTAGAATTCAGCTGGAAGAGTTTAGCTTTAGATAGGAGGACGGCCAATCTCTATGACCAGAGAGGAGGAGGAATAGATGAGACTAAGAGAGATAAACTTCTGTTTGTGGGGGTGGAGGCTGAGAGTGGAGAGAGGAGCTGGGGAATTTGCTTTATGATGACCTCCATTTTATCTTCAAAGAAACAGTTTGTCCCCCACCACCCTGGTGTCTTGTCCTCCTTGCTGTAGATACCAGTAAATATGACTGACTGTCTTCCCCACCTGTTCATCTCAATCACATTAAATGTTATTAGCCTCTCGTTACTATCGGACTCTTTCCTCTTGTCATCTTTGTAAAGAGTAGCTTGTTAATGCCATTACATAGGCCCCCACGTCCTATAGTGCTGTGGTGAAAACAACAAGGTCCTAATAATGGGCCATACCAATGAACTAATTTCTACTATTTAAAAGGACACGGGAAACTGCTTTCAGTGGCCTGCCTTCTTAGTTCTGGTATATTCTGCTCTATACTCAAGAGTTATTCTGTTTCCTGTGCCTTCAGAGGACCACATTCCCAGCTTTATGCCCAGAGAAGTCTATGAAACTACCCCCCACCGGCATCCTACAGAGTTGGGATTTTTTTCAGCCTCACAAAGCCCTCTGTTGTTCCTCTTTAACAGTCAGCTAACTGAAGTTAGGGAGAAGTGGTGGGGAGCACTTCTGCCCTCTCCCTCTCCTTTAGATTTTAAGAGGCTTCCAGCAGCTTGACCTTACCTTTTGTGTAAAATATATTTAGTCACTCATTACAAGTTGCAATCCCTTTTTGGTCCTTGGGTTCCAGATGGGGAATTGAAAAGAGTTTTTAGATGTCAGGCATCAAAGGAAATTGAGGAAAGTATCTGCATTATTCTTTCCTCTCCTCTGAATCTTCTGACTTTCCTAGAGGCTGTGCCCCAAGTCTCTGGTACTTTCTCCTTTCATATCTGCCTTTAGGAGGAAAACCTTAAAAAGATTAGTAATTCTTTTCTGTTTTCTATTCTTTTAATCCTATTGTAAACATGTTGATGATAAAGTCACATCCTTTGCTTCTCTCTGAATGGTGATACAGATTTTTTGTTGTAGTTAATTTTCTTTCCTGTTTTTACCCATCCTAGATAGTGGTGTTATAAAACAGTACTTTGCAAGATTGTGCTATGTAATTAATGAAAATCAAGGTACTCCAGAGGAAAGTATTGCAAATCTGCACTGCATTCCTACCTGTAAGATGCTTGCTACAGGCTGTGTCAGCAACAAAGGTGTGGTTTTAAGATGAGAACAAATGAAAAGTAGTGGAATATGTAATTTAATTGTAGATAACTTAAACCGTTATATTGATCTTAATCTGTTTATTCTGATTAGCCCTCGCATTTTAAAAACATGAAGCCAGTATACTTAATCTCTAAGACTTTTAAGTTATTTTTTCCTACTAACTTCTGTGGAGAGCAACTTTGAGACAACTGTTTAACTGGATATTATTCTACCAAACATATCTGATTATTATTAGCTTTATAAAAAGATGGTAGGTTTGTTTTATAACTTAGGTAGTAGAAAGAATATTATATTTAGAATCAAATAGACTTTGGTATTACTCTTATCACTTACTAAGTGTGACCTTGATATAGTTAACTTCTCTAAGGCTAAATTTTCTCATCTCTAAAATGGGAGATAATAGAAGTCTCAGAATAGATTGCCTAGAGAATGAAAGAGGAAGAATATGTCTAAAAGAAAAAAAACATAAGTTCAGTTTTGATCAGACTGAGTTTGAAGTGCTACAGAAAAATTTGAATATATAAATGGTGATTGCTTTAAGACTAAAGTTTTTTTGTTTGTTTTTCTTTGTTTGTTTTGTTTTGTTTTTTTTTTTTGAGATGGAGTTTCACTCCTGTTGCCCAGGCTGGAGTACAATGGTGCGATCTCAGCTCACTGCAACCTCCACCTCCCAGGTTCAAGCGATTTTCCTGCCTCAGCCTCCTGAGTAGCTGGGATTACAGGCATACGCCACCACGCCCGGCTAATTTGTATTTTTAGTAGAGACGGGGTTTCACCGTGTTGGTCAGGCTGGTCTTGAACTCCCGACCTTAGGTAATCCACCTGCTTGGCCTCCCAAAGTGCTGGGATTACAGGCATGAGCCACTGTACCTGGCAAGACTAAAGATTTTTTAGTTTATTGAGACTGTATTGTTCATTGCAGTTAGTAAGATGATGCTGTATCTCTACTATCCATAAGCTAATAGTAGGATATGTGTCTCACGGAATTTTGTGAACACTATTCCCTTCTATTTTCCCTATATCTCTTCTCATAGTGTGCCCCTAGAAGACTCCTCGTGTGATTTTTGCCCAGCCAAGACTGATTTCATCATCTCTGCTGCCATGCCCCTCTAGTTCACAGGCCATACATAGTTCCATAGGCCATAATTGTCTATGGCCTGCAGGGTAGTTTGACATTACTTAGCTGAACAGTCTTTTCTGTTCCTTTTTCCTGATCCCTTTATGAGTGATCTCAATCAAGCCACACCTTTCTGCTTCAAACTCTGGCTCCTAAATCTCATTAGATCGTTGTGTATCCATGATGCAAATAAAGCCATGATGATTATTAGCAGCTTCATGAGATGTATTTTTATTTACCTTTCTATGCCAAAGGGCAATTTTCCTCCTTGATTATTATCCATTGAAATCAAAGTGTGTTTGAATTTTCCCAAAAATGTGCAAAATGTCTTCCATTTTACACAAAATTGAAGTCAAATAAGGTCTTATTTGGCAAGTAATCTTGAGACTAGAAGTATGGAGAAAAAGGCTCATAACTTAAATCTAAACTAGAGCTCCATGTGGTCCAGTCAGTGTACAGTGTCACTTTTGGAAGTACTCAAAGGTCAGATTGTATGTGGGCTCTCAGGAATTATAGGAGTTAGGGAAACGCATTTTCCTCCACTGCTGCTTCTCTCAGCACCCACCACACTGACGGCAGCCACCTGCTACCCTCCCCCGCCATCCTGCAGTGCTCAACTTTCCGCTTTCCAGTCTCTCTCCAAACTTCTCAGACAGATCCTCCCCTGAAGATAGGCCCTTTGTCTTTTCATTTCTATGCCTGTCTCCCCTACTTCTTCACCTAGATTCTCGGATCTCTGTTTCCACCTATTCAGATGGCTGGAGGACCCAGAAGCTCGATTTACTTTACACTTGGCAAGGAAAAGGATGGAGTCTCTAGGAAAACACAGTTTTCTCACTTGGCCTCTCTAATTATAAATTTTTGTAGAAGACTTTCTTTAAATGCTTTCTATCTCTCCAAACACATTTATAAATTAGCCCTTTGGGTTTTTAAAAATTATAGATTGATGTGTAAATTAGAAGGTTATACAGGTGAATATGTGCACATGCTCAGATATTTAAAGATGCTTATCTTGGTGGTTATCTTGCTTTACCTTGCACTGCAAATTTCTTGAGAAGAATTTTTTTTTTCCTGTAAATTCACAAAGCACACAGTACCAGGCTTCTCATATAATATCATGAATGCTTAAGAAATGTGATTGATCAATTTACTGACAGAGAACTCAGGATTTTAGGAAAAAGTATTTTCTATTTTCTTTTGTATCCCTATAAAAGAAACCCAAAGTAACCAGTTCAGATTTTATGCACGATTCTGTCCTAATAAATTTCTATAGACAATGAATTTCTCCCACATTGTTGTATAAAATTTTGTGGTTTCATTTTAGTTGCCTCCTTAGATGGTTATCTGAAAATGATTATATATTTAATTAATCTAAGTGTTTATTCTGAAGGATCATAGGAAAAATATTGGTCAGAAATGCTACAGTAAATGCATTTTTTATAATGTAATTATAAATTATGTAAATAAGATAATGTAAATAAGATAAAATAATGTATAATATAATGTAAATATATACTTTTTATAATGTAAATAAGATAAAAATGCAGCCCTCACTTTTCAATACTGTATGCTGGACTTCAAACTGAAACATTTAGAACTGGATTATGTTCAGAAGGGGTCATTTTCTTCATTAAAGTTTCATGCATTTCTGTTCTTTTACCAGACTTAAGCTGCTTATTATTAATACTAACACAAAACGGTTTCTTCAGAAACTTGGGAAATAATAAACAGCCTCATTTAGAGAGCACTCTGGCCTGGATTTGGTCCATGAACTTATGGATGTGAAGCTGTTTAGTGTGCTTAAGACCTCGAAGATCCTTTAAGAGGGGCTGTTTGGATTAGGTGCCCCATGATGTGTTTGCTTCTTGCAAAGTTTGGTTTGAAGTAGTTGGGACAAGACTGTGAACAAAGCCCTGAGAATCATAGAACTGGGAAGGATCTCAAGAGATCCCCTTACTTAGCCCCTGTATCCAAGGAGGAGAATTTGCAAATCATTCAAGACAGGCAGCTGCTGATCCTGTTTTGTGAGATATCCAAGAGTGGGAGTCCTGATTGTGCCAAAGTGACTGTTTTAGAAGAAAGCACCCAACATTCTTGTTTTCCTATCACACACGAAATGTGAACAATGATGGGTGGGATAGCCATTTGGTTTCTTGGGTGGTTAATGGTGTGAGAGGATTGCTTACGACATTTCAAAACCTGGAAGATGCTGATATTTAGTTTAGTTTCTTTTCTTTCTTTCTTTCTTTCTTTCTTTCTTTCTTTCTTTCTTTCTTTCTTTCTTTAATCAGAGTGTTACTCTTACCATTTATCTGAGTCACTTTATAGCAGTTGCAAAACTCAACATTCCATGGAAGGCAAACAATTAATCTGAAGTAAACTAGTGAGGGCCAGATGGAGTGGTGGTATCTGTGCTTAAATTGGGGACTAAGACCACTCAGACTGAATTTTTTAAAAAAGACAGTGTTGACCAAACAAATGCTCTGCTAGCTATATTTTGCCTGTGGGTCTCTTTCTTTGTGACTCTAGTTTAATAACCAGTATGCCCGCAGATGTATAAATTACCAGTTAATCCATGTTTGCAGTTTCATTTTTCTCACACAAAACAATTTTGGTTGTGTGGGGTAACTATTTCTAATCTAGATATTCTTGGCCTTGGATATTCCTTTCCAAAATGATTGATGATTTGGTTTAGGTTGACGAAGGCTAGCCATGTAACCTACTTTATTTCTCTATCAGGATTTATAACCAGATCAATATATCATAGAACTGAAGCTGTAAGAGATCTTAGAATGATGTTGCCAGAACATGCTTTTATTTTATTTTTACTTTTATGACTTATTTTATTTATTTACTTATTTATTTAGAGACAGGGTCTTCTTGTCACCCAATCATAGCTCACAGTAACCTTGAAGTCCTGGGATCAAGTGATCCTCCCACCTTAGCCTCTCGAGTAGCTAGGACTCCAGGAGCACACCACACACCCAACTAATTTTTTTTTTTTTTTTTGGCAGAGACAGGGTCTTGCTATGTTGACCAGGCTGGTCTCAAACTCCTGGGCTGAAGCAATCCATCTGCCTCCTGTGCTAGGATTACAGGCATAAGCCACTGCCCTGGGCCAAAACATGCTTTTAGAAAGGACAGTATCTAAACTAGGGGAACTAAACTCACATGCCTTTACGCAGGACTTCTATATTGTACACCTCCAGGGGACATGCTTCACAGTGGCCTACACAAATGGCTAGGCACTGCACAAAGGTGAGGGGGCACCGGCATTCGCATGGACTGCACTGTGATTATGCAGTGATGCAGCCCTGCTTTCAAGTCTAGGCAAGTAACATACCTTTAGGAAGCAGTTGATCCTAAGATGTTAGGGAATGTTGGGGACCACAGCAAACTGAAGAACATGTCTCGCAAAAAGGCATTCAAATTTAGTTAAGTTTAAGCATTCCTGTAGGCAAGTTTTACTGCCAGCTTGAGATCCTTGCTGTAAATCAAGGACTAAGAGGTGTCTTTCAGATCACTCTGGAAACTTTGCAATAATTATGATTCTCTTGGTTGCATGTAACTGAATTCCAACTCAAAGCAGAGAGGATTTCTTGTCTCACATAACTGGTTTAGCTCAAAGAAGAACTGAAGGGAGTGATATAAAAATCAAGGCCCTTGGCTGGACATGGTGGCTCATGCCTATAATCCCAACACTTTGGGAGGCCAAGGTGGGTGGATCACCTGAGGTCAGGAGTTCGAGACCAGCCTGGCCAACATGGTGAGGCACCCCCCCCCGCCCGCCCCCCGTCTCTACTAAAAATACAAAAATTAGCCAGGCATGGTGGCAGTTGCCTGTAGTCCCAGCTACTCGGGAGGCTGAGGCAGGAGAATCGCTTGAACCCGGGAGGCAGAGTTTGCAGTGAGCCAAGATCATGCCACTGCACTCCAGCCTGGTGGACAGAGTAAGACTCTGTCTCAAAAAAAAAAAAAAGAAAGTTAAAAAACATTAGCTGGGCTTGGTGGCTCATGCCTGTAATCCCAGCACTTTGAGAGGTTGAGGTGGGTGGATCACCTGAGTTCAGGAGTTCAAGACCAGCCTGGCCAACATGGTGAAACCCCGTCTCTACAAAAATACCAAAATTAGCTGGGCATAATGGCGGGTGCCTGTAATCCCAGCTACCCAGGGAACTGAGGCAGGAGAATCACTTGAACTGAACCCGGGAGGCGGAGGTTGCAGTGAGCTGAGATCGCACCATTGCACTCCAGCCTGGGTGACAGAGGGAGACTCTGTCTCAAAAAAAAAAAAAAAAAATCAGGGCCTTCACTGTTTGACCTAGGTTCCTGACATAGCCATAATCCTTCACCCATCTGAACTTTACTTGGCCCTGCTTCCTTGTGCTGAAGGGCAGGGGATACGGCCTCTAGTAGGGACCCCAGTAAAAATAAAACTTATTTTCTTCTCAAAATCTATACAGGAGACACAAAGGCACTCTTTTTTGCTCGGCTTGAGTCATGTCACCAGCTTCTTGTAATGATATAATAGCTGTTACAGGTGGGACAGTGGTTGGAGGAACCAAGATGGGATCAAGTGGTATGACTGGCCAGGCCTGAGTCATGGGGTCCATACACCTGCCTGCCCCTCTTGAGCTTGTAGAAGGAGACTGGGAGCCTATTACCATAAGAGGGACTAAGAAAGCTTGCTAGGCAGAAAAACAGACCTCTCAAAGTCTACTATTCTCTTAAATTCCCCAGAAGTGTCGGCCTCCTCACATTTTTTTCTCCCTTCTTTGCAGCACAGGAAATGCCCCGTGATCAAAATCTTGCTGGAAATTTTACAAGTTCCATGTTCATTTGGCTTAACCAATGAGAAGATTATTTTTATATATGGCAAAACTGAATTGTGTTAATTGTGCTAATTATGAATTGCTATTGTTTTTGGTTGAAATCTCTAAAATTTAAGCTACTGAATTTATGCACTGTGAGATATTCTGAAAGTGAAACAGTTAGGAGTCATTTACCGTATTTCTCTATAAAAGATCCAGTTGCCCCTTGGGACTGCTTATGAGGGATTGAGAGACTTTATTCTAGAAAGAGGGTTACAGTAGACAGAAGTTAACTGCTCTGGGGATTTCAAAATAACTGAGTTTCACTTACTCGGGATCTCAGAACTGTGTGAAAGGCAAGTATGGATAAGGCGGAACTGTGTATTTAAAATAGGGGAGCTTAATTTTCATTTGTTCCAAATTAGTTGTGTTGATTTATGCAAAGATGTTTTGTCAGATTAAACATGTATATAGCGTATTTCTATTAGCTTAAAAAATTTGTCCTTAGTACCAATTGTTTGGTTTGTGTTTTCTGAGTGAACTAGTACGTTTTGCTTCTAGCAACTGTTTTTAAATACATATAAAATGTATTTGCCTTTGATTTTTAATTTTTCTAAAGCTAAACTGTTAAACTTAACTATTAAACTAAGACTAAACTTTTAAGGTGCTGCTTCACCTGCCCCTCCCCTCTCAAAAATGAAATCAGCCCTGCCCAGTTCTCTAAGTCCAACCTGGTCCTGTCTAAGCATACTTTGTGTAACTGTTTTTCAGAAATACCTTGGAGGGAATTCTTTGGGTGGACAAAATGTAGTTAGAAGACCTCTGCTGACATCAATTATAAAATCCATGATCCTATTACTATATTTTGTTTCTTTTTTTTTCAACTATGCTGTCTCTTTGAGGGACTATAATTCATGTCTTGTTTTTTGGTTTAGTGAACTAAATTATTACTACAATAATGATTTGTTGTTGATTACTTTCATTTAGACATTGTATCTTGAGATTCTTTTTTTTTACCTCTCTGAGGCTCCATTTTCTCATCTTTATTTATTTATTTTATATATATATATATTTTTCTTATACGTTAAGTTCTAGGGTACATGTGCACAACATGCAGGTTTGTTACATATGTATACATGTGCCATGTTGGTGTGCTGCACCCATTAACTCATCATTTACATTAGGTATATCTCCTAATGCTATCCCTCCCCCCTGCCCCCACCCAACAACAGGCCCCGGTGTGTGATGTTCCCCACCCTGTGTCCAAGTGTTCTCATTGTTCAATTCCCACCTATGAGTGAGGACATGTGGTGTTTGGTTTTTTGTCCTTGCGATAGTTTGCTGAGAATGATGGTTTCCAGCTTCATCCGTGTCCCTACAAAGGACATGAACTCATCATTTTTTATGGCCGCATAGTATTCCATGGTATATATGTGCCACATTTTCTTAATCCAGGAGCTGGTACCATTCCTTCTGAAACTATTCCAATCAATAGAAAAAGAGGGAATCCTCCCTAACTCATTTTATGAGGCCAGCATCATCCTGATACCAAAGCCTGGCAGAGACACAACAAAAAAAGAGAATTTTAGACCAATATCCCTGATGAACATCGATGCAAAAATCCTCAATAAAATACTGGCAAACCGAATCCAGCAGCACATCAAAAAGCTTATCCACCATGATCAAGTTGGCTTCATCCCTGGAATGCAAGGCTGTATCTTGAGGTTCTTAAAGCCTTTGCATCCGGAGGTAAACAAAATGAAGTCTCACTTTGTGCAGATCCTCCAGACAATCTTCTACTTGGAGCCTAGTTAAACAAAGAGTAATACAAATGGAAAAACTAAACTTTAAAATGACTTGTATTTTTTTCTAGCATGTAAATGTGTTGTGTCTGGAGTGACACTTCAGTTTATAATCTCCAAAAGGGTTGAGGCTTTATTTTTGTTTAATTCATGCAAATATTAAAAGATAAGAAATGACAAACTACCTTAGCTTCCTAATTTAAACTTCTAGGAAAAGTGCATTTTGCAAAAGGAAGGAGAGAATTTCTACAATGGAAATTTCCTCTGATCATCAAACTCTGGGTTTATAAAGGGTTGATTTATTTACATATTAGGACTGTCTCTAGCTGAGATGAATTAAGCAGCAGCCTGCATTGTTGATTTTAGGAAGTTCAGAAATACTTCTGAACAAAAATGTTTATCTCACTCTTCATTGCTGAAATGTATCATTAGCTTTTCATTCCTTTTATTAATTACCCTTCTCTCTGTCTTTAAAAAATACTACTGAAAAGATAGTATACACATCTGGTTATTAGCAAGTGAGTATAGACTCTTCTTTACTATTTTATTGTTACAACAGCTTTGTTGAGATGTAATTCAAATACTAAAACATTTACTCTTTAAAGCATGCAATTTAGTTGTTTTTAGTACAAATGTGCCACCATCAATCACCATTATTTAATTTTGAAACCTTTTCATTACCGCCAAAAAGAAGCTCTGTACCATAGCCATTAGCAGTCACTCTCCATTTTCCCTTCCTTCTAGCCCCTGTCTAACACTAACCTACTTTCTATCTCTATGGAATTTTCTTATCCTGAACATTTTCTAGAAATAGAATCACAATATATCATCTTTTT
Source organism: Homo sapiens (assembly GCF_000001405.40). NCBI lineage: Eukaryota > Metazoa > Chordata > Mammalia > Primates > Hominidae > Homo > Homo sapiens. The sequence goes on along the minus strand of NC_000006.12, from coordinate 39,644,557 downwards.
TGACTGGCTTTTTAAAATTTAATGTGTTTTCAAGTTTTATCCTTATTGTAGCATGTATCTGTACTGCCTTCTCCTTGCCAAATAATATCCCATGGAATGGATACAGTACATCTTGTTTATCCACTCATCAGCTGACGGTCACTTTGTGTTGTTTCCACTTTTTGGCTAAATAATGAATAATGCTGTTGTGAACATTCACTACAAATTTTTGTGTGGACACATGTTTTTAATACTGCTGTGTATACACCTAGCCGGGTCATATGGCAATACTAGGTTTACATTTTGAGGAACTGTTAAGACCTCAAAATGTACCATTTTACATTTCCAGCAACAATGTATGAAGGTTCCAATTTGTCCACATTGTCACCAGCACTTCTCATTGTCTCTTTTTTTTTTTGTTTTAGCCATACTAGTGGGTGTGAAATTGCATCTTATTGTGATTTTGACTTGCATTTCCCTAATGACCAATTATGTTGAGCATCTTTTTATATGTTATTGGCCATTTGCATTTCTTTTTAGAGAAATGTCTATTCGAATCTGTTGCCCGCTTTTTAATTAGATTGTTTGTCTTCTTATTATTGAGTTGTAAGATTTCTTTGTATGTTATGGATTATGGATATGATGACAAGTCCCTTGCCAGATAGATATGATTTGCATACATTATCTCCATTGTGTTGTCTTTTCACTTACTTGATTGTGTCTTTTGAAACACAAAATTTTTAATTTTGATGAAGTGCAGCTTATTTTTTTCCTTTGGCTCTTTGTGCTTTTGATGTCATATCTAAAAAACATTGCCTAATTTAGCTCATGAAGATTTACTCCTAAGTTTTCTTGCAAGATTTTCTTTTAAGTTTTATCTCTTACATTAGGTCTGTGATTCGTTTTGAGTTAATTTTTGTACATGGCCTGAGGTAGAGGTCCAGCTTTATTCTTTTTCATGTGGATATCCAGTTGTCCAAGGATCATTTGTTAAAAAGACCATTCTTTCCTCCATTGAATAGTGTTGGCACCCTTGTTGAAAATCAACTGATCATAAATATAAGGGTCTATTTCTGGATTCTTAATTTTATTTTATTGATCCATATGTATGGCCTTATGCCAGTATCCCTCTGTCTTAATTATTCTAGCTTTGTAGTAGGTTTTGAAATAGGGATGTGTGAGTCATCTACCTTTGTTCTTTCTTTTCAAGATTGTTTTAGCTATTCTGTGTCCCTTGACTTTCTGTATAAATTTTATAAGAATATTGTCAATTTTTGCAAATAAGCCAGCTTGAATTTTGATAGAAATCGCACAAATGTAGATCAGTTTAGGGAATATTGCCATCTACACAGTGTTAAGACTTGTACCCTACAATCCTGCTGAACTTGTTTCTTACTTCCCATAATTTTATAGTAAATTCCTTAGTATTTTCTATATACAAGATTATGTCATGTGCAAATAGAGACTTCTATGTCTGGCAATATTATTCTCAAAAATGAAGAAGAAATTAAGACATTCCAAGATAAACAAAAACTGAGCAAATTTATCGTCAACAAACTAGCCAGTAAATTTAGGCAAGATAATGAAATAAATTTCCTTAAATTCCTTGAACTCCTCCATCTCCCAGCCTACATACAAGGGTCCCTACATGTTTGTTGGGGCATACCTTCAATGCTGAGGAAGTTTGTAACACTGTCTTTCTTCTCACTTTCTGTTTGTGCAGTCTAAAGGCCAGCCAGAGGTGAGTTATAATGCCCTTCTCAGGTCTTTTCTGGGCATACATATAGTCCTGCACATGTGTGTGGCCTTCCCGATTCCCAGGAATACATTAGAGTTTTTTGAAACCCCTTATACACATTTCTCAGGTTTTTCTAAGTTTTTGGTTACGTTCTTGTTTACTTCACTGGCATTGCAGCTTTGCCAGCTGTGATGTTAAACACTTGCCACTGATTTTTTTTCAACAAACACCCCGAGGACAGGGCTGCTCACACTGAGTGAACTCTGAATCAGGTCTAACAAAGACAAGTACCATGAGTGGAGCTTTTCCAGAGAGCTCCCAGACGAGTCAGAGAGTGGCAGCTCTTTGAGGATGGGGCATTTTGAGGAGCCCCAAATCCATACTGCCCCCTACAGTGGTTGCTAGGCTGCTGGATTTCACAGCTCCAATGTTTCAAGGCTGTTGTTTTTGAAGGCTACCATGGAGCTAGGGAGAGGTGCTGGGAATGTTGAAGTTAAAATACCACAAAGCTCATGGTTCCTACTGAGTTTAGCTGTTTGTCTTACATAAACACTTCTTGGATTGGTGTGAGCCTTTGGATAATTTCCAGAGTTCTGAAAAAGTTGATTTTGACAATTTTTGCCACTGGTATTATTGTTCTTGTGGAGTAATGGATTTTCAAAGTTCATTACACCACTATTTCTCTTTCTTTATTTTTAACTAGTATTTTTCCTTAGGACAGATGAGACCAGAAGCACATGAAAAGGCCTAGTGTCCATTGAAGAGTGGTTACAAGACTGAGTTGGAATGGAGGCTCTACAGAAGGGACTGGAGACAAATTTTGCCTGATTACATTTCCTTATTTAACGTTTAATTGTAGCAACGTAATAAATAAATAGCCATGGGAGTATATATAGGTCAAGCCTTACCCTTTTTATTTTACAGTGTTCTATGAAGCTATGTCATCTGGTTTTCCATCCCACAGTAGATGGGGGTAGGGGGAGCACATATTAAAGACAGACATACTAGGACAACTGGCAGTGAGAAAGAAGATTTTAGCATAAAAAAGTAGACATAACACTTAGCAGATGCCAACGTAGTGTACTACCTACTCACTTTTCGTAGTCTATATCTATATCAAAATGAAAATATTAATTTGTGCTCTGTAGTTTTTTCCTTTTTTTTTTGTTTCCTTGGCAGTGGCTTTTTTTTATATATATTATACTTTAAGTTTTAGGGTACATGTGCACAACGTGCAGGTTAGTTACATTTGTATACATGTGCCATGTTGGTGTGCTGCACCCATTAACTCGTTATTTAACATTAGGTATATCTCCTAATGCTATCCCTCCCCCGTCCCCCCACCTCACAACAGTCCCCGGTGTGTGATGTTCCCCTTCCTGTGTCCATGTGTTCTCATGTTCAATTCCCACCTATGAGTGAGGACATGTGGTGTTTAGTTTTTTGCCCTTGCGATAGTTTGCTGAGAATGATGGTTTCCAGCTTCATCCATGTCCCTACAAAGGACATGAACTCATCAATTTTTATGGCTGCAGAGTATTCCATGGTGTTTTTCAAGACAGATAATGCCTAGAATATTTTACATCTATTCTTTCTATCAAGAATCAATAAAATGTTTAAGATTAGATATTTGAAATTTTAGACTTCATTTACCTACAGCATTTATGGCCAAGAAATATCATATATCCAAATGATATTGCTAATGGGACATCAATGTTTCATTGGTAACAAATTCTGTTGAGGAAAAAGATTCTGTAATTATATATCTAATTTTGTCATAGTTCCAACATCTTAGAAATTGAGAATTTCAACAGTATATTGTCTCCATGTAAAGACACACGAAGAAAAGTGATTACACTCCTCAAAAGTAGAACATTGAATCACACAGTTACAATACTTTCTTGCGCATTCCCTGTACTAAGTCCATTAAATTTGTAAGCACCAACAACACTTTCTACCTACACAGCAACAGATGCATTGACGTGTTGCTGAAGATATTATTGTTAGTTTAATAGTTGCATAAGGTGGTCATAAGTTTAATAGTTGCATAAGGTGGTCATAAGTGACCACTTCAGAATAATCTCCAGTCAAACCTGTGTGTTTTAGGAGACCCTTATAATGACAGATCACTCAACACACAGGCATGAAAGCATATGAAACATAGAACTGTAGATAGGATGTTGACAGAACTAATAGGGAGGAATTCTAATATGAACAGTGAGGGGTGAACTCAGAGGAGCCATCTATCAAAAAATCCACCCACAACATGGGGACCAATAGCTGATGTCATCGTAGCTAGTTTAATGAAAACATCTCAGAGATCAAGGAGCCACTTGTATCAAAAAACGAACATAAAGCTACAAAAGTTTACTGTTCCATGTAGCATAGATTAAAGACACAGTTTTGAAAGTCTACATCATTTCATGCATATTTATAAAAGCTTATATTACAGGTGGTGCTCTTCAAAGGCTGAGAAGATCCAGCCTTTGGGTTCTTAAGACCACCATCAAATCAAGGGCCGCTCTGCAGGGCTGAAGAATATATATGGACTAGCATCTTCTACCAAAAAGTCATTCCAAGAAAAGAGAAGAGGGGAATTCCTAGAGGATTTTCAGTTGGTGCTTAGTATTAAGTAGGGAATTACATTGCAAGGTATATGGTGGCAAGCAGAGTGTGTTCCTCCTGTTCTAGGAAGTAACTACTATTGTGAGTGTTTACACCATGTGAGGTACCAGGTGTCAGGTTGACAGTTTGCCAAATTACAGGTATTGTTTCCCCAGAACTTTTTTTCAATATATTCTTTGATTCAAGTCCAGTGTGTACTAAAAGATGAAGAATATATTTAAGATGACTGAACTCCATTTGTGTTGCACATCCTTTCTTAGAGAACAGGATTGATGTGCTGCTGTTCCTAGATAAAAATGTAAATTCTAGCTAGATATTCACATATATAAATTTTTAATAGATATTTCTATAAAGTTTTTTTAATAGTGTTTAATAAGATTGTTATTAGAATACAAGCCATTTAATTCATATGCAGTTAGCCATGTTGATATTGAAAGTGTGTCATTTCTTTATTGCAGTGTCCTGGCAGGTTACAATGGTACCATCTTTGCATATGGGCAAACAGGCAGCGGGAAGACATTCACTATCACAGGGGGTGCAGAGCGTTACAGTGACAGAGGCATTATCCCAAGGACACTGTCATACATTTTTGAACAGTTACAAAAGGTATGAAACTTTTCGTTCATATCATTTTGTATTTGATATATTCAGCAAAAATATACTGAAAGCAGGAAATTTATTATGACATGTATTTTATTGTGTCTAAATGATAAAGTCTTATTGTGTCATAACTTTGGCCTTTACCTTTAAGGAGAGGTTGGGATTTTGCTGTACAAGTGAAAATTAAGAAGGTACTTCTCATTAAAGGGCTGCTATTTCAGCAAAGGCTCAAGGACATTTCCTTCTGATATACGCACGAAGGTTGAAAGAGCAGACAACACCTTTTACCAACTAATATCTTATATTCCTCAAGAAACTGAGGAATGTCTTCTTATCAAAGCAGATCTTTCTTTTAGCTACTGAAACACTAAACAGGATAGTATAATTGTTACTATTTTACACTTGATAGAAGCCCAGAGGAATTTACCAAAGTACAAATACCGTTGTAATTATTACCATTGTAAAAAAGGGTTATCTATCTAGATTATATGTATCATTTATTGAGTGCCTCAAAATGCCAGTAGCTTTATCAGTTTTACCAGTATTTGATATAACATATAATGCAACTTCCCATTTCACAGTTGGGAATACTGAGCCTCAGGTTAAATATTTTCCTCTGGGCCCACATCCTGTAAGTAGCTGATCTAGAGTTCTATCCCAAGTCCACCTGATGTCTAACTCTGTGCTTTGTGCCATTATGTATATTGCTTCTATACCTCGGACTGGCTTTATTTTGTTGGTTATGTTCAAACAAATTCCCCGTAATGAGTCACATACCTTCTCTGAGTTTCGGTTTTCCCTTCTGTGAAAGCAGAGATTGAATTGTATTAGAGAATCTCCAGTGTCCCTACTAGTTCCAGCAATTCCTTGGTTGTATTACTTCTGTATAATACATGTCTTAACTAGGTCAATATAACAGTCACTCCAAAATTTCTTGACTGTATATTGTTTGCATTTTGAGTTGCAAAGATGAGAAGAAATTGCTGAGATCTGCATAATTCTAATTGCCATCCATAAAGTAGCAATTATCCATTAGTTCAGCTCATCTTTCTCTAGCTCAAACATGCCAGCTTTGCATGCCAGAAAATTTGGATGAGAAAGGATTGAGTATAGCATATATGTTGGATCCAAAGCCCTTTTTTCATTTACTCACTTATTTCTGACATTGCCTGTTTTGTTCCCACATTTCACAACCTGGGAATATAATTCCTAATAGTTTTCATTGCTGTGGCCTAATGTGGAATCCTTTTGTCTTAGAAAGATCACTGGAGGTACAGGTCAACCTGGTTCTGAGAAAGTGTACTGCTTACAGCATGTGGCCTTGGGGCGGTTACTTAATGCCTCAGTCTTATGGATTGCTGTGAGGGGCTGAACATACTGTATTTAAAGATATTGTCCAGATTCTTGCACACAGTATATGCTCAATACATGATAGTTATGATCACAGCCAGTAATATCCACATATGGATATTAATGTGGCCAAGTGATCCCTGACCAATTTCAGAGAACCCTTGAAACTCTCAAAACAAATGAAGCCAAATCCATGATTAAGTTAAATAGAATAAACTCATCCTCTCCCAAAGGAAAATATTTTTTGTCCCTTTAAAATTTTTATCTATGGTTACTAAAGTATAGATCCAAATGTCTAAATGTCTCCTTAGTACTTACCATTTGTCAGGTTCATTGTTTTAGATCTGTTTGTCATTGACATTACCGTAAACTCCATTTCATTCTGAATGATCCTAAATAACTTCCTGGACTTGCAGCGAGCCCATTGGAGCAATTTAAAGCCAGAGTAACTCTTTGTAAATGAACATATTTTCATGATGGGGCATAACACATTCATTATAATCAAACAGCTGCGGTGAAACTGGTCAAGCAACTTGAAGTGCATCATGAAGTTTGTTCATATTGTATAGCTGGAAAATGCAGCTTAGTACTCAGAGGTCCCCAGCTGATTGCCTTAGAGAGGTACATGGAGCTCTCTAGAATTCTTAAAGGAAACATTTGACCTATGCAAAGTCTTCATTTCAAGATACAGTAAGAGCCCAGTGCCTACTGGGTCCTGAAATGTCTATGAGTATGCCAGGAGTACATTTTCACTGATTTTAAGAGAAGAAAATTGATGCCATTTATTTTAGAAATCACTCTCATTATTTTTGGTATTGTGAGTTTCAAACTTGTTTTGGGGCAGGAGAAAAGGCTGTCTGCAGGAAACATGTGTGTTACATTACAGTCTGGCAATCCTAAACACTAAAAAGGAGTAATAAGGAAAGGTAGCTTGCCACATAGCTCAGTGAATTTTAAGTGTATTTTCCAATGAAAGTCCAGAAAATGCAGAAGCTGAAAGAGCCAAAGACATTATCCCTATCACCTCAGGGCAGTGGACCTGCTGTTTTCCTGACGTTTTATGATTTATTCTAACTTCTGGAAGAAGAGATTTTCTCCACTGCAGATAAACATACAAGTTGGCTGTCCATTTTGCTTTTATTTTCCTTTCCTTTTATATTCATATACTGAATTCTCCATTTGAAGGCTTCTAGAAATAATAATAAAAACAATAACTACAGCAATAATAATAGCAACAGCAGCAACAATGATTAGTTGATATCTGTTATGGGCCACACACTTTTGTAAGATTTTAAATATAGAATCTTATTTCTCTGTTATAACAGAATGCAAGATCAGGGCTATTATCCCCATTTTTATGGTGAAACAGCTGAGGATAAGGGTGTGGGATTATTCTGTTATAAATGGAGTTTCAATATTCAAACTCAGTTGTTATCTGATGCTAAGAAGAACTCAGAAATGTATACTAAACTCTCAAATCATAATCTCTGGGTTATTTCAGATATTTTGGATAAATTTTAAAAATATGTTGGTTTAAACAGGATCTCAGAATGTTGCCAAAATATCCCCTAGGGCCTTTGACATGCTGCAGAGAGGGACAGAGTCTATGTATATGTTGACCATGGAACTCTGTTTTCCAGGAGTATTCCATGGAATATTTTAGAAACATTGGATTAGACTAACAGCCACACCAAGTCTTTTTAGTGTTTATAGTCTCTGACACCTGTGCTAAGCCAAGTTATAACCCAAAGAATTATATTGAAATAGTACCTTTACTAAACTAGGATACTAATGTAATCAATAGGCCATTTGTTGGGATAAGCATTAGAGTCATCCACATCAGAAGAATTTTCAGCATTACGCTGAAAAAAAATTGCTTGGTAATTCGGTCCATGTCACCTTCACAGAACACCGGAATATAGAATTTCAGCTGTAGCTTGAGTGTTTTTATTATAGTCATGGAAGGCTGAGAGTTGCTTTAATTGTTCATTTATCATTTTGTTTTTCTGAAATGACAGTATCTTTATTTGGATAATTGGAGCCATTTTAGAACCAAAGAATCATTCATTTTACACTGAAGAACAGATAGGGATTTATTAGCCAACTTCCTCACTTTAATGAGTTTGAAAATGAAGGCCTGACATGGTAGAGGCTCAACTCTAGTTAGAGTAGGAGTCCAGCTTTTTATTTATGGGCCACTATTCTCTCTCCTATCTCTGTGACTTGGTCCTCTCTCCCTTTGAACAAAACCTATTAAATGGATTGCCTTGGAAATGGGTGAGAATCAATCAGGAAAGTCATCCTAAGCAAATTCTCTGTTAGTATACACTCTGACACCCTGGCAACCTGCTTGCCACAAGACCCAAATATACTCTCCTCTTATGAGAAGCATGATAATATTTGCGGAAATGGAAGCATTTGTATTTTTGGAGGAAGAAAAAGAAGGTGCTATTGTTTGATATTTTGTATTGAAAACTGAACTTTCTCAAGAGTTGAAAAAATTCCTTATTTTATTCCACCTCAGAGGGAATGGGTCATTTTTGTCTATTGGCAGAATTGAGACTAGGACCAGGCACCTTTACTTTTAGCCTCATTACATTGATGCCTATGTCATTGCATTTCAGCAGTGACCCACCACAAACATTTCTCTCATTTCTCTCTATCTAATAGCTAAACATCTCTGATTTGCCCTCTTGGGCCAGGAAAATTAACTCCACAGGTGAGGTATTGGCAGTGAACTATTAATGTCCACTCATACCTGACTAATCAACTATTTTCTGTCCTCTGGATGTCACTTTCATTGTTATCTATTTATGTCATCAGAAAATATTGAATATTAGAAAAGTAGAAAAAGAATGATGATTAAAGATGGAAACTATTTTGCTCCTAAAATTTTTAAACCAAAGTAATGATCTGTGTTCTTTTTTATGAATAGACTATTCACAGAATATGTTTATTTTTTTTAGTAACCTTTTTTGGTCTGGAAAGTAAAAAAAATGGTGTGTTATACAGTTCTGCAACCAAGTTGGCTCATTGTAAGTGTATATTGACTTTTTATGTATAATGTGGAACCAATAAAAAATAACAGACTGAAGTTGCTTGTAATCATGGGTGTTGGCCATTAAAAAAAGCTTCATGCATATGGTAACTGGCAACTTGAAAGTGTCATGAACTGAAAATGTAAACCATATAAAGTGAGAGAAAAAGAGAGAAACTATGAGGAAACTGAGTGCTAAATGTGTTCATCTTCATCTAAGCAGAATCATTGTTATAACCGATAAATAATACCTTTCCCTTTTCCAATCAGGACAGCAGCAAAATATATACAACACACATTTCCTATTTGGAAATCTACAATGAATGTGGTTATGATCTTTTGGATCCAAGACATGAAGCCTCCAGTTTGGAAGATTTGCCGTGAGTAGCAGAACAACAAAGAATGGAGGGAAATTACTTTCAGATGTTCTCTTCAATTGTTTTCTTTGAAACTTTGTATGTTTCTGGTCTCAATCATAATTAGCAAATACTGGATAACCGTATCTTTTTGTAATATAATGGATTTTTTTTTCAGTTATGACAAATGGACAGTAGTGATGGGAACTAAAATTGCCTGAAACTCATTTCTTGGGAAAATCTCTTTTGGAGTTGGCAGAAGAGAGTGCAATGAATTTTCTCTAAGATTGGGTGCTTAGAGGATTGATGGGATATGACAGTACTACTTTCTTCCTGCCACATGAAACCCTGTTGCTCTTCTAATTGTGGCCTCTTTCTGAGAAGAAGGTATTCAAATTAGAGTTCAAGCAGCAATAAGAGAATCTGAGACAGAGAAAATAACATTTTTACGTTTTCCTCAAATGCTTCTCTACTATGGTTAATGCTAACTTTGGCAATCATTTGATCAGATTGGCACTGATTGTTTCATGACTGAAATTTAAATAGCGTCTTCAAAATTTATCTAATAATGGAGCAAGTTACCCTGCCAGCATTTATATAACATTGCTCAATGCTTGTTTGAATATCTGCCTATATTAGACATATATTAATTGGCAACTGTTCATATACTTTTGTTCAGACATCATATATCAAAAGTAGCCTATAGCCAAGAAAATGTATCTTTATATTCTTATTAAATACTCTAATTTAGAAACACATATTCATTCTCTCCCAAAAAGATTACAAATCAGTTGTTTATTTTAATTTGCATTATCTCCACACCAAAAGGACTATCCAATTCTTGAATTGCTCTGAAATTTTATAGTAGTGAATATATTCGAAGAAATAGGCTATTGACTTGGATATGGGACTCTTCTTTCTTAATGACATTTTTATTTTAATGGGATCTGTTGTCATGTAATTACAGTCCAAAATGTGAGAATAAGAACAGTTTTAGACCACTTTTGTGTATGTGTGTGGAAGTTTCTTGAAAACAACTGTTATATAACTGAGGTCACTTCTAACTTGAGTCAGTGAACTCTCCAACAAGAGGACAAAGCTACTAAAGGAGGGGAAGTCGTTGAAGATGAAAGCTAGCAACATCTCTGGAGACAATCTGACCAGCATTGAGAATGACTGCTGAATGCTAGCCATGCTGAGAAATGTGGAGGACACAGGGTGGACTAAGGCATTGCGCTTGCTCTCAAGCTTGCTCTTTTCTAAAAGAAGCCCATTTGAAAATACTGAAATCACTTTTTCTTCTTTTGTGAAGGATAGAAAACTCAACAAATAAGTCCTCTCCTGTGAAGGTCACCAGTCTTTTTAACTCTTGACATTGGAGGTTGAAAGATTGTTAAATATTACTTAATCCAATGCCCACATTTTATAAACAGAGAAATCCAGAAAAATGAAATAACTTACCTAAGACTGTAGGACTGGGACTGGAACCCAAATTCCCTGACTTCTCATCAAGTACTTTTTTTTCTATATATTATGTTACCTCTCTTAAGGGTTCAATGGACTTTTCTCATTCCTAGCTCTTCCCATTGTTAGGCTGCACCAAACCATGTCGATTAGATTCAGATGAAAAGAGCTCATGCTCTGTTCTTCTCCCTCTACACTCTCATTTCAAAACGTCTGCTTCACAGTTTCAATTCCACAAATAATTTTTAAAAGTTATTAAGGACTTATTCTGGCTTAGGCAGTAGAGACACTACTAAACCAAGTAAGGCATATTTCCTACCTCTGAGGAATTTATTGTAAATATAAACATCTAGTATGATATCCTTAGACAGCAAACTTATCTATGTAAAATTTATTATCATCACTCAATCAAACTTTCTAATGGAAATCTCCTTTTTAAGTCAATGACTCCTTAATTCTCTAGGTCCCACTATAAAAATTTTGAAGCTTGGCCAGGCGCGGTGGCTCATGCCTGTAATCCCAGCACTTTGGGAGGCCAAGGCAGGCAGATCACAAGGTCAGGAGATCGAGACCATCCTGGCTAACATGGTGAAACCCCACCTCTATTAAAAATACAAAAAATTAGCCGGGTGTGGTGGCTTCTGTAGTCCTAGCTACTCGGGAGGCTGAGGCAGGAGAATCGCTTGAACCCGGGAGGCAGAGGTGTGGAGATAATGAGGTTTGACTGGTATTGAATCTGCTAGTTTTCTGAGGGCCTTAGACAAGTTTGCCTTTTACTAAGATGATAAAATAATTATTTATAATGAATTTTTTTTTTTTTGCTGTACTTGGATTTGATTAAGCATATGTGCTATTAATTACAAACTCTTGAACTGGGGCATACTATAACTCTGAAATTCTAGCTCTCTGGTTGACTGATTTCATTGTTGTGAGCTGAAATGTCTCAAACACTTTGAATGCCTTCTAAACATAGTAGGCAAAATGTCTGTTGACCTTGATCCCCACTCATAGTCATCCATTTGAGGGACAATGGCAATATACCCATTTTATCTCTTTTGCATTCTTATACAAGGCTTAACTATATAAAATCAACTCAGGGTCATGTTGGTGCTGCACAATAATAGCCATCAGTAACAGCTTCCTTACCGTTGAGTGACACAGCATCCCCAAATATCACCTGCGAGACGCTCTTCTCACATACACTCTGCCTTTTCTATTTTTTTTTTCTTTTACATTATAAGATGTACCACTTGCCTGCTCTTGCAGAACTTTTGCCTATAAAACTGTCTGTGGATTTTGTATATATTATGTCAGGGCACTAAACTAAAGTCATTTGCTTTTTTCAAATGTTGCTATAGTCATTTGTTTAGTAAATGTGAGAAATACTGACATCTAAATTAACAATCAAAGGTGATTAAACCAAACTTAACCAAGATGAAATACATAATTGAATACTTCAATAACTATTATAGAAGTTGAATTCATAATTTTATAAGTTTCACAAAGTGAAATCTTTAGGCCTAGATGGTTTCACTGGAAAATTCTACCAAATATTTAAAGAAGAATTAACACCAATTTTACATAATCTCTTTCAGGAAATAGGAGAGAGAACAATTCCCAGGTTATTCTCTGAGTCTAGTATTGCCCGAATACCAAAACTGGGCAAAGATTGTACAAAAAAAACAAAAAAACAAAAAAAAAAACTACAGACTGATATCTCTCATGAACATAGGCTCAAAAATCCTCAACAAAATATTGACAATTGAATCCACAAATGTATAAAATCAATACTATATCATGACCAAGTGAGATTAATTCTAGATTGCACAGCTAGTTCAACATTTGAAAAGCAATCAATGTAATCCGCAGGCTAAAGAAGAAAAATTATACGAAGCTCAGAAATAGTATTTAACACCCATTATTGATAGAAATCTAAACAAGTTAGAAATAAGGAGAATCACCTCAGTTTGTTAAAGAGCATCTACAAAATCCTACAGCTAACAAATGTGTAAAGGTGAAAGACTGAATGTTTTCCTCCTAAGATCAGAAACAATGCAACAATGTCCATTCTCACCATTTTTCTTCAATATAGTATGGAAATACTAGTCACTTCAGTAAAAGAAAAACAAGAAAAGACATACATATTGTCTACTAAAATATCCCAAAGAATTTGCAATCTCTTCTGAAAAAAAAAAAGCAGAGGAAACATGTTTTAACTCATCCAGTGATCCCAGCATTATCCAAATACCAAAAGCAGACAAATGCATTACAAGAAAGGAAAACTACGGACTAATATCTCTTGTGACTACACATGCAAAAATCCTCAATAAAATATTAGCAGATTATATTCAAAAATGTATAAAAAGAATTATATACTACAGCCAAGTGAGATTTATTTAAGGTATGCAAGACTAGTTCAACATTCAAAAATCAATTAATGTAGTCCATGGCATGAACAGTCTAAAGAATAAAAATCATATTATCATAACAATAGATGCAGAAAAAAATTTGACAAAATCCAACAGCTTCTCATGATAAATACTCTCAGGAAACTAGAAATGTAGGAAATGTTCTCAACCTGATAAAGAATATCTATAAAATGCCTGTAGGTAACATTATATATAATGATGAGAAGCTAGATGCTTTCTCCCAAGATCAGGAACAAGGAAAGTATGTCCCTCTCACCACTCTAATTCAACATTGTACTGGAAGTCCTAGCCAATTGCAATAATACCGGAAAAAGAAATTAAAGTTATTGGGAAGAAAGAAATACAACTGTCTTTGTTGACAGATGATTCAATTATCTATGTAGAACATCTCAAATAATTGACAAATTCCTGGAATTCATAAGTGATTATGGCAAGGTTGCAGAATACAAGGTTAATGTACAAAAGTCAATTGTTTTCCTATATACCAACAATAAATAATTGGAATTTAAAATGTAAAACACAATACTGCCTACATTAGCATCAAAAAATGAAATACTTGTGTATAAATCTGACAAGATATGTACAAGATCTATATGAGGAAAACTGCAAAGCTGATCAAATAAATCAAAGAATGTCTAAATAAAAAGATATTCCATGTTCATGGATAAGAAGACTCAATATTGTTAAGATGTCAGTTCTTTCTCACTTGATTTGTAGATAAAGTATAGATCAATTTAATCTAAAGCAAATTCCTAGTAAATTATTTTGTAGATATCAATAAAATGACTATAAATTTTACAGGAAAGGCAAAATAGCCATAATAGCCAACACAATACAGAAGAAGAACAAAGTCAAAAGACTGACATCACCCAACTTCAAGACATACTATAAAGATGGTAATTAAGGCAGTATGGTAATGGCAAGAGAACTGACACATATATCAATGGAACAGAATAGGGAGCCCAGAAATAGACCCTTAAAAATATAGTCAACTGATTTTTGACAAAGAAGCGAAGGCAATTCAGTGGAAAGGGGGTAGTCTTTTTTATAAATAGTACTGGAGCAACTGGATATGCACACATGAAAAAAGTGAATCTGGACAGGGACCTTACACCTTTCACAAAATTAACTTGAAATGAGTCATAGACCAGAATGTACCATGCAAAACTATAAGTCTTCTAGAAGATAACACAGGAGAAAATCCAGATGGCCTTGGGTTTGCCAATGAGTTTTTAGATGCAACACCAAAAGCATGACCAGTGAAATAAAAATTTATAAGTTGAACTTTATTAAAATTAAAACTTCTGTTCTGTGAAAGACACTGTTAAGAAAATGAAAAGGCAAGTCACAGGCTGGAAGAAATTAATTATCAAATACATATCTGATAAAGATATAAATATACAAAGAATTTTTATATCTGAAATATGCAAAGAATTTTAAAAACTCAACAATAAGAAAATAAATGCCCAAATTTTTAAAATGGGCAAAAGATCTGAATAGCCACTTCGCTGAAGAAGATACACATATGGCAAATAGCGTATGAAAAGAATCTCAACATCACCTGTCATTAGGGAATTGCAAATTAAAACAGTGATATACCACTACATACAAATTAGACTGGCTAAAATCTAAAATACTAACACCAAATGCTGGCAAGGATGTGGAGCAACAGGAACTCTTATTCATTGCTGATGGGAATGCAGAATGATCCCACCACTTTGGAAGACAAATTGGCAGTTTCTTAGAAAATTAAACATACTTTTACCATATGATCCAGCAACTGCGCTCCTAGGTTTTTACCGAAATGAGTTGAAAACTTATGTCTACACAAAAACCTTCCCACAAATACATATAGCAGTCTTATTCATAATTGCTAAAAATTGGTAGGAACCAAGATGTTCATCAATAGGTTAACAGATAAACTGTAGTACATCCATACAAGGGAATATTATTTGGCAATGAAAAAAATTAGCTATTAAGCCACAAAAAGACATGGAGAAAATGTAAATGCATATTGCTAAGTGCAAAAGTTAGCATGAAAGTCTACATACTGTATGATTCAAACTATATGGCATTCTGGAAAAGGCAAAACTATAGAGACAGTGAAATGATCAGTGATTGTCAGAGATTGAGGGGGACGGGTAGAAGAATAAATAGGTGAAGCACAGGGGGTTTCTGGGTGGTGAAACTGTTCTATATGATACTGTAATGGTGGGCACATGATATCATACATTTGTCAAAACCCACAGAATTTACAATACAAAGAATGAACCCTGATGTAAACTATAGGCTTTAGTTAATAAGGTGACAACAAAAAGTAATGAACTATTGAGATAATTAACAACTTGGATGAATCTCCAGGGAAATATGTTGAGTAAAAAAAGCCAATCCCGAAAGGTTTACATGCTGTATGATTCCAATTGGTGAACAGATTAGTGGATACAGAGTTAGGGAAGGCAGGGGAATGGTTGGACAAGGTCAACACAAAGGATCCTTGTGATGATGCAGTGTTCTGTGTCTTCACTGTGGCTCTGGATACACAAAGCTACCCATATGATAAAATTGCATAAAACTAAATGCACACACAGACACACACAAGGGAACATAAGCAAAATTGGGGAAATTGCATATAATTAAATATTAAATGTACACACAAGCACATGCAAGTGAATACAAGCAAAACTGGGATAATTGCATAGAACTAAAATGTATACACACACACACACACACACACGTAAATGAGTACAAGCAAAACTGGAAAAATCTGAATAAGATTGGTGGATTGGATTGCCAATGTCCTGGTTGTGATATTTTAATACTATAGTTTTGCAAGATGTTACAATTGGGAAAAACTGGGCAATGGGTATATGAGATTTCCCTGAATTATTTCTTATAGCTGTATGTGAATCTACAATAATCTCAAAAGGTTTAATTTAAAAAGTAATTGGCTATATATTTGTATATAGACATACATATGCATATACACACATATGTGTATTAAACCTATTCTGTATTTAGAAATTTTTTAGTATTTCAAATGAAAATAGAAATTCTATTTTTGAAAGCTTCTTATGTCACATGCTATAAAAGGACTATAGTTAGAATCTAAGTTTGTCTCATGAAGTAAAACAGGATAACTGTTGGTCTCAGCTGTAGAGAAAATAGTCACCTTACTTTAGTATAATTTTAGTATTCCTAAATAGGGAAGCATATTCCATTTAAGATTCTAACGATTGTCATGGTTATTACTATAAAAAGGAACCAGTAAATGCCAGCATTCAGTATTGAAATCTTGGCTGTGTTGTATTTTTTGAATAATTTGTCATCAAAGGGGAAAAAGTCACCAAATGTTAAATTTAAGTCACCACATTTCTAACACCTACTGGATAGAAAACACTGCTAAGTGATGCAGGAGTTACAAAAAAATTAATGCACAGTCTCTGCTCTCATGACTTACAGTCCAGTCATGTGAATTCATTCATATACTCAGCAAACATTTGTTGAGACCCAACTTTGTTCCAGCCATTGTGCTAGGCACCATGTTTGCTAACGTAGTCCCTGTTTCCCTGGAACTCGTAGCAGAGAGGATAAAGCTAGTATAAAATAACATAAGGTGGAATGTGAAAAACATTGTAAGAGAGCCAAAAAAAATGACAAGAGCTCACAGGAGAAAGAAATCACATCAATGCAAGAGATCAGGCAAAGATTCATAGGGAAGATAGCAGATGAAATCATCCTTGAGGGAAGGGGTAGGACTTGGGGCAGCGGAGTGTGGCTTTTGTGTGGAAACAAAGAGAAGTTGAAGCATAGGGCTTGTTCTGTGACAGTTAGTAGACCTGTTTGACTGGAACCCAGTAAGGGAGTAGGCAGGAGCATTAAGACTGGCAAGGTACAAATGTGAGGATTTGGCAGGCAAGGTGTAGCCCTTGGAGATTTTGATTCCAGGACATAGCATAATTGGAATTGCCTTTTAGGAAGAAAAATCAGTTAGTAGTGTGTAGGACTGGAATGAGGTGGACAAGAGTCAGAGCATTGTGGGAAGTTACTAGGACTACTTAGGTGGCAGTGGGAGTAAAAAAACAAAGGAACTAAATTGGAAGGCTTCATAATCCAGTGGCTTGAAATTTAACTAAGTGTAAGAATCACCTGGGATGATTGTTAAAAATGCTAATTCCTGGCTTCCACCCCCAGAAAATTCACATGTTTGAATAAACATCCCAGGTGATTCTAATGCCGGAGGTTTGCCTGAATCCCTTCCCTCATCCACGTAGGGAAAGTTGTTTTTTGAAATACCAGGAAAATCTCTCCAAAGAGGATAGTGAACCAGTATTTATTGAGCACTTATTTTATGCCAGTTTTTATGCTAAGGACTGTGCATACATTATCTCATTTAAGGAAGTAGGTATTATAATCCATGTTTTATGGTTGACAAAACTGAGGTTCACAGAGATTGTGTGCTGTTACCCCAGGATTTCATGTCTGCTAAGAGCTAGAACCAGGATATTAACCGTGTTCCATTAAACATCAGAGCTGGGGGTGCTGGTGTTCTTTCCTAAGAGATCTGTGTCATATCCCAGTATTCCACCTGAAGCAGACTGTGGTTTCTAGGTTTCTTTAGGCCTCTGGAGCCACTTGTGTCAGTCTGGGTGAGCCAAAGCTTGTCCATTTCAGCCCCATCTGGTGCATGTCAGACTCTCTGCAAAGGTCTGAAAGTAAATGTTCTTGGCCTCAAAGGGCTGTGGTTCTAATAGAACAGACTCATAAACTGATCATTTCAGTTGTGCATAGTAAGTGACAAGATGCCCTGGATTCTGTGGGGGCAGAAGAGGGGAAACTGATTTCAATCTGGGGATTCAGAGAAGACTGGAGTAGGCTCCACCACATTATGGTCTCCAACCTCAGCTGGGCCCTCAGCCTGCTGAGCAACACATTCATGTGCCCGCTGCTTTTTGTTCCCATCCTCACAATGATTATACCAGACGTTCATCTCTTTGGTAAACTACTCCCTGCCCTAAATCTCTTTGGAACCAGTTGTATCCCTATCTCAGAAAGAATATGGAAACTGTCAAACATGAATTTCCTCAGCTTCCTGCCTCTCACCCTTTTTCTCACTTACCTACTTTCCTCTAGTCTCAGGAACTCTGTCCTTTTGGAAGCCAGTTCTCCCCCATACACTTTGGACCCTCCTTGTGTCAGCCCTAAACCTGTTTTGTTTGGCCTACACATTTTGTGTTTAAGAATTTTTTACTTAGTGCTTTTAGATGAGGCATGCATCCTTCAGTCCTTACTACTACCTTTTGCATTACATGTTTCATTTGTGTTATTTTTTTCTGTCTCCTATGGGGATTTGAGGGGACTCCTAGGCCTATAAGCATAGATCTCAAAGTTAAAGCTAACTCCAGTCTTTTCTTAAACTGAGTTAATTACTGACACAGCTGGAATGGCAGCCTCTTGAGGAGTTGGGGGTGCTTTCCTGTAGGATGAAATGAGTAACCAGTGACCAGTGATGTTAAGTCCTACTCTATGTCTTGGCCAGGGACTGTGTACATTGAGAACTGAAACACTGTCAGTAATCATGATGAAGGAATAGAAAGCCCCCATAGCCCGAAAATGACATAATTCCACACGAAGCCTAGCCCAACCTACTAGAGTAATAACAAGGGAGAAAGCTGGCTTCCTCTACTCTCAGTAGCCAATTGAAGGAGATTGTTCTCAGTATCAGAAATGTCTTAGACAATTAGGAGGTTGTCTTAGTCAGCTTGGGTTGCCATAACAAAATACCATAGAATGGGTAGCTTAAACAACAGACACTTACTTCTCACAGTTCTGGAGGCTGGGAAGTCCAAGATCAAGGTACTGGCAGATTTGGTGTCTGGTGAGGGCTCTCTTCCTGGCTTGCAGACTGTTGCCTTCTTGCCTGGTGAGGAGAGAAAGAGAGAGAGAGCTCTTCTTATAAGGATACTAATACCATCATGGGATTGGGACCCCACCCTCATGTCCTCATTTAAACCGAATTACCTCCCAAAAGCTCCATCTCTAAATATCATCACATTGGAAGTTAGGGCTTCAACATATGAATTTGGAGGGGACACAAACATTTAATCCATATAATAGAAATGTTAGCTTTCACCAACCATTGCCTAATAAGTGATGCGTGGAAGGATGGGAAGAAAGAGTTTCAGTGTTTTCACTCGTATATCTGGAATATAGAAATATATCTGTGATATTTAGAGCTTTTAGTGACATGAATTAATGACAGGAAAAACACTGTCACCTCAATCTATTCCATTTTCCTTGTGCTTTGTGTATGAACAAATGCATACACTTTCTTCAGCCATTAAGAGGTGAAATACACATTCTAAACTGTGTATTAGTATGGATTTGTCTTGCTTTGACATATTGTCCTGTTAGTCTCCACGATTGCATTATGAATTGATTTATTCTGATAGTACATCATTTTCAGAATCCATTCTCAATTTTCAGTATATGAAGCAAAACCTTAGGATTATTTCAAACAGCTTTGAATGATTCTAAGCTTGCTTGATCACTTTATTCTGTTCTTTAGAAAAATGTACAGGGTTTAGAAACACGTCTATTATAGCTCAACTGATAGAGAAAAAAATTATTACAACCTTTTGAGAGTGTTAATACCATGTATACCAACAATTTACCATATTGCAAGAATCTCAATTAGCTCTTTTGAGTGCATTATAAAGAATTTAATCTGTATTCGTCTCTTCAATTAACTTACCATTTAGTTGGAAAATGGGGTATACACATGAAACACCTGAAGAGGCTTCTGCACCACACTCGACTATCCCACTAATAATGTATGTACATGTGAAAAGAGCATACACATGATTTAGAGCTGCAGTCATCTCATAAAAGGAGCCCACTTCAGCCAGTTGTTTCCTGTCACTACCTACTCAGGCCCCTTTTAACACCCCCGTCTCTGCTCCCATAACCCTCAATGGTTTCCTAATTTTACTGACGTATGGCAAGTTCTGACTGAGCCAAGAGCTGACAGTGCTGCTGAGGTGGGAGCAGAGCTGAGCTGGCCTGAGAGAGGGGACACATGGGAAGAGCCTTTAGAATGAAGTCTAGGTGAGGGAAGTGAAGAGATTACGTCAGATGGCTGGAGGAGTTATCTGGGCCAGGTGATGAAGGTCACAAGCAGTATATTAATCTCCCTGCTCTGGAACTTCCGTAGCAGTTAGCCTATGTGTGATTCCACAGTTAATTGTAATTGGCTTTGTGTTTTTACATTGAATTCTAAGGTAGTTGAAGATGTTCTACAAAACGAAAGTTAGTTATTATGAAACAGAGATAAGACTGATGGTATTCAGACCAACTGGCCAGCTATTATCTATTAGTATTTACCTAACTCGATCTAAGAAGCAAGCCCTAGGAATAATCCATTTAGAAAAATAATGGCTAAATAGATCTCTTTTACAATAGCAAAAGAAGGTAAAATGCTCAGGAAATGTTCGAGAACTTTATGAACAAGATAGTACATTTTTCTGTGAAAGTAAAAGAAGACTTGAAAATAGATAGTTATTAATCTGTTTCTGAGTGTGCAATAGGAATACCTTAAAGGGGTGTTCTCATATTAATGAGTAGGTTCAATGAAATTCCAAACAAAATCACAGAGGCTTTAAAAAACATATATATGATTCCAAAGTTTATCTGAAAGGATAGACAACCAAGAAGAACAAAAGTTTCAAAAAGTAGAGAAGTGAGAGAAAATTAATGACACTATCTATTCAAATTAAGTAAAAGTTCTAATAATGAAATCATGTTATACTACTTCTAAATTAAACAGATGAAGAAAAGCAAACAGATTAAACCAGAATCATATTCTATACAATGTAATCATTTAATGTAGGTAGAGGGAAGAATTCTTCAGTCAACAGTATTGGACATTTGTGTTAGTAAATTAACAACTGCAGGTAATAGCAGCCTAACTTCCAATGGCTTAACCAAATAGTCTGTTCCTTGCCACACCCCAAGCCTCACCTCTCCCACACCACCGCACCTTAAAGATTCTAAAAATAGGCAGGGAGGGCTGCTGTGGAAGCTCCAGGATGCCTTCAGGGCTTCCTTCCATCATTCTGCACAGCCATTCTTAGTGGGCAGCTTTAGTCATCATGCAAAATGGCTGCCTCACCTCCAGCATCTCGTGCACATTTCTGGAAGGAAACAGGCACCTGCTGCCTGAGGCTGCTCATGTCCAGGAAGCTCCATCCAATGACTTTCACTTATTTGTCACTGACCAGAATTTTGTGATATGGGCAGCCTTAGTTGCAAGAGAATCTGGGAAAGTCTAGTGTCTTTAAATAATTCCCTGAACAAAATCAAAGCCTAATAGTTAGGGAGAAGGGGAGGACAGATCCCATACAGGCAAACTGCATCATGAGCCACACAATCATTGATGGAGAGGAAAAATCCATTTAGAGCCCTTATTTCATTCCATCTACTCATATCCCAAAAGAGTACAAGAAAAGTCAATTTTTATATACTCTGTTGATTTGGAAGGACTTTAAGCTTAAAAAGTACAGAAATAAAAGAAAAGATTGATACATTATAAGAATTTAAACTTTTATGTGTTAAAACAAACAAAATTTCTAATACATCAAAGTTAAAAAGCAAGCACATATAAAATTTGCCTAATAAATATAAGAAACAAAATATTTTATATATAAAGAGCTCATACATTTAAGTACCCCAAATAAGTAGACAAAAGACAAAACAATATAACGGTTAAAAAACAGTTGGAAATAGGTTCAATTTCTTTGTTTCTTTTTTTTTTTTTGAGCTGGATTTTCGCTTTTGTTGCCCAGGCTGGAGTGCAGTGGTGTGATCTTGGCTCACTGCAACCTCCGCCTTCTGGGTTCAAGCCATTCTCCTGCCTCAGCCTCCTGAGTAGCTGGGATTACAGGTGCCCGCCGCCCCACCCGTCTAATTTTTGGAATTTTTAATAGAGATGGGGTTTCACCATGTTGGCCAGGCTGGTCTTGAACTCCTGACCTCAGGTGATCCACCCACCTCGGCTTCCCAAAGAGCTTGGATTACAGGCATGAGCCACCACGCCTGGCTGAAATAGGTTCAATTTCATTAACCATTCAAAGAATGTAAATTAAACAGAACATTTTAACCTAAAATATTAGCAAAAATTTAAAAACTAATGTTCAGTGTTATTAAAATAATAGTGAAACAGTCCCTCTCATACAGTAGGAATGTAAATCAGTATAACATTTTTGGAAAGCATTTTACTGCCTACCTTCAAGGAAGTTGCTATTTATTGGATTTTAATGTGCAACATACACTACTAAGCACATTTGTTCATTCATCCAATGTATTATTGTGCATCAAACATAAACAGGTGTCCTTTTAGGCCTGGGGCACAGCGATGAACAAGGAACTTAAATACATGATTTTTTTCTCAACAGTCCATTGTAGAGGTGATATTGTCCTCAGTTTATAGAGGAGACAGAGATGCAACGAGAGTTCCTAAGATGCCAAAGACTTACTGCTAGCACATGGCGGGAGGCCAGGATCTCAGCCCAGGTTTGTCCATTCCACAGAGGGTGCTATAGGCTTCCCAGGTATGATGAGAGCCTTAAAGCTGTTCATAACTTTTGATCTTGTAACGTCACCCCCAGAAATCATCCCTAAGGAGAAAATATGAATTATTTCAAAAGCTTCAGGAACAGATATATATTGATACAGTTAAAGATATATGTGTACGTGTGTGTGTGTGTGTGTGTGTGTGTGTGTGTGTGTCTATCTTACGGTGTTATTTAAAACAGCTTTAAATTGGAAACAACAAATTCTCATAAAGGAATGGTTAAAATATTTCATTAATACATCCTAACCCTAAAATATTGTGTAACTATTAAAAAAATGTTGTAGGCTGGGTGCGGTGGCTCACACCTGTAATCCCAGCACTTTGAGCGGCCAGGGTGGGCAAATCACCTAAGGTCAGGAGTTCAAGACCAGCCTGGCTAACATGGCAAAACCCTGTCTCTACTAAAAATATAAAAATTAGCTGGGTGCAATGGTGAGCACCTGTAATCTCAGCTACTTGGGAGACTGAGGCAGGAGAATCGCTTGAACCCAGGAGGTGGAGGTTGCAGTGAGCCAAGATCGTGCCACTGCACTTCAGCCTGGGCAACAGTGGAAGACTCTGCCTCAAAATAAATAAATAAATAAATAAATAAATAAATAAAATGTTGTTAAGGGGTGATCAAAAGAGAGTAACATGCATACATTTATAATTTTATGACAAATCTGCAAAGTGTGTGTAAGAAAATTAAGGCAATATATTAACATACCACATTGTCCTTGTGATGAGGCTCTGCTTTCTTGGTTCTTTCTACTTTCATACTTTTTCACAAGAAGCATGTATTATGCTTATAGTTGGAAAAATAATAAACTGAATGTTAAAATGAAAATAAAAGTAAATAAATTCAGAACTTTTAAAATGTAGTATCATAAACTAAGAGGTGTATAAAGCTATTTACCTGGCAGAGGAAATGCTATGGTTTTCCAGAATTACAAATCCATTGCCTCTAGATGTATCTATTCTTATAGGTTTCCCAAATGTGGAAAACTTGAGTACATAATTTGTGGTACTATCACTATAAAATCTGAATAAGAAAGCAAGTATTAGTAAAAATGGGAGAAAACTTCCTTTGAAAAAAAGTTGGTAGCTCTAAAGAAAACAAATTTTAGTGCACGGCTGTATAATTACTATATGGAATTAGGCCAAACAAGACATTTCATTAAGTGGTGGGTTATTTGTAAGCCTGGAGCATCAGAAGGAACATGATATGGCTGAATGTTTTTAGAAATTAGCAAGGAATACTAGCGTAACAAGCACAGTTTTTTGATTATCTAAAATATTCACTTTTGGAAAAGCATGCAAATGATGATGTCTGGCGGGCAATAGATAAGTGTATGATAAACCATGTTTCAATACAGTAGATTTGGGCGCCATTGATGGTTGTGAAGTGATATTGTTAGGGCATGGAATAGTTTGGTTAGATTAACATAATACAGAAAGATATTCTTATCAAGTTATTAGCAATCTAAAACTTTATTATATTTGGGTATTATTTTGAAAAAAGACAATGGAAATAACATAATGTTTCGTATTTATGCTCAATCTTAGTGAAATGATTAAATTATAGTGACTAATAAATAAATGAGTGCAATCACCCCTGAGAAAGCGTTGGTTCTCCTACACATTAATTGCACCTAGTATGGTTCTATCTTTGCTGATCATAGATCATTCTTGTTTGGGCTTCACATGTCCATAGCAGTGGCCAACAGCTTCCAGTTATGTCCTGAGTCCCTTTGGTGACGTTCATTTTCATGGCATATTGAAGCATACGAGCACAGTAAGCAGCAGACACTTCTGGAGAGTGTGCAGCTGGTTCCTCATTGTCACTATGCATCCTTGAACCCTGTTGGTTACATTACATTAAATGACTTTATCCATTGGTTATTTCAATTCTGTTCCTCTTCAGACAGGGAATAAATCATTTACAGATTGCCAGCACTTCTGAAATGGCAGGCTTATGGTAGCAGGATAACCTTAGGAGGTTGGTTAAGATCTTTGGGAATTCAGACTTACAAGAGTCCAAGTCTATTAACATTATTATTTAGCAATAAAGGTAAATTAGAAATAAAAATGATAATATTTAGAGGAGATATTTGCCAGTTTGAAATAAAAGAAATTCATGTGGATAGCAAAAGAAAAATTTATCACAAGAATTACTCAGAATATTTTGCAGTGCTGAGTTTGGACTTCTTCTGATAAAGTATTTTATTTGTTAGTGTTTTCACTTTTATAAAAGTTAGAACTTGGTGTTGTAGGTTGCAGATTATATTAACTAACTTAGTTTCTAAAACGTGTTAACAGAAAAAGGAAACTCTGTAAAATATTTTAAAGAGATTTATTTTGAGCCAATAAGAATAAAATAAAAAGAGGTTTATTTTGAGCAATCTGGTTACAGATTGGTTTTGTGCATTTCAGAAAGACAGGAATTATAAAATCATAAATCAACAGATGAAAGGCATACATTGGTTCAGTTTGAAAAGGTAGACCGTCTCAAAGGAGGGACTTAGAAGTCAGAGTTGGGTTTTAGGGATTCTTTGGTTGGCAATTGGTTGAAAGAGTTAAGCTTTGTCTAATGACTTGAAGTCAGTACAAAGGAATGCTTAAGTTGAGACTGGGGACGTCTGTTATCTGTGCTGTGATGCTACATCACAGTCAGGTTGGAAAACAAGCCACATTATATTGGATTAATTTTTAAAAACCTTTTAATTAGATTTTGTGATTTGTAGGGTGTGACTTAACACTAGTCTGGCATGGCCTTGGGTCTTGTTTATAATTTGGTGTCTTATTGCCACAAAAAGTTTGTTCTGTGAGTCTTATGATCTCTGTTTTAACATTAATGCTAGTCAGTTGTGCCGAAACTCCAAAAGGGAGGGCGCATAACGAAGCGTGTCCAACCTTCTTTCCTATCATGGCTGGGAATTCAGTTTGTCAGGTTTTCTGGGGTCCCCGTGGCCAATAGGGGGTCCATTCAGTTGGATGAGGGGCTTAGGATTTTATTTTTAGTTTACGAATGTCATGTGATCAGCTATATTCTTCATTGTCAGTGAAAAGATATGATGTTAGATAAAACTACAAAGAAAAGATACGGTTTTCAAGCTACTAGAAAGAGCTTTTGAAATATCTCAGTAATGGACAAAACGTCCATTGCTTTTAGCCCATTTTGTCTAGGTCAACACTAACACAAAAATATATTGCAGGTTCATGAATCTTTCCCAAGAAACATATTTCAAGTATTTATATTTTATAACCAAAGAAACCTTTTAGAAAGTTGTAATCAATCTAAGAAAATCTACCTTTGAAATTGTTTAAATGCAGAAAGGAGGGGTCACCTTACATACTTTTCCTAAAACTTTACATCTCTGCTTTTCCCTAAACCTTCACCATAAAGAGCTTCTGAGAAAATGTGTTGGGGAGAAACAAAAAGGATATTGAGAACTGACAAACAAGTGAATGTTCTCTTTATTTAAGTGACTTGTGTTGGGACTATGTTTACAACATGTGAAACATATCTAGTTATTTAGAAGAGCCTGGTGCACCCCCACCCATTGTCATGAGGCCCACCTGCTCTTGACATTGCTCTAGGTCAGGGTGTCTAGACGGAATGGCCTCTAGTCTGTATGACCTCAAGTCACCTTTATGTCACTTATTAAAAGGCACCTCTGCCATCTATTGGAAAATTGTTGCAGTATGCTGATTTTGTTAGGAGGCTCTTCATTGCCTTATGACAGACATTTGTCGTGATAACTATACAAACCCATGATGTGAATAGCACCCCCTCAGACATGGCGCCATTGCATAGTGCATGACCTATACCATCATAGGGGACATTTGCAAATAGATAAAAAATAGAAATCACCATGGCAACACTTATATATAACATGAACGTTAGAAACCATGTTCCTTGCAGTAATGGCTGGGAAGTTCCTTTTCAGCAAGTTGATGGTACTGAAATGTGGAGGTAGGGTGTGGGGTGGAGGATTCTTTCATTGATAGCTTCCATTATTGAGAACAAGAGCCTGCCTATTGCTCTTTATATGTGCTTCAGTCAGTTAAAAAGAGTCTACAAATTCCAACTACTTAGCCAAATGGAAAAGATTCTCTGTTTACAGAGAAAACACAAAGCTTGCTTCTTCCCCATCATTAAGCAGGCTGAGTACACTTAGCAGAACTTTTCCACTTAGGTATCCAAGTTAAGGCTATCAGTGACTTTTCTTGAAATCTAAATATTTTAGAAACATTTTGTAGGGAAAGCTGTTCACAGGCCTGTTAAAAAAAATCAAATAAATAGTTTGGGGGTTTCCATCTTGGAATTAGAATGTTTATTTAAGAAACTCTAATAAAGCCCTCTTTCAAGCCCATGAAAATTACAGTCAGAACCAAGTGGTAGATTAAGGATTCAGGAAATAGCTATTGATTTGTGAGGGACAGAGGGAAAGAAAGGGCCAGGAAAGGAAGGAACTTGATGAGAAACTTTTTGTAATGGTCCTTATTTCCTTCAACTTTGAAAAACCATTTCACTGGCAGTAGAATTTAAAACACTCTCATTCTGCAACTACCTCTCCCAGGCAATAGACGTAGTGCCCAGGGCATGGCTCAGGCTGGGCTTCTATGAGCAAAGGCATGAACATAGGTGGGGCTGACGCACTGGCTGCAAGACTTAGTGCAAAAAGGATTTTCAGTGGGAGGCAGGCGGGGCAGTATGGGAAAGTCCAAAGCATCATGCCCAAGGGATTGGGCAGAAATCAGAAAAGAATCTGAAAACTGGCAAGAAGAGACCCTGATTGGTGAGGGAAGATTGTGTTTCAAAGATTCCAGAAGGATGCCAGAAGTGGACCCTTTTATAGCGTGCCCACAAATGAGCCCTAAGCAGGGGGAAGCCCATGAAAGAAAACTCTAACCTGCCTTTGTATTTACTTTTCAAAACCTCCATGGTCAAGAAATCAGAAAAAAGTGAGGAACACATGATATTAACGCACAGGGATGTGTTACAAAAGATAGCCGAGAGTTCTATGAAGAAACGCCAAGGGCATGTACAAAGTGTATTTTGTGACAAAGCTGGACAAGCACCTGGAAGTAAATGTAGAAGTGTAATAGTTCTGAAGTAGCTACATTGGAGATCAAAGGCTCTGGGTGATTTAGAAGAAAAAAGTAGCTTAGCCAAATATCACTGATGACATTTAACACTTTTTACCTTATGCATGTAATTATTCTATATAAATATAATCGCAAATCAGTGACCCATATAAGGTTTTCTAATAAATGAGCATGCTTAGAATTCCATACTTGCTTGTTCTCTGCATTTCCTGTTTCAGTGAAGTAATGGTGAGAGATATAGGTATTAGGTGTCCTTACTATTACTTACATTTTTTGATTCAGTAATTATATAAACCCTATGGATGTTTAGGGAGACCCATAATCCCCAGTTGAGCGTTAGTTATTGTGTGGTTAATGTTGTGTGGCTTAGTATACTCACCAACTGCATGGTCAGGGAGGTAGAAAAGAAACTTGCCCTGGAAAGACAGTCTTTTTAAAATTTTCAGTGACCTTGCCTATTAGTAGATATGACTCATCAGTGTCTTCAGGTGTTTTACAACCAAGAAAATTAGTAATTTTACCCTTTGGGCATGAAGTGGAACAGGATGGAAAGTAAAGATAAAAAATCAGAAACCTCCTCTCCATGTGTCTACTAGAAGGGATATTAAAAATGAAGTCAGTGGCTCTCACCCTTGGCTGCACACTAGAATCACCTGGGACTTTTACAAATTCTAATACCCAGACCATACCCTGGACCAATCAAATCAGAATCTCTTAGGATGGGACCTAAGCAGCAGTGCTGTGTATGGGGGTCTGGGGAGAGTGGGGTGGGTGGGGGTGGGTGTGTGTATCCACAGATAGTTCCTTTTGGGAACACCTGGATTAAATGAAATAAGGCAAGTGCCTGACGTACATTTAGTGCCCAATGAGTGTATGCACCACCTTTGAATTGTTTGCTGCTACCCCATCTCTCCCTTTTCCAAACTTGCACAAGAATAGTATTGTATCTGTCTTGGTCTTTCAAAGTGTATCATAGGTGACTTTGCCTTAGAGTTAGATAATTCGTTTTTGACTTCATGCTGACAAAGGCAGAACTCTCTTCTTTTCTCTCTCTCTCTTTTTATTTTATGTAGTTATTTTTTTTTTTTTAGAAAAGGCCTCGCTCCGTCTCCCAGACTGGAGGACAGTGGTACAATCATAGCTCACTGCAGCCTTGAATGCCTGGGCTCAAGCCATCCTCCCACCTCAGTGTCCAAAGTGCTGGGATTACAAGCTTGAGCCACTGCACCTAGCCCTTTTCTCACTTTTAATATACCATCTCATTATTTATTTTGTTACTTTATCTTCCAATATTACTTAACTTCTCTCACCTATAAGCCCCAGAATCTGTCGGTTTAGGAAGAATCATTACTTCCGTGTCTCTAGGGATTTAATTTAGCCAAACCTTCTTGAGCACTTCAGAAAAATCAGGGTGGAAATAAAGTTTAAGGAATAAAGGGAGTTTTTAAAAATAGAATACAACTCATCCATTTCAATTCAATTCAATTCAAATGCCTTTCTCTTTTCCAAGCATTTTTAATAAGCTCACTTAAGAGTCTTGTTGAAAAATAAATAAATTACACTTGTTTTCATTAAGAGAAAAGATCTTTTTCCATTTTTGCTGGTATTGTTGAAGGAAACAAAAAAGAGTCTAAAACTTGGCAAAGGAGGACATTATTAGTGACATATTGGTCACAGATGTGCTGGTAGAGCTACATTTTCTTCCTGCCATTAGGATTTTAAGTGCTCACAAATTACATATGAAAGTCCAGATAACTTTCTTACAAAAGGGAAAGATGAAAAAAATTATGATACTTGCAAAATCTTCATTTTTAAGATATTCTTAATAAGTTTTTATAAAAAAGAAAATTACACATGTCCATCTGCTAGTTTTTCTTTTAAAGGAAAAGTAGTGCTGGATGATGCCAACATTTACTTAGTGTCAACAATTCCAAATGTTTTAAACGAGTGAAGATACCTGAGATACTCTTTGGCAATACTTGTGAATAATAAGATTTCCTTTCCTTAACAATTCTTAAGAAAATCAAGAAGGCAAAATTTAAGAGGTAGAAAGGAACTCTCTTTAGTAACTTTATGACTCAAATCTGTAGGCCTGTGAAGCAGAGTATGAGGAGTTTAGCCAAATTTTGTTCCACTGCAGAAAGTCCTGAAAGGACTTTAGGGAGAGTATTGACAAGCCAACTCTGGAAACAGGGTTAGGATTCACCTGGGAGGAAACGGTGTTGGCATCAGGATGCCCATTAAGGTAGTTGTAATAGAGGAATGTAATTCCAGATCTAAGGCTCTGACTAAAAGGATGTAATGGAAGGAAAGGTATGTTGTAAATGAAAAAGGATCAAGAAATGGATTTGAGAGGCATTAAAATAATAATGGCAAGCTAAATCTTTATTATAAGACTTGAAAATTTTTTATTCACCTTGATGAGAAAACTCAATAGGGGAATAACTCCTAGAAGGATGACAGATGCCTCAATTTTCATCACGTTTAAGTTGGTAAGTGAACCAGTTTGAAATGTCATGTAAATTGAAAGTGATATGAAATTGAACAAAGGAATGAGTTCACTGCCTATGTAAGAAACTGAATCATGACACAGAAAAAATATGGCCTAGTTTCCTGATATGCAGATAGAAAATTATTATCTGTATTTTTAATTCAGAAAGAATATGCATTCTAAGATGATTTAGCGATCTGATTATTACAATGACAGGTGGCTTTAAATCAGGAGCTTGTAATATATTTTTCAGTCTCAAAGCTATTTGATAGTACTGTGAAGGGAATGTCAGTGTTTGATTCTAATCCAGTGCTGTCTGGTATCTTGTGTGTTATTTGCTTTTATAAGTTCAAGACGTCATACTATACAGCTTTTTAAAAGCCTGTAGGGAAGACTTCAAGTTCTTTTCATTCTCAGCAGTACCTTGTTTTCTTGCTTCCCATTTGCTTAGGAAAGTGACAATACTGGAGGATCCTGATCAGAACATTCACCTGAAAAACTTGACTCTCCATCAGGCAACCACAGAGGAAGAAGCTCTGAATTTGCTTTTTTTAGGAGACACCAACCGAATGATTGCAGAGGTAATAAACTTCTCTCTGCAAGCTGTTTCTTCAACATTATAAGATACAGTATCTGAAGCCAAGGCAGAAAAAAAAAAGATATAATAGAAGTTTAGGGCCAACAATGACCTTAAAAATAATCTCGTCCAAACCTCACATGCAGATAAAGAAACCCAGATCTAGATAAGTGAGGAGACTTTCCCAAGGTCACCCAGCTAGCTAATGAGCAGGAACAGAAATCTAGACCCCTGGATTCTCAATCCACTGCTTTTTCTACTTTAGTGTATCTACCTTTAAGTTTTTATTTTTATATTCTAAGTTGTATACAAATTGGTTTGTACATTAATGACAATGTATTACATGTCTTAATTGTAGGAAGTTTTGCATATTTTCTAAAATTTAAAAATACTCAGTCCATTTTTCCTAACCTGAAATCATCCATATGTTGGCATGTGTTTACATATCCATATGTTTTCATTTAGTTAGTGGGTTAATATGTATAAAGTACTTAGAACAATGCATTGAACATAGGGAGTATTCTATGCATTTGCAGCTATTGTTGGCATATCTGGTAACACCACTATAGTGTGTATATCTCAGTGCAATATTTGGAACATGCTTATATTTAAAATTATTCATTGTTAATCTGACATTCAAATTTAACTGAGTTCCTATTTTATCTGAGAATTCTATATAGGAGCTAGGATTGACCCAGCTTGGTCAGGGGCCCAAATTGTAACTGGTTTCTGATTGCAGATGGAGGGTTATGAAGCTCTCATCCAGCTACACTGTGGTGAAGGGAATGGGATGGTGGTGGTGGTGGTGGTGGTGTGGGAACAGTTCCCCAAATGAACAGCTTACTGTTTTCACTGGCATTTTCTTTTTAAACCACCCTTCCAGAGTTCTGTATTTTACCTTGTCTCTGATAACAAGTATTAGGTAGGCATAGTAAGCTGAAAGCATAAGTAGTCCGAGAAAAATCTCCGTCAAGGGACCTTTTATTCAGCCCCATGTCTGCCCTCTAGAATGCCCTGCCTTAGACGCAAGATAGACCAATGCAAACCAAATTCAGATACTGAAAGCATCGTATTGATATCTGTTATTATTTTGGGCCCTTAGTTTTTGTTTTTGTCACAGTTGTTTACCAGTTTTGCATCAATACTTTTCAATAGACTAGCTAACTTATATAGGTTGAGTTTATGTGCCATATATATGGATTTAAGGTCGCTTAAATTTTTACTTTTATTTGAAACAACATTCACGTAGTTTTAAATCTCAGAATATTTTGTTTTGCTTTACAAATTTGTATTTGTGCTCAGTACTCCAACATTTTGCCCATTTGATCTTTGTGATGCTCTTATTTGTCATAATAATCGAAGATTAAGGAATAAAGGTTGAGTAAGAATTTGGGCGTATGATGACAAAGGATTTAGCATGCTCCACTAAATCCTGTTCCTCCATATATAGTTTAATAAACAGCAAACGAGGAGATACAGAATAGAAATGGGTCCTGTCCACCAATGCTTATGAAAAAGAGAAAAGATAGATTCATAAACTTCTATAAGGAAAACAAGTAGAGGAGCCTGTTGCCGCCTCAGTGCTAACTGACTTTCTTTCGGAGGCGATCCATCCCTAGAGAAGTACAGGCCTCATCCTTGCCAATTACTTTCCCTCACCTTCAGTGGGTTATGGAAAGGCCCTTAACCTGTTCCACCATGATCTCCAGTAGCTTAAAAGCTTGGCCATTTGCTCTTTCAAAGTTATGCATGAACTTTAACTACATGGTTTCAGGCTGGGGTTTTGCAAAGTTTTAAGGAAATTCCTTTGTGAAACTTACCTGTCTTACCACCTTACAAAATTCCAAGTCTTTTTTAAAATTTTTCTTTTTAATTTTTTATTTTTTGAGACAGTCTCACTCTGTTGCCTAAGCTGGAGTGCCATGGTGTGTGTGATGGCTCACTGAAACCTCCATCTCCCGGGTTCAAGCCATTCTTGTGCCTCAGCCTGCCAAGTAGCTGGGACTGCAGTCATGCGCCACCACACCTGGCTAATTCTTTTGCATTTTTGGTAGAGACAGGGTTTCGCCATGTTAGCCAGGCTGGTCTGGAACTCCTGGCCTCAAGTGGCCTGACCACCTCAGCCTCCCAAATGCTGGAATTACAGGTGTGAGCCACCGCGCCCAGCCAGAATTCCAGGTCTTTTCCTATTACTTACTGATGAGTGTTTAATATTATAAATAGCTGAAACCTGAAGAAGGCTAATCCTAATAATGCTGGTTGTGCATTAATTTTTGTTTAATTTGTTTATTTTTCCTATGTAAAGCCTGTTTTATTTAAAAAACCAAGTCTAATAGGTTTTGGTTGCTTCTGTGCTTGCTTTTGTCTTTTCTTTGGTAATAATAATTACCATGTTACAATGACAGCCTGCTTAGTGTAAGTCTTTCCATTGTTGTAGACATGTTATATATATATTTCTAAATTATTTTAAAAGTATACCCAATATTTAGCACCTTAGTTTATACCTTGAAAGCAATGAAAGCAAATACATAAAAATATAAATGACAAGTAACTGTCAACCACTAGAAATTCCTTATTATTCACAGTCTTCTAAAAAAGCATGTTTTGGATTACAACCTGTCAGAATGCAATTTGTCAGCACAGAACGATCTTACCAGGATAAAAAGAACAAACGAATCATTTTTTTAAAAAACGAAGTTCCCAATTTCCCATTTACACAGAGGAATCCAGAAGTTGCCTTGGTAACCAGAAAACATTTGCAAAACAAAGTCTGAATATGTGGGACACAAAGTGGAGTGCTCTTTCCTTTCATGTTCTTTACCCATAGCCAGCATTTTAAGGAAAAGTTATTAAGAGTAGCTTCAGCCTCTTCTTATTTATTCAGAACTCTTAAGTAATTTCAGCAATCCTACCAATGTTTTGAATAAAACTTGATTATGTCCCTAGGATAAATTTTTTTTTAAGTTGAACTGCTGGGCCAAAGAGAATAAATATTATAAAAGCTGAACTGTGTGTGACCCAGCATCCAAGTCCACCAGTCGCAAGTATAACTTGATACTTTTTTTGTCTTATAGCTGAAATATTTCTATCAAGTCATCAAATCTAACTGAAGAAAGCAGCCTGCATTCAATGATCAGGCCATGCATAGTGCCATAGATAGGACCATTTGCCCCTACCTTGAAGGCATAGTCCTACCCATGGTCTAGGGCACTCTGTGCCCAAGTATGGTCCTAGGAAAACCTGTGTTAGAATACCCTGTGATAATTAAATGATGCAGTTTCTTGGATTACATTTCTGGTTGATGGATTCAGAATCTCTTCCATGTGGAGCCCAGGAATGTGCATTGTAGCATTTTAAATGTGCTCAGGCTAAATTTGGGAGCAGTCTGGGCTTTACCCTTAAGAAAGCTGGTTGAAACCCACTCCCAGAGGCAAAAAAAACCAAGCAGGTCTATATTCTGCACCCTTGTCAACACCACAACATTTGAAAATTCTGCCAATTTGGTAGACAAAAAAAGAAATCTTGTTTTAATTTGCATTTTGATTACCAAATACTTTTATATCTTCGTTGGCCATTTGCATTTCTGTTTTTGTTCATGTCTTCTGTTTGTTTCTCTCTTGAAGTGTTAGGTTAGGTCTGATTGATCCGTTGACCCCATGAGGGCTGGAACTTCATCCTATTCAGCAGTTTGTTGTACTGTGTACTGGCAGCTGTAGGAAGTGAATACTGTGTCCGAGTGGTCTAGCATATAATTTCTTATATAGGTATTACCTGGTGTAGTTATTGACCTGGATGGATTCTGGAGCAATAATATGCTGTATCTGGTATAAAACATTTGCTGTGAAACTGCTTGCAGGGGACCTTTGGTGAGAAAGGAACACTCGGTGCCGACTTTGGGAAAGTCCGGGGTCCCCTGGGTGGGCAGCTTGCTTTCTTTCCGCCTGGCTTCCTTTCCCACGTGAATGGTCAGGTGACTTCCTCCAGTCAGTGTTGGTTCTACTCTGTGGTTTCTTCACCATCTCCTGCCATCCCCGCCAAGTAGTGCTGAAGAGCATGAGCTTTGGAGACCTTCTTTTCTACCCCTGGCTCCACCCTTTGCCAAGTGTGTGTCCTTGGACAAGTCACTTAACTGGTCTAAACTGTACTTTCTAACCTGTAAAATGGGCATAATAATACCCACCTTCTAGGGATATAGAAACAATTGAATTAAATAACATTTGGACAGGCCCTGGAGTTCTTAGCTGGCAACTATTTAAAGACAAGACTTTCGTCTTGTTCATCTCTATTCTCTCAGCACCTGGCAACTAGTAGGTCATCAGTTACTGATTAACTGTTTTGTGGAATTCATGAGAGAGGAAGACCTGGTGATTTCAGGCAATAAGACCTCCAATGTCAGGCCCAGAATTGAAAGTGATTTTATGGTACACTGTGCCTATTAGTGAGTACTGAGAACATCACAGATGACTTCAACATTTTGTGTGTGTGTGTGATACTTCAAATCTTTTGAAAGAGGTTACTTTCCAAATAATTAGCCTATCAACAAAGTTTATGGGATTTATAAATAATTTCCCCAAGAGGGATTAGAGGTCTTTATACCTAATTCTTTGCTTGAAATAAAAGACATACAGACACTCCCCAACTTACAATTTTTCAGCTTTAAATGGTGCGAAAGTGATATGCATGCAGTAGAAACTGTACTTCAAGTTGTCATACAATGATTCTGTTTTTCACTTTCAGTACAGTCTTCAATAAATTATATGAGATATTCAACACTTCATTATAAAATAAGGTTTGTGCAAGATGATTTTGCCCAACTGTAGGCTAATATAAGTGTTCTGCGCACGTTGAAGGTAGGCTAGGCTAAGGTATGATGTTCAGTAGGTTAGGTGTATTAAATGCATTTTCAACTTATGGTATTTTCCATTTATGATGGGTTTGTGGGAACATAACCCCATGTCATAAACCGTGGAGCATGTGTACTAGATTTATCTGAGTTATGCTGATGTGCTTTGTAAGCTCTCAGGCTTTGCACATTAGCAAACTTTTGGAGTAAGTTGTATGACCTTGTGGAAGTGCAAATAATTGGGAGACAGGGTGTGAGTTGGGGTTAATAGGTTTATGTGAGTTATAGGAACAGCTGTTCTTGGACGTGTTGTCTAATAACATAAGGATAGGGCAGGAAGGAAGGAGTAGCTTTATTGTGTGATTGTGTTTGTTAACACAACTTTAAGCCCCAATCTCCTTGTGGGATGTGTGTGGAAAACAAGAGGATTTTGGTTTCAATTAGTTCCAAAATCATTAAAGGGATACTGACTAACACATCCTCACAAATTTTTGTTTGAAAGATATGTTAGTTATATATAATTAGCAAGTTTGTTATAAAATTTGTGAACCTGGTTAGAGCAAAATATACAACAGGCAAACTATATTTTGGCCTTGATCTTATTACAGTAAGAATAGCATGTTTAGCAGGGCGCAGTGGCTCTCACCTTTAATCCTAGCTGCTCAGAAGGCTGAGGCAGGAGGATTGCTTGAGCCCAGGAGTTTGAGGCCAGCCTGGGTAACATAGTGCGACTCCACCTCAAATAAATAAATAAATAAATAAATAAGAATAGCATTTTCTTCTTATTAGGCCCTGATAAGTAGCTAGAAGCCTTAGTAAAAGATATATTGACAATTCTAACCTCTTTTCTTATCTATTATACATACCTACTAGGTATAGAAGAAAAGAAACTTTAATTTTGAGCACTTACTATATGACAAGCATTTCTTTCTTGTTCTTATATTTTATATATGAAATACATGAGAAATATACAGTGTTCTTTAAATAGCACTTCTGTGTTATAACACAGTTTGCATTCTGATCTAACCTGATTTAATGGTATTACATGAACCATGAGATTTGTTCTAAAACATCGATTAAAATAAATGAGTGGTATGGAACAGCTATTATTAGAATTTTAAGATTTATATACTCCATATACATTATTAAAAGAATAGTCTTTTGGCTATAAAATTTAGTCCCAGAGTTTCTTCTGATCTTTAAAGTTCTCATCTCGAATTAAACATAGCATATGAAAGTCACTTTTACTCTATTCAGTATTATTGACATTCACCAACAACAGCAACAAAAAATGAAAGAGAGGAGAAAAAAGCCATCTTCAGTGAAACAAGGAAATAGCCATAACCTCAAACTATGAGAAAACCTGCCAAATACTATGAATTTGACTTATGGTGAGAGAGGGTGCTGAGAGCCAACTCATATGTCCTCCAACCTCAGGCAGGATAGAGTTTCCCTTTAAAGAAAGGGTCACAATTCTCAAATGCAAATCCAATGATCTTTTGGTTAGAGTGATGAGATCTGAAACACAGGCAAGTATGGAGGAAGACTCTGGGAATGTTATATAGATATTCATTCTAACTATAGAAGGTGGATCCAAAGAAGAAACCTTAAATACAAGCCATTTTTATGATCAGTGATGTAGGCTCATGCCAAAGAAGATGGCCTTTGGTGAGTGGGGTTCAGGGAGTTTGTTATTTAAGGGACTTAACTGTGAGCCATCCCAGACCTATTCATGTGAAATATTGAGGAAAGTTTATGCTCTTGAGGCTAAAGACATAACAGATGTAATGTAAAAGTATTCAGGATGTAAACCCAATATGAATATTTCCTCACCTATCCTCTAGGCTACTCTTTAGGAAAGGGATAGTCATGTTCAAAGATAAAATTATCAGAAAGAAAACATCCCACAACCTATTTATATATATGGAGTAGGTGTCAGGGCTAAGGAACATACATCTGAAGGCTGATTAAATCAGAGAGCACAGGGCTTGTTCTTCATAATCTTAAGTATGTTATTTAAAGACAATCTTTGTTTTTTAAAAAATAGCTTAATATTATAGAAGAGCCCAAAGAAAAAGATTACAAGACAAAGAAAAGCAAACTTGAAAAACTTCAGAAAATAAATGAAAGAGAAAAAGCCATTAAAGAGATTAAAGTGCCATTAGAAGTGAATAGAAAGGAAGAAGAAGAAGAGGAAGAGAAGATATAGGAGAAGGAGGAGGAGGGAAAAAGAAGAGGAAGAAACGTGACTGAAAAATAACTAAGTATATAAAAATTAATGAGAGAAGGTGTATCTAGAAAGAGAGACAAAGGAGCATCCAATTATGCATAGTTAGAAATCCTGAAGAAGGGGAGGGAACAAAGGCAACAGAAAAACTAGAGAAAAGTTTTCTGAAACTTGGAATTACTTGAATCTGCAGATGAAAAGGACGTAACTGAAAAAATTGGAAGAGCTCAAAGAAAAAATTGGAAGAGCTCAATTCCAAGACATCCTCTATTGAAGTTACTAAATTACAAAGCTAAAGAAAGAGACTTAAGGGCATCTAGTCAGAAAATACAAGTCAACTATAAGTGAAAATAAAATAGGTTGTTATGCCTACCACTGGACATCTGTGCTTCTAGAGTTCTTTCTTCGGCATCTGTACTCTGAGTGACATTGTCCTAAAATTTATGTCTGTTACTGATCTTGATGTCCAAACTCGAAGATTGCATTGAGTGCTATCCCAATAAAGTTTCACAGTATATATTTTTTTTCATTAGAACAAAATGATACAAATGGATATCTAAATTCTCCTTGGTGTGTTATCATTACCTGTGTCTTAATTGTTTATACACAGGATAGTAAAAGGTAATTTCAGCTTGTCTATAATCCCAAGGTATGTAGTATGTATAAAAAAGACAGTTTGAATAAACTGCTAAAATTCTTAGGATTGTTAGTTCTTTTAGCCCCATAATATTATTATTCCACTTATGTGAATAGTCAGACTTGGAAATTTTTAAGCGAAGGCTGAATTTTAATAGGAAGAGAAAAAAGAAAAAAATTCAAACTCAATTTAAAAGATGAAAAATGGACAGAGTAGACAATTATGATAAGTTACTGTTTTGATGGCTAAATTTAGCTTATAATTCTTTTTGCAATCAAGTGAAAAATACAGCAGGGGGTTGGGCAGACATTTTGGGTTATATAATTTTCATTGTTCAGAGAGCAAACCTTAATGCTTGTGGAGGATATGATGCTATCTAGCTCAAGAATGATGTGTAAGAATGATAATTGAATGTAGTTCCAATTAAAGATACAGGCAAAATTCCTTCTCAGTTTCCCATATGTACCACAATTTAGCCGACTTAGATTTTGATATAAATGTGTTTGACTTTAATTTGCCAAATCCTGGAGAAATGACCCTTAGGGAAGTAATCCAAATCCTGACATCCACAGAGGAAACTTCAACAGAACCACTAATTCTGACTTTGTTTTCCCAAAATTTTTGAGTCGGCCAATAGATCTTTGAGGATGTAAAAGTCAAAAATCCATCAAATTGATTCCAGACTTGTTAGGAGGGATACACAATAAAACATACTAGACCTATTCTTATCATAAAGGTGAATCATAATTATTAGAACATTCTTATTATATGTTCCAGATTGCTCCAAAGTTTGTTTTTAAATTTTAAATAAAATTGGTGTGTCTAGTCTATTTCTCTTTTACAAAACTACTTTGACAACATGCTGGATAAGAAAAAGACCTAGAATCCTGCAACTGGGGAAAATCATTTTGACTACTTTCCTAAAAGCCAGGTATCTTATAAACAGAAAAGTCAGAAAGAAAAATGAGAAGTTTAGGATCATTAATTCCAGTAGAGGAATATCCACTCAGGAATATTTTGTTGCTAGGCAGTGTGTTCTGAAACAACTCCAGAAAAGTTCAAGGTAGGTGTTTGTAGGGTCACGTGCTAAACCACTAGGTTTGGTCAGGTCTCACTTTTCCAGGCTGAGTTAGAGTACATCAAGGGCATAGCAAGCTTCCTAATTCAATTCATTTAATATGGGAAGAACTATATAAAGAATCACTTAACCAATAGGTAACAGATTCGGTAATTCTTCATTAAGGGTGAGGTTTAACCTGAAAGGCCAAGATGCCAACCCAGAAAACATTTAGAAAACCACATGGAAGTTAGCATTTTCAGTCTTCAACTCAGATAGAGCAAGTGAGCAGAGGAACAGATCAATTAGAGTATCAGTGTAGAAAGTGTTATCAGACAAGGAGAACTGAAGTGGAAAGCTGAATTCTAGATCCTGTGGTTGCTATTGTTGTTCTTAGTTGGTTTGTTTTAAGGAGTCTCAGGCATATGCTTTATAATGTCCTGTTCAATCGAAAAGAGATTTCCTTTATTTGATCTATTCTAGATTAGTGGAAATTCCTGTCGAGATATTTTACTCCAAGATAACAAAGTGATTGAAAAAAAGATTTTGGTACACAGGAATGGAATAAAAGGTATAAGTTATGGCAAGAAATAAGTAAGTGGTACCCTAGAAAATTTTTAATATGATATACAGAGGTTATTTGAATCATTGAAGGCTGCATTAACTGTCTATAATCATTTTTGAAGTGATTGAAAACATTAGTTTAACTAAAAGCAGAAAAAAATTAATTTTACAAACATCCACAAGAGCATATTATGTAAACCTCAAGAAATTATATTTCACTTATTGAATAGGAAGAGAAAAAAGAAAAAAATTCTTTTTTGCCCCCAAATCAGAATTATCATTACTAAAAATGGCTGGACACACACGCACACACACACACCCCCCACAAAAAAAAAATGCATCACCATTTATTTTCAAATTTCTCTTTCAGCAGACAGGTATCTCCTGCTGTATAGAAAAGGATTATTATTCAATGAGATTTGAGGTTTTTTACCATATGAAATAGCTTCTGAGAGTGGTAGCTGAATCAGTGCCAGGGAGAGGAATAAAGGGCAGTAGAAGGGGCCTTAGCACCTCTCTCCTGGCCTCAATCCAGGCATTTGATGTTATGTAAAGTGTCCTAACAAAGCAGCATCAACCCCTGCCTCCACAGTCACATTGCTGCTCCAAGCCCCTTCTATATGAACATTTTGAAGCCACCATTGTCTGACAGGGTCATTTTTGAGTCACTTTTTACAATCTGCACCATTCTGTTTACACTGCCACAAAATGAGCAGGACGCCAAACACTCACTTGTAGCCCAGTGGATCACACCACTACTTCACTACGCACTAGAACAAACAGTTCATTACAATAACACTATTTAAACAATGTTCCAAATGGATTTTTTTATGAACATTTGAAACTCCATTTGGAACAACAATTTTTTGGATTGTTCCAGGGTTTGGATATTAATGACTGTCTATATGCGCAAATGTTAAATGTCTTTTCTGAACACAATGGCTAATGCCAATTGGGGATAGTTCCAGGGAATTCATGAAGATAAATGAATTTTGAGTAGGCTTATTTGGGGAGTAGGAAAAGGGTATACTTGAGTGATAAGCTAGAGGACATTCTAGACAGGAGAAAAGGCAATTGAAGATGTAGAGAGTAGTGATTAAGAGCTCTGGAATCACGCACA
The DNA here is from genome assembly GCF_000001405.40 of Homo sapiens. Lineage (NCBI taxonomy): Eukaryota > Metazoa > Chordata > Mammalia > Primates > Hominidae > Homo > Homo sapiens. Next base: position 39,602,744 of record NC_000006.12, on the reverse strand, counting down.
GCAAATAACTGAAGCCCAAGACTGATAGGGAGATTTGAGTTAATCTAGCTGTTTCAAATAGTTCTAATTTTTAGACTCAAATGAACTATATTCCATGGACTTAAAAAGCTTGCAGATGTAGTCACAGAATTATTTGAAGATTTTTAGAAATTATGGAGCATGCTGTAGAGATTCCAGAACACAAGAAATGAGCAAGAGTCAACAAATTAACAAACATTTTTAACACTACTGTGTTATGCTAGGCAATGACGCATAAGACACAGTCCCTGTCCTCAAGGAGCTTGAAGTCTAGGAGGGAGGAAGAGGGAAATGGAGAGGCTTTGTAGGAAGTAATCTTTCAGATGAATGGAACTTCAGTGAGAAGTAAAGTTTTGCTACACTGGAGATAAGAAAGAGGAAAAATAACTTTCTTTAACCATAGACTGCAGATATGATGACTCTGTAAGGAGTCCAGTGAGCCTAGGTTTTTCAATTTTCACCCCATAAAAGAAAGTCTATTCTCCATTTTCCGAAAAAGAAAACATATATGGAAGATAACAAGCTAATATTTTTGATACAAGCCCTAAAAAAGAAACTGATAAAGGATTATTAAATAATGGTCAGTAAGCTATTAAGAAAAAGTCAGCATTGATTTTACCTTAAACTAATTTCATTCACTTTTCTGATAGCATTTAAAATTTTATAGATCAAATCAATTCTTTTTTTATCTCTCAAAATATCCTTGGGGATATAAAGAGAAATTGAAGGTAATAAAAGTACTTGGATTGAAGTCAATTGTAGAATACCTGTAACAGTTACCTAACCGGGTGGAGAGCAGAGGTGGTCTTCTGGGAATGTTGTTGGTCTGCCCCACTGCTTCATGTCTTACACATTGTTTGGATGAGAATATACAAGATATTTTCATTTGTAGATAGCACAAAATTGACAAAAAGACCAAGATCCAATAGATTGTAATGTTGACATAAAAACTAATCAAATGCAGTCATGAAATAAACTAATGTGTGTGTGTGTGTGTGTGTGTGTGTGTGTGTGTCCCAAAGAAATTCCATAGCATGTAAGGGCTGGAGCAAATCCGGTATAGTAACACTTCATGTGATGTGCTATTTACTGGCAATATTAGATTTAGATTGTCCAGGTTCCAGGAAGTAATACATCCAATGTCCTCTGCTGTGGTTAGGCTACTTTTGAAATAATAATATATTCAATTCAAGTGCCAGAGTACCATATTTAAAAAGGATTTTGATAAACAGTTGCATAAGGCCCAGTTGAGAGGAAGAGAGATATTTAGTCTTAGGGAGCATGCTAGTTTAATTCAGTGATGTAGATAGGATTGGCATTAATCAAATATGCCTTTTAACAATACTACTTTGTCTGAGAGATGGAGAACAATTGGAAGGGACAAGAGTAAATACTGAGACTAGAAGGGAGAGACTACAGTAACCCAAGTGAGAGATAAAGGATATTTGGCTACTGGGGGAGATACAGATAAGTGGAAAGAAATCCAGCAGGAGTAGGATGGGTTGGATATCCATCCATGGGACACAGAGGGAGGGAAGGAGATACAGTTGTTTTGGGAACATTATGTACAAGATGCTGGTAAGACATTTTAATGACAATGATCAGTCAAACTGCTGGACATTCCAATCTGCTATACAGAACAATTGAGGTAAGAGATAAGGATACAGGAGGCATCTGAATAAAGTGAATATCAACAGCGACGTTAATATGACCTTTTACACTTCCCAGATCACTTCAGCACTCAGTAATTCAGTTGGTATTTAATATAACTCCCTGCAATGAAGCAGGTCTTAATATGGCATTCTAGAAACATGAAAATCAAAATTACTTCATGTAAATTTGCTTATAACACTAGTAAGCTTTTAACACTAGTAAGTGACAGAACCAGGACTTGAAACCAGGTTATCTGACACCAAATTCTGAGATTTTTGGTGTGTGATTTTTATTACACTACAGAGCCTATGCAATGAGGATTTGAGCTGTAGAAGATGAGTTTCCAAGGGGAGGAAATATGGTCACCATAGCTTAGGACACACCTATTTTTAGGGACTGCAAAGAAGAGAGCAGAGTAAAGGAAAAAGCGATAGAGAAGGAGAAAGTGACTGGAGAGTATTTGGCACTGGAAACCAGGTGGTGGGCAGAGGGTGGCGAGCTCCTAGAATGAGGGAATGGCTAGCATTTTCAGATATTACCTAGAGGATCAGCATGTTCATTGCTAAGAACAGATCACTTTCTTTACTGCACATTTTGCTTTTCTCATTTCATGCTCATTCTCATTTCACACATTGTGGCTTTAGATCCTGACTAGATTGTAAGTTCCTTGAGGGCAACATCCAGGTCTTATTTTCCTTCTTGTCTCTGTACTGCCTAACACAGTGATATACATAGGCTAATAGGAAACGTGAAAGCTCTCTGCATGCAGGTGATTAATCATCACTAAAATTTTTCCAAAGGCACAGTCGCTAGTGCCAAAAGCACATTTGTTTAAAATGTGTGCTTAACTTTGAATGAATCTGCCTAAATGGTGCCATCTGTTCTTAGGCAGTTTCAGAAACATTTTAATACAATTTTACCTTTAAAAGGACAAACATAGGGCCATGCCTATGAGACATAAAGACATCCTTAAATAAACACAGAGCAGACACAGCACATCCAATAACACTTAAAAAGCTCCACATAAAGAATGTTTTCTGAGGTTTAAGAAATTTTTATCTAAGAGGACACCAACTGCTACTTCATGCAGAAAATATTTATGAGAAGTTACAAAACTGTAGGCACGGACTCCTACAGCATATTACTGCATTTTAATTACAGACTCCAGAATATACAATTTTAGTTTATGTGAATCTCATATTCCTTTGAAATGGGTACACTCTACCAGTATTCGTTTATGGCTCACATTTTATGGTGGTTTCAGAATATCAGTTTCGAAGCTAAAGACAGCTGTTGAGAAGTCTCCATGTTATTTGTTTATATTGATTGTCAGTTTGACTTTTGTTACAGTATTGTAGGATTTATTGTTGTGCGACTATCACAGTGAAATGAAACCCATGTTTAAGTTCTGCAAATAACTTACAGTCACTTCCAAAACACCTCAACTTAGGTTCTAAATTTGAGTTTGCGGTTTTACATGCACAGTTATTTGCTGATCCACTTTAGCAGGCAAAATCACACACTGGCCAGGTTTGGGCATAGTTATTGTGGCAACAAGTAATGGGTCAAATTTTCAGCCTGTTTGACTCACTAGCTACATCATCATCACCAAAACTATGCCAGCATTTTGACATCTTTTTATTTTGCTAGTTGGTGTAAATCAACTCTGGTGTATATCAAGAATTTATATTTACAGAAAGAATTTCTGGTTGAATTGCCATTCAAATGTGTTACTCTGTCTGCACACATGTGCATCCATATTGAAATTCTTTGTTTAAATCTCATTTTGCAAAGGTGGAGATCTGAACATATTTACTCATATGAATACTCATTTGGAATATTTTTAGTTTTTTTGTTGAGAGGATGATACTACTAACTTGTCACTTGTATCTTGAATCAGATTAATTTCTTTCTTGTTCCAAAAAATGTAAAACACAAAAAAGTACAGAGAATAATGTAACCAACATCCATGTTTTCCAATCCAGGATTTGCTTCTAATAATTTTTAACTAAATGAAATAGAATATTGCAGATAAAGCTGAAGTCCCTTTCTTGGCCTTTCATTTCCATCCCTCACAAACACAACTGCTATCATTAATTTGCCGTATGCTTCTGGTCCATGTTTTTATACTTAATGACCTAAGTTATAGCTTCATGAACAATAGATAATATTGCTTTTTTAATTATGTAAATTCTATCATAATGTTCATATCATTATTTAACTTGCTATTTTTTCCCAGCATTCTATTTTAGAAATCCATTTATGTCAATCTATCCCAAGTTGCTTTATTTTAACATCTCTGTAATTTGAATTATCTCAGTTTACTAATCTTTTCTGCCACAGATGTCTACTTAGGTTGTGCGTCTTGCACCAATTTCTTGCTAACCCTAATAATGTTGCAGTGAATGTCCACATATATATGTCCTTATCGCATATTGCGCATATATAGATATATAGATATATAGATACACACACACACACACACACACACACACATATATATGTATACCTGCCCAAGATTTCTCTCTAGGAAATATATCTAGTAGTTTATTGATGGCTGTGTGTTATATGTATTTGGAACTTCGCCACATATTATCAGATTGCTCTCAAAATTTATTCTTAATTTATATTTCCACAAGCAGTACACAAAATTTCCCATTTCCTTATATCTCCAACAACACTTATTTTGTTAGACTTTATTTTTTAAACCTTATGGTTCTAAGTTATGTGGTTCTGATTATGTATAAATTTGAGCATTTTATCAAATATTCATTAACCATTTCCAGATTTCTTCCTTATGAGTTACCTAGTCATATTCTTTGCTTACTTTTTCTCACTGATTTGCAAGAGTTCTTTATTTTATTTATGTATTTATTTATTTATTTTTGAGATGGAGTCTCACTCTGCCACCCACGCTGGAATGCAGTGGCATTATCTTGGCTCACTGCAACCTCTGCCTCCGGGGTTCAAGGTATTCTCCTGCCTCAGCCTCCCAAGTAGCTGGGATTACAGGCATGCCCCACCAATCCTGGTTTGTTTTTTGTTTTGTTTTGTTTTGTTTTGTATTTTTAGTACACACGGGGTTTCACCATTTTGGTCAGGCTGGTCTCAAACTCCTGACCTCAAGTGATCTATCTACCTCAGCCTCCCAAAGTGTTGGGATTACAGACGTGAGCCACCACACCCGGCCGAGTCCTTTATTTATTATTAATGTTTTGTCAGCCATATGTATTGCAAATATCTTCTAGTGCTTTAATTTTATGATGGATTTTATCACACTGAAGTTTTTACATTTTGGATTATCTTGGTCAAATATTTTAAATCAATTTATTTTTGTGTTTTATATCTTAAAGTATCCATTACCTCCTTGGGTTGATTACAATATGCTTCCATGTTTTATGGTATTGGTGCTAAAGTTGTGTTATTTCACACTTAAAGCTTTAATCTATTCTGGAATTTCTTTGTGTGCATTGTGTAAGGAAGCAATCTAAGTTTATTTTTTTCAAGATGGATAGTTGGTTATTCCAGCACCTTTTACTAAATCAGTGCATCCTTTCTTTGCTGTGGTATGATGTCACATCTGTCCCATACAGAGCTCCTCAGTGAGCACAGCATGTCTCACTGACCTAGCTGTCTGCTCCTGCACCAGCACCAGCACCACACTGTTCTAATTACTGTAGCTTTGTGGTATACCTTGATAAATGGCAGGAAAGTCCCCTTTTATTGTTATTCTTTCACAGAATTACTTTTCATTTGTTTCTTTTTATTTTTTGATGGAGCAACTTTAGTAAGGAAGTGCAAACAGCATTACTTTTCATTTTATTTGAAGATTTCTTTCCTGTATGCCATTTAGGATCAATTTGTCTTTTTCTGTAAACAAAACCTGTAGCATTTTTATTTCAATTGCATTGAATATATAGGTTAATATATAGACATTTACATATAGATTAATTTTGAGTTTTCCCATCTATGAAATGGTGCATTAATATCCTGCACACCATTTACTCCAGTTCTCTTTGTCCTTTAATATTATCTTACCATTTTTCCTATAAATTACATATCCTTTAGAAAATTCATCCCTTATTATTTCATTGTCTTTCTTGCCATTGTGAATAATATTATATTTTCTGATTAATCATTGCTCTGAGTTATTAGAACCTCATTGATTTTATATATTCATCTCATATCCAGCAACCATGCTAAACTTTTTAGTTCTTAAGCCATTTGTTTGGAGATGCTCTTGCATTTTCTATGTAGACCACCATATTTTTTTGTACATAGTGACATTTTTAATTTCTTCTTTTCCTACTATTATGCCTTCTATTTCTTTTTCTTGTTTATTGTATTGTCTAGGGCCTCCACTTTAGTGTTGAGTAGTAACAGTGATGGTAGGTTTCTTTGTCTGTGGCTTTTGTTTACAATTGTGATCATGAATTTTTCTGATACACACATTCTCACCTCTTTTCCCATGAGATTAACATTAAGCATTTTCAAGCATTAAGCCAAGGTTAATGCATGGATTATAGACAGGTAATGAAATAAAGTTATATTGGCAAGAGGACTTGATCTATACCTCATTAGAACTCTTTTCTCACTTTCTGAATCAACCCATCCACATTTGTCATCAGTAATCCAAGAGGTAATACATTAAAAAGAACTTACTTTAAAGGTCTCAGTTACAAGTGGTTTTGCTCCAGTTGACAGTTGGCTTCATGGGAAATGTCTTATCACTAGAAATATTATTTTAAATCTTTTGATATTCTTTAAAAATTTTCATTGTTCAAATAATTTTTGTTTTGCAATTTTTTTATAGACTCCTATGAACCAAGCTTCAACCCGTTCCCACTGCATTTTCACCATTCATTTGTCAAGCAAGGAACCAGGATCTGCAACTGTACGACATGCCAAACTCCATCTGGTTGACCTGGCTGGTTCAGAGCGAGTTGCAAAGACTGGAGTAGGGGGCCATCTTCTAACAGAGGCCAAGTATATCAACTTGTCACTACATTACTTAGAACAGGTAAAATGGGCAGAGTGGGATGTATTAATAACTATAGCTACCATGTGTTGACCACATACTATGTATCAGGCATTCTATTAGAATTTTTTTTATTATGATGAAATATATATAACATAAAATTTGCCATTTTAATCATTTTTAAGTGTACAACTCAATGGCATTAAGTACATTCATAAAGTTGTATAACCATTGGCACTATCCATTTCTGAAAGTCTTTTATAATATCAGACAGAATATCCCCATTCCCCTATACTCTAGTCCCTGGTCATCTCTACTCTACTTTCTGTCTCTATGAATTTGCCTATTTCAGGTGCCTCGTGTAAGTGGAATTATGCAACATCTGTCCTTTTGTGTCTGGTTTATTTCACTTAGCATAATGTTTTCAAGATTCATCCATATTGTAGCATGTATCAGAATTTCTTCCTTTTTCAAATTGAACAATATCCAATTGTATGTCTGCGTCACATGCTGTTTATACATTCATCTCTTGATGGGTATTTGCATTGTTTCTACCTTTTGGCTATTGTGAATAATGCTGCCAGAAACATTGGTAGATCTACTAGCATTTTGTGTATACCATTTTATTGAAACGTCACAACAGCCCTACATTGTAGGTGTTAGTTACTATCCCCCTCTTACAGATTTTAAAATTCAAGTCTTCCAAAGGCCTTCCCACAAGATTACCCAGCTAGGGGAGGGTGAAGATTAGAACCTAGATTTACTTGGCTTCACAGCCTATACCTTTTTTCACTTTTTGTCTTACTGCTTTATTGTAAAATTTAGTAGTTGGTGTAAATAGAGGTTACAAATGGCTTCCTTTTGCCTGTTTTCAGGCTAGTAGATTAACGATGGGAACATGACTTTGAGATAACCGACATGTTTTCTGTTTGGGGAGACTTCATTTAGTTGGTAATTTTGACCCCATGATGGTTCTGTTAGCCTTGTAGCTTTCCCTTCCTACTTCTACCCCAGGCTGATTACAATCTACCCCAGTATGTGCTCTATTTTTAATTTCTGAATTTAATGCCAGGGGAGAGAACATTCATCTGAATTTAGCTAAATAAATCTTTCAGAAAAAAAAATTCATCTCTAAAATGAGTGGATTGAATTAGATGATTTCTCAAGTTCCATTTAGCTTTTTGAGTATAAGGGCTGTGAGATGAATGTTAAAGATGGCAACTACTTCCAAATTCTAAAAAAAAATAATAAAATAAAAAATAAGAAACATGATCAAAAATTGGAGTGGAGAAGTACAGAGTCTTGTGAGGCAGAAGGACTTGTTAACAAATGTTGCAGCTAAAAGATTAGAGGGGAAAAAAATAAAACCTTTTTTTAACTGCTTAATGAATCCTTCTGAGACTGATGTTGCCTCGATGTTAAATGCTATGTAATCATCACATTGGCTAAAAACGCAGATGGAGAGAAACCTAAGGGACCCTATCTGAACAAGGTGCACATGGCCACACTCCAACCAGATGAATCCCAGTCAGGCAGCACCAAGAGATTAAGGCCTGCCTGGTATTCAGATCATTCTAGTGTTTTTAACAAGAGTCAGCATTCCTAAGCTCTTTCCTGCTCAAATATTACACACTACTTATGCTTAACAGAGCTTTTTACTTAATAGAACACTTATAGAACATTGATATGAAAACATAATGGACTGTATTCAAAGTGCTTTATTTCAAAGAAATGTGTCTGCTTGTTTTGGATGGTAGCACTGTCTGTTTTAATTTCCATTATATCCATCTGTTCATGCAAAATTAGGTTCATCAGTTGAATCAGACTTCCCACCAATTGTAATCACTCAAGAGAAATGTTCTGCCCTTAATTCTTTTTTTTTTTTTAATTCTATAAGCCTTTGCAAACTGCTATGTGTCACTAAAACTATTCCTCTCCTCACATTTCTTCTCTTCAAAATTCTTAATGACAGCCTCGTGTGAGTAGTCTTGGGGGCTATGTGGCATTGGATTTTCTATATCATTAAGTTATTTATCAAACAAATATTTATAATGACCTACCATGTGCTGAGGGCTGTGCTAGGCACTGGAGCCTAGTGTGAACAAAATAGAAACAGTCCTTTCCCCAAAAACCTCATGGTCTAGTGCAGGGAGACATGAATTAAAGATGTAATCTTTAAGTATGTGGCTGTAAGCCAGGTGAGAGCAGTGAAGAGAAAGTAAAAGGAGTGAGAGGAGCTTGTAGCAGGGTATCTGACTCAGACTGAGGAGGTGAGAGTTGAAGATGGTTTTCTTAGGGCCTGATACCACGCAGAGGAATGAATAGAGGCGAGCCAATCAAGGATGGGGCAGAGCATGTCAGGCAGTGGGAATTGCAAGCCTGTCAGCTCTTAGTTCCAGCCCAGGGGGATGAATTTGCTCAGAGTCTCAATGACATTCACATGTCATTGCCCCTTGGTCTCTGTAACCGATGTTTCATTTTCACCCACTGCATCACTCCAGCTGTTAGCCATTTACACTGATACACAAGTGTCTTCACAGGAAAATAGAAGGTTCAACATAAGATAATAGAGAAGAGATTAGTGGGAGAGGAAAGAACATAAATATGGAAAAACTCATCTGTGAACATGGAGATGTTAGGCTGAGTAAATCTAGGAGTAGCTGCTAGAGAGCAAGTAGGTCGGTAGAAGAGAAATTTTTGAATTTCACACAGAAAGAAGAGAAAACCAAACGGTACATAGGAATAAGAATAATAAAGAGAGTGGGAAGATGTTTAATGAATAACAAAATTCAAGGACTTTTGTTAATCAATTTCTCTTTATGTAGTACTTTATTATGGCACTAATGAGACTGGAAGTGTAACACAATTTAGTTTAATTAGCTTCATTCATTCATTCATTCAACAAATTGTGATTGAATGTTTACTGGGTGCTGTGAGTTACGTTAGACAATGAGGATAAATGAATGACTGAGAAGTAGGCAGGACTATCATGTTAGCCAGCAGAACAGCAAAGCATACAAATAAATACTTAGCAATATAGTAATTTAAAACCTATAATAGAAATCCATGTGAGTGTTGGTAATCAATTATATCCCTATCCCCTCTCTCGGTTTCAATATATAAGACAGAGATGGAATGGGAAACCATTTGGTAACTTGCTTTACCTTAATTAGCCTACATTGGTTCCACAAATTCCATGCAGCATTATAATTACTCTTTTGGCCATAACTGTGAGACCTCACACCTGCTCAAAGGGTGCAACCTCTCTGAGTTGAATGGACTTTATTGTGTTCACAAGTAAATAACTTTCTTTTTGCCAGAGTATGGTTGGTTTTGGAGTTCTCCTTGTATATGCAGTACTTTTTCCAAAAAGTTTCCTCAAAAACATTTTAAGCCACAATAACAGGGTACATCTTGGCCTTAGAAATTGAGTTCATGGGAGGAAAAGGGAGACATACATACTTGTCCTAAATCTCACTGAGTGCTCCCGGTGTGACCCACAGCCTCTATCAGCCCAAACATCAAGTGAGAAACCACTGGAAATGAAGTGCTTGCTCTGTACTGCTATGGAAATCAGAATCAGAGTTGCCTTCAGCCATTTATTCAACATAAATGGGACTTTCTCAGAGTTTTAGTTTCCATTTAGTTTCCAACTGAATGTGTTGTGTTTAGGAGAAAAAGTAATGGTGTCAGTGCCAATTGTAACACTCCAAATTTTGTCAATTTTCATAGGATAATTTTCCAAACACTTCTGAGCTCTTTTTTGTTTAAAGTCTTTAACTCATTAAATAGTAAATAGAATTATTGATTGCAAGCACAGTTTCTAGGTACTTGGAGATATTATTAAGCATAATGTGAGGTTCTACTCCTTGTCAGTTAGAGAATAACTTCAGGAATATTTACCATTGTATTTGTACATGCAATCTAAGATGGAAGGAAACAATAAAAAAAGTCAGGTTTGTTTGTTTGTTTGTTTGTTTTTTTGAGACGGAGTCTCACTCTGTCGCCCAGGCTGGGGTGCAGTGGCATGATCTCAGCTCACTGCAACCTCCATCTCCCGGGTTCTTGCCATTCTCCTGCCTCAGCCTCCCGAGTAGCTGGGACTACAGGCGCCAGCCACCACACCTGGCTAATTTTTTGTATTTTTGGTAAAGATGGGGTTTCACCATGTTAGCCAGGATGGTCTCCATCTCCTGACCTCGTGATCCGCCCGCCTCAGCCTCCCAAAGTGCTGGGATTACAGGTGTGAGCCACCGCTCCTGGCCAAAAAGTCAGGTTTTATGACCACCGCATTTTCCTGTGCCTTTCAGATCATTTGGCTCCTGCCCAATTTAAGAACTCACACCAGCCTCACAAAGAATAATCTACCTCTGCCTCTTTCCTGAATACCTGCCATTTCTGGGTCATTCCAAAGTTTTACATCTGCTCCAGGTGGGCTGGGCTTATAGTATTCCTCAAGCTCCTTGAGAGCTGATAAGGTACCTTCTCACGGTCCTCTTCTAAAGAAACGGCCCAGGACTGTGTTTATATGATGAAGATCAGTCTTCAAACGTTTCATAAAGAACATTTCCTTCCATATCACTGAGTGCTTTTTTGCTTACTAAGAACTATTCCAGAAATAATCTCTATTAATCTTTAAAACATTTTTGTGAGATAGACATTCCAATACCACTTTTACGAGTGAGGGAACTGAGGCTCACTTTATTTAAGAAGCTCACTTTATTTAAGAGATTTCCCTAAGATGACTGCCTTCATTTTCTCCATTTTTGAGACTATATTTTCTAATCCATAATTCCAGTTTGATCTCTAATTCTTTAGAGAGCCCTTTCTAGAGAGGACATAGGAATTGCCTCTGCAATGTCCATAACAATGAGAAGCTCGGCCAGGAGCCCGTCCCAGCGCCCCAGGTAGATCCTGACTTATCTAAGTGAATTGGAGACTGTCTTTCTCCTGGCTACAGTGATTAGTTCAAGGATGGGCCCAGGACCCACGCTCATGCCTACTGAACCTCAGGAATTTTGTTTAATGATTAGGGAAAAAGAATTCTTTCTCACCTAAGTTATGAATAAGGAAGTATATAACATCAGGGCTTTTGGCAACCATTGTGGGGCCGCAAGAAGAGACTGACTTCTACCACATGGAAGATATAGCTGAGATATAGGCAAAAACTAAGTCCTTGATAGTAGCATTAATCTTTTGTTTCCTTCTAATCTAAAGCCTTTCCTGTTTCAATCACATGAACCAATAAATTTCCCTTATAATTAAAACCAGTTTGGGTTACATTTTCTGTTTCTTGCAACCAAAAGCAAGTTTACTAACACATGATTTAATTTAATATCAACAGGGGTTGGGCATGGTGGCTGATGCCTGTAATCCCAGCACTTTAGGAGGCAAAGGTGGGTGGATCACTTGAGGTCAGGGGTTTGAGATCAGCCTGGCCAACATGGTGAAACTCCATCTCTACTAAAAATACAAAATTAGTTGGGCATGGTGCTGCATGCCTATAATCCCAGCTACTCGGGAGGCTGAGGCTGGCGAATCGCTTGAATCCAGGAGGCAGAGGTTCCAGTGAGCCCAGGTTGTGCTATTACACTCCAGCCTGGGCAACAAGAGTGAAACCTCCATCTCAAAAAAAAAAAAAAAATATATATATATATATATATATACACACACACATACACACACATATATATATATCATCAAGAAGTTTAATAAGCATATTCTCCTTTAGGTTCTCTAAGTTGTCAATAAAGCCATTGAATGAAAAGACATCAATATTGTTTCCTAGAGCAGGAAAAAAAGTGAATTTGTTTTATATAAGAACTTCAAAGTACTTAGAGAAATTATTTATAAGCAATAATGCCACACTGTCTGCACAACTGTCAGCCCAGCCCCTGTTTGGGTATTTGGGCACACCTTGCCTGTTTCAGATACTTAATCTGTCCTCTTTGTTCTTAGAGGCTAGAGTTCTGCTTGGCATCTCTTGCCACTCTGACTTGGGTCTGCCATATTCCCCACCTCCTTTCCAATTACACTGAAACTTGGTTCTCTCAAACCTCATTCCATGCTGATGACCTTCATACTGCCTTCCTAGGACATACTAAGTAATCTTCTCATGCATTCATTGATTTACTTAACAAAAATTTGTTGAGCACATTTTATATTTGTCAAATTTCTTAATTGTAAACTGGAAAATCTGCTCTAGCTATTTTAAGAAGCATGGTTTATTAAACATAAAGAATCTCAAGAAAAGTCAGAAAACTGGGTTTGGCTGCTACACAGAGCAACCAGGAGACACACCTAACCACACCACTAAACTGCTCTGCAAAGTACTACTGTATAGCCACATGGCACTGGATTCCAGAAACTTCCCTGCAACTGCCTCAGAAGAACCAGATGCCTCTGCCACCATGCCCCCCGCAGATCTGATGTTCCTCCTTATGGCTACCACCTCTCACTGCTCACCTCCAAACCCCACATAGGGCTGTCTGCTTGGTGGAGCTACATCTTAAGCAAAACATGACCTTCAAGACAACTAGGAAAAGTAATTTCATAGGAAGTCAAACTAGAATGAGGGCTGCCACGAGAACTGAGGGAGACAGCTTTGTTTCTGCCATGTTAGCAAGTGCTGAGCACTGTTCTCCGCAGTGGGGGTCGAGCTATGAAGAAGAGAGACAACGTCTCTGGCCTTGCAGAGCAGAAAGCCTAGAGGGGAAGCAGATAACAAATAAGTACCTAAATATAATTTTAAATAGTGATAAGTAGTATAAGAAAAATAAAAAAAGATTAACAGGCTGGAGATAGGTTTATTATTTTTGATAGGGTGTCCAGGGAAGGCCCTTGTGAGAAAACAAAATTTGAGCAAAGATGTGAATAATGGAAGCAGAAAGCTGTATGCTGTATGGAAATCTGGGGCAAGAGCATGCTAGGCAGAAGGAACAGCAATTTCAGAGGCTCTGATGTGGGGATAAGCTCGACAGGCTGAATCAACAGTCAGAAGGCCAGTACAGGCCCAGGGAACATGACAGGACATGATGTCAGATAAGTCGAACAGGGATGGACCACACAGGAGCTGGGATATTATGCTAAGTGTATTAGGGAGCAACTTGGCATAACTTAGATTGTGTGAAGATTTCTCTGGCTGCTGTGTGGAGAACAGATCGTGGAAGGGCAAAAGTAGAAGCAGGGAGACTAATCCAAGGCGTGTGTGGTTTCCCAAGCAAGGGATCCCAGAGGTTTGAACTGGAGTGGTGGTGGTAAGAAGTGGTCCAATTCTTGGCAAGTTTTATAGGTAAACCTAATAGAAATTGCTGATGGATTGGATATTGGGGATGAAGACAAATCAAGGATGATTGCCTAAGGTTTTGGCTTGAGCAACCGGGTTGATGTTGGGGCCTTAATAATAATGGGTGAGATCTGGGAAAGAATCAGGCTTGGGGGCAGAGAGGAAAGAAAATCAAGAATAGAAATCCAGATGGAGATGTAGAGTTGCCAAGATGATAGTAGCACAGGGAAGAGGTTGAGATTGATGGTATAAATTGGGAAGACATCAGGATATAAATGCATTTAAAAGCCAGGCAATGGCTGGGCACAGTGGCTCACACCTGTAATCCTAGCACTTTGGGAGGCCGAGGCGGGTGGATCACTGGAGCCAGGAGTTTGAGACCAGCCTGGCCAACATAGCAAAACCCCAACTCTACTAAAAATACAAAAAATTAGCTGGGTGTGGTGGTGCACGCCTGTAATCCCAGCTACTCCGGAGGCTGAGACACAAGGCTCACTTGAACCCAGGAGGCAAAGGCTACAGTGAGCTGAGATTGTGCCACCACACTTCAGCATTAACAGAGCAAGACTCTGTCTCAAATAAATAAATAAATGAATTAAATAATAATTAAAGCCAGGTGATTGGATGAGATTACATAGGGAGAAAGTGTAGATAAGACAGAAAACAGGATCAAGAACTGAGCCCCGGGGCACTACAAAGTTTGTAATTTGGGAATAAGAAAAAAGAAACATTCATTAACTAGTTTTTGAGGAAAGATGAAAACCAGGAAAGTGTAGTGTCCCAGTTACCACGTGAACAAAGTGTTTCCCAAGGGAGGCAGTGAGTACCAGTGTTGCATGCTTACTCAGCTCAGAAGTCTAGTAAGATGGCAATCAGTGCTCTTGGTACAATGAAGGTTGCTGATGACCTTGGCAAGAGCCATCTTAGTTTAGGACTGTAGTGGGCATGCAGAATGGGAATTGTCCAGATGAAAGGGAAATTAATTCAGAAGAGAGAGGAGGTAATTGTAGGAGAAAAGTAGGAGGGAGCAGATGAGGCCAAGGATGGAGGGCTGGCCTTAGACAGGAGCAGGACAATAAGAAGGTGAAGGGCAGAATGTACAGGGGATTTAATGATGGAGACATGAGATAGTCCTGGTCAGGGTTCCGAATCTATATCTATCATATCTAGTAGAAGTGTGGCCATCAGCTCGAAGTGAAATTGAGGAGAGGAGAGGGTGAACAAAGGTTTGAAGAAAAAGGAGAAAAGTGTGAAGGTCTCATTTCTGAGAGCTGAAAAGTGATTTTTGAGAGAGAGAGATCACAGGATGACTGAATTTACCAACACCTGTGGTCATGAATTTAGAATGAGACTAGTGGTATAGTTACATATGTTGCTTAAAACAGCCTTCAGAAAGCAATGCTCCCTTTTCGTTTTGTAAACCAAAAGAGTAGAGGAGGTTCTGGTGATGGAAATCACACACCTGGAAGGAGGGAGGACTAGAACAATGACAGGCATTGGCGGAGGTATTCTCAGGAGCTAGGGCTTTGTGATGCCCTTAAAGACACATCCTGTGGGTGGCTGATTCCTGCTGCTTTGTAATGAACATTCTAGCACTGGATTTGTCTGCCCGGGATAACCCTGAGCCCCAGGTGCCTCCTTTCGGGACAACCCCAGCAGCCTTTGCTCCATCTGCCATCCATCTATCTAGTACCTTCCTATTAAGTACCTAAGGAACTCATGAAGAGTAAGGTGAGCAAGCCTGAATTGAACCAAGGTCAACTACCCATTGCTTACAATGGGAGCAAACCTATATACAGCACTTGTTATGGGCTAGGTACTATTCAAAATAATTTGCACATTTTAACTCTTTTAATCATCTCAACTACCTGTGAGGTAGATACTATTTTTATTCCTATTTTACAGATGAGGAGACTGAGGCATGTTGAGTGATGTGCCCTAGGAAAGCCAGGACTTGCACCTAGACAATCTTGCATGAGAATCTGGGACCTCAACCACTATCCTATACTGTTTCCCTTAGTTCTTGCTTACTGGTGTACAGCCCAATTTTGGTAGTATTAAAGTAATTGAAGTAATCAGGCATGTTTTACTCTTGTGTTTTCATACAAATTTTCCAATCGTTAAAAACAGAATAATAGTGTATCCAGTTCTATACAGGTTATTTCATTTGTCCAAAAATTATGGGGCTCACAATGCTACAGTTACACTACATTTACTTTATTCAGTCTTCACCATCTTGTACTGAATATTGTTGTCAAGATATTTATTCTGTACTTAAGTTTTGGGCTTCACCGTGCATTTAGTTATTATTTCCTTTTGCATTTTTATTGCTATTGAAGCTCTGTTGTTTGTCAGGAGTGCATTTTCTTGCTAAATTAATCCCATTATCTTTCTACTTTACCACAGGTTATCATTGCCCTTTCAGAAAAGCACCGTTCGCACATTCCTTATAGAAACTCCATGATGACCAGTGTCCTAAGAGACAGTTTGGGAGGGAACTGCATGACAACTATGATTGCAACACTCTCCTTGGAGAAAAGGAATCTTGATGTATGTGGGCTCTTCTTTCTGGAGATCTTAATCTAGGTTTTTACTGCTAGCACGTGAGACGGAGTTGAGGCTCTTGGGTGGGTTTCTACATTTTCAGCTGGGTATGCCTTCAGAGGGCAGTACCCTACAGAGTTCACAGCTGTGGGCTATTTGTTATAGCTGTGGGCTATTTGTGGGTCATTGTTATAATAACCCCATTTGAGAATTGACTTCACATAGCACAGGATAGTTTGAAGAAGCCTCATACACAGATTTTGGAAGGCCTACTGATGGGTTGGCAATGTCACCCAAAGAAATGGGAGAGCTGACCCATCCGCTTCTCTTGCTTGATTTTGCCCTGATGACTAAGATCCGGATACCTTGGAGATATCTCTGAGATGTGTCCCTAGAAATGTTGCTGAGTGAAGCAACCAGGATGCTTTGGCAGGAGCCAGCTGCTGAATGGCTCTTCTGGGTTGCTTTAGAGTCAGCTGATGTTTAATGTTTGGAATCCAGACACTCCTCAGAAGAGGAAACAAGGCCAAGACTTTGATTGTAAGATGCCTTGACAAACCTCTCTTTTTGACCTATTATGAATCTTTATTTTGTGATCTTTCATGTGTGTGGATTATGGCTCTTGCTATGATTATGATTTATATATGTGGTTCTGGTCTAAGTGATCAACAACTGAAAACACATACTATACCAGCTGCCACTTAGGACCTTGTGATCTCTCACTTTTTGTCATTGGTAATTTTATTAAGCCAAAATAAAATTTGGTTAAAAAATAATGTTCTAGAGCAGGGGTCCCTGACCCCCGAGCCATGGACCAGTACCAGGTCTGTGGCCTATTAGGGGCTGAGCTGCACAGCAGGAGGTGAGTGGTGGTGGAGCCAGCATTACTGCCTGTCAAATCAGTGGTGCCATTAGATTCTCATAAGAGCGTGAACCCAATTGTGAACTGCACATGCGAGGGATCTAGGTTGCCCGCTCCTTATGAGAATCTAATGCCTGATGATCTGAGTTGGAACAGTTTCATCCTGAAACCACACCACCTGCACCCTCTGTCCATGGAAAAATTGTCTTCCACAAAACCAGGCCCTTGTGGCCAAAAAGGTTGGGGACTGTTGTTCTAGAGCAAAGCTTCCTAATTTAGGGGCATAGTTCCTCACTGTGAGTTTTATACACATCACTTTTTAGGTGTGTATCTTTTTTCTGTGAATAAAAGATAAGTTTTATCTAGAAAGAAATATCTCTCTATGCCATAATATTTTAAGAAGTTACTTTGCTTTCTTAGGAGTCTATATCAACCTGCAGATTTGCACAGCGAGTGGCACTCATAAAGAATGAAGCTGTTCTTAATGAAGAAATTAACCCCAGATTAGTAAGCAACTTTTAACGATATTTTAAAAAATATATTAAAGTATATCAAAGATTAGCTAAAACTTGTAGGTGCACTTGCTCTGTACTGGGAATGTTCTAAGTAGTGGAAACATATTAACTCATTTAATCCTCTAAATAACCTATGAGTAGATGCTATCTCTATCTCCACCTTAAAGATGACAAAACTGAGGTAAAAAGATGTTTGATAACTTGCTCAGAGTCATAAGTGCTAATAAGTAGCAGAGTCAGGCTTCACACGCAGGCAATCTAACTCAAAAGCCACTTGCTCTTCCTACTTGCAGCTCCCCATTGTTTCACTTCAAAGACATGCAGGGAATCCTAAGGACTCATACAACAGAACCACACATGATTACATCTATATGCAGAACTTAGCCTTTCAAAATACATCAGTTTAACTATCTAGAGACAATAATAGTCTTTTTTTTTTTTTTTTTTTTTTTTTTTTTTTTTTTTTTTTTTTAGAGACAGAGTCTTGCTCAGGCTGGAGTGTGGAGTGCAGTGGTGCAATCTTGGCTCACTGCAACCTCCGCCTCTCAAGCAATTCTCCTGCCTCAGCCTCCCAAGTAGCTGGGACCACAGACACACGCCGCCACAACCAGCTAATTTCTTTTGTATTTTAGTAGAGACGGGGTTTCACTGAGTTGCCTAGGCTGGTCTCAAACTCCTGAGCTCAGGCAGTCCACCCACCTTGGCCTCCCAAAGTGCTAGGATTATAGGTGTGAGCCACCGCGCCGGGCCAATAATAGTCCATCTTATATAAAAGCTCAGAAAGAAAGAAAAGTCCTAATAGCCATTCAGTAGAACCATATTTTACATACTTGTTCTGTTATTTGTTCTAGAGTTTTTTAAAATTCATTATTGGCTTGATCTGTCAAACTTCTAGTTTTATAACAGTAAATCCTGCTTTATCAAAGAACTGTTTTTAAGCAAAAAAATTTACATGGTAATAATTTAGCTCATCATAAATGCAGATATTTTCTGTTCTCTATTTTGTTAGTTTTCTGTAAATGAAATGCAACACTGAATCCATTTATGCCAACATTGAAAATGTTAAACTATCTCAATTGTATCAAATTCCATAATTAAGATTGCATCATTTTTCAAATCACTCAGTTTTTCTTATTTCTCTAGAAAATAAGCTGGTAGGGGCTTAGTAATCTGCACTGTAAAAAAAAAAAAAAAAAAAAAAAAAAAAAAAAAAAAGAAGTGAAATCCTACCAACAGTGTTTCACTTATAAATTTCTCAAATCAAAAAAAAACCAACAAATTAATTGTTACCCATATTAATTACTTCCTCTTGATTGTTTGTCCTTTCTCCTCTTTCTCCCCATGGAAGGACAGAGGGGGAAGGAGGACAAAGGAATAATGGGGCTGTCTGTTATGTTCTTCTTGCCTCAGAAAGCACCAAGCTCCTCTGATGGAGTTCTCTTCTGCAGAAACCAATGAGTGAGGCAGGATCTGTTTCAGCAAAGGCCCTGGTCAGGTATCAGCATCACACAGTGTTCCTGCTGGAGAGAGGAGACAGCATGCAAAGTCAAGATTCAGGTGGAACTGAACTGCTAGGGTGGATTTTGTTGCTGTCCCTACCCTTCCAGAAGCCCTATAGCATTACAGTGCTGAATGAGAAAGAGAGTTAACAAAGTTATTAGCCCCAAGACAAAAACTAGTTCAGAATTTAAGGAAAATAAACATATTAGACATTGGAGGGTTTTGTTTTTGTTTGTTTGTTTGTTTGTTTGTTTTTTGCATTTGGCTAGAGATTTTTCTTTGAAGGAATGTGAAGAATTTGAAGAAAGGTAAACATTATTATGTGTTTGATATAGGTCTGTGAGAGATTTGAAGAAAAGAGAAATCAGGAATCAAAAGCTAATAGCTGATAATTGAACAAATGTTGAGGTCTTCCTGGTGCAGATTAATCTGGTAATTGACAAGTGTTGTTTCCTGGTCTCTTTTATAATTGCCTCTAAAAACTGACATTACTGTCAGTCATTTTATGTATAGAGCTTGTCTGAGGCACAAATGACAGTTGAGAATTTGTCCTACAAACCACTCAAGACAAAACTTGGGTGGCATTTCCTATGTCTTACTTTTAAAATTTAATGGCAAATATGGAGCCAGCCGATAAGGATTTGCCCTGCTTTCTTTAAAAGTATTGGTACCTCAGGCCAGGCACGGTGGCTCACGCCTGTAATCCCAGCACTTTGGGAGGCTGAGGCGGATGGATCACCTGAGGTCAGGAGTTTGAAACCAGCTGGATCAACATGGAGAAACCCCATCTCTACTAAAAATACAAAAAAAATTAGCCGGGCGTGGAGGTACATGCCTGTAATCCCAGCTACTCCGGAGGCTGAGGCAGGAGAATTGCTTGAACCCAGGAGGTAGAGGTTACAGTGAACCGAGATTGCACCATTGCACTCCAGCCTGGGCAATAAGAGCAAAACTCCATCTCAAAAAAAGCCAAACCAAACCAAACAAAACAAAACAAAAAAAGTATTGGTACCTCAGAGAGACAAGGTGGTAAAAGAACTATGAACAAGGCCAGAGCCTGTGGTGACTGGGCATGAGCTCAAATCTCCTAAGGATGTCTCTAATGCCAGGGTTCCTTCAGTAATTGGATGGGAGGCATAACTGTAGTAATCTCAAAACCAAAAAAACTTGGCTTAGTTTTGAGATTTTTATTCAATAAGACAGGAGAATAATTTGGTATTAGATTTGACTTAAAAGCCTTAGTAAAAATAGAAAATATGGCATCAATATTAGTTTAATAGAGAAGGGTGCCAATGTAGTTACTATCTCAGGATTTTCATTCTGTATAGATTGATGATCCTAAGAATATTTTTAAAAAAGAAGCAAACAAAACCCACATGATCCGATACATTTCAGTAAAATTCTAGGAACAGTGACATGTTCAAAATACTCAATATCATGTTCTTTGGGATTTCTGGTCCTGTTGATATGGCCCAAATAATCTGAAACTCACCTATATACCTAAGCATCTTTGAAATACATATGTAAGGTTGAAAGGAAGTAAGGGAATTCTCCAGGGCCCAAAAACTAAGCTGAGGCTGCAGTTGTCCTGGAGTGGAGATGTAAAGGAGGTTGTAGCAAAGGAATAGAGATTAAAGCCCTGGGATGTTGCAAGATGGATGCTGAACCTAAGACATCCTCTCTTTTCCCCAACATAAAACCAGTAAAAGGGACAACTATAAAAAAAAAAATCTATCCACTACCATATGGAGATGTCAGGGCAGCTTGTCCGCTTTCAAATGGACTATAGGTAAAACAAAAAGTAGTTTTTCTGAAAACTACTTTGAAAAATTTGAAACCCTAGCTCTACCTCATGTAGGTTTGAAATTCAAATTTACATAACCCCTTTAGTCTGACAATCCCCAAGCAAAAGAAGTTAGAAAATGAGTAAAGCGGGCCGGGCGCAGTGGCTCATGCCTGTAATCCCAGCACTTTGGGAGGCCGAGTGGGTGGATCACCTGAGGTCAGGTGCATGGCCAACATGGTGACACCTTGTCTCTACTAAAAATACAGAAATTAGCCGAGCATGGTGGCAGGCACTAGTAATTCCAGCTACTCAGGAGGCTGAGGCAGGAAAATCGCTTGAACCTGGAATGCGGAGGTTGCAGTGAGCTGAGATGGCACCATTGCACTCCAGCCTGGGCAACAAGAGCAAAACTCTGTGTCAAAAAAAAAAAAAAAAAAAAAAAGAAAGTAAAGCTACTAAGAGGAAGAAAGGAAGGAAGGACAGACCAGATCCTATGGTGTTTTTCTTTCAAGTTTTGAGTACTACCAAATATTCCAGAAAGGATGAAAGCTGGATCAAGCCTGCTAATTTTTTTCTTTTAGGAATTTTGCATTATGATAGGAAGATTATTAATATGACATGTACTATCATGAACTAGTTGGGTTTATTTTGGGAATTCAAAGTAATCTATCACTAGAGAATGCATCAATGTATATTGTAAGAAAAAAATGAGAAAAGTTAAAACAAAATTTAGGATAATGGTAATGGGGAATTCATTCAGGGAAGACTATGCAGGGGTGAGGTCTTCAGACAGGTCTGTAATGTTCTATTTCTTAAGTACAGGGTACATGGATGTTCACTTAAGCTAAGTAGTGGGTACAAGGTATTCTTTTATACTATTTTATATGCCTGAGATGGTTTATACTAAAATACTAATCACATGAATTAATATGATTCATCACATTCAGAGTTTAAAGAAAGAAATTATATTATTTCATCCCTAGTTGCAGAAAAAGTGTTTGAGCACATTAAACATTCAACCATACTTTGAAAACATCATTTTAAAGGTGAAATTTTAGAAGAAATAAGACAGGAATGTCTTAAGAATTGAACTTGGAAGTCCTAGCTAGGAAAATGAGACAATAACAAGAAATAAGATATATAAGAATTAGAAAAGAAGAAAAACATCTGTCATTACTTACAGATAATTATGTTGCTTACATAGAACATCCAAGAGTATTTAATGATAAATAGAACCCCCAAAGTTTCAGAAAATTATTTGGTATGTAATCCATACATAAAAATGAGTTGCCTTCCTATATGCCAGAAGCCAACAGTTAGAATATATAATTTTATAAAAATTCTATTTACAGTGTCAACAAAAACTTTTAAATTCCTGATATAAAATATAATTAAAGACACGTAAGGTATTTAAAAAGAAAATTATAGATCCTTATTGAAAGGAATCAGTGGAAAGCTATACCATGTTTATGGATGGGATAATTTAATATCATTAATTTGATGTCTGACGAAATTAACCTTTTAACTAAATGTAATAATTCCAGTTAAAATTTGAGGAGAGCCTTTGGTAGAATTTGACAAGTTGGGTCTAAAATGTACATGGAAGAGCAAATGGCCAAGAATAGCCAAGTCTATTTTGGAAAAGAACAGGATGAAACGGGCTTATCTTATCTAGATGCCAACTTTCTTAAGATTTAGTAGTTAAATTAGTGTGGTATTGCCATATATAGTAAAATAAACAAATGTGTTTAACCAATAGCCCAGAAATAGACACATTTATATATATAAACATATTATATAATTATAATAGCAAATCTTGTATGGTTAGCCATTTAAAATAAATTAAAATTTGATCCCTATTTCATACCTTATACAAAGTAAAATCCACCTAAATGTGAAAATCAAACCTTTAACACTTTTAAAAGATCATATAAGAATATATTCCTATGATTTGGGATAAGATAGATTTTCTTTCAAATGACACAAAAGTACAACACATAAAGGAAGAAGGTGCTAATTAGATTATATTGAAATTCTGAACTTTCATTTAACAAAAAGAACACTGCAAAGTGAAAAA
This sequence comes from Homo sapiens, assembly GCF_000001405.40. Taxonomy (NCBI): domain Eukaryota; kingdom Metazoa; phylum Chordata; class Mammalia; order Primates; family Hominidae; genus Homo; species Homo sapiens. Next base: position 39,579,526 of record NC_000006.12, on the reverse strand, counting down.
CATGACAGAGATTGAGAGAAAACAGGTGCATTGCATAAAACTAACGAAGGATTCACATCCAGAATATAGAAAGAAGCTACCAAATCAATAAGGAAAGGAAAAACAAGTAAATGGAAACATGGACAAGAATGGGAATAAATAATTTGAGCAAGGAAGAACCCAAACTGCCAATATACATATGCAAAATGACCTACTGCACAAATAATCATGAAAATGCAAATTAGAACTAAAATGAGATATCATTTTACACCTAACAGATTGGCAAAATGAAAGTACCTGTCAATATTACATAGTGACAAAAATGTGGAAACAGGAACTTACATCTGTAGTTGATAGGAATGTAAATTTGTACTACTCTGAAGAGCAATTTAACAATATATAATAAAGGCAAGATGCACATACTCTCCAGCCAGGAAATCCTACTTCTAAAGTGCACACTACAGAGAAACTCTTACATACGTGCTCAAAGAGATTCATAATGTTCATAGCAACACTGTTCGTAATAGCAAAAGTAAAAATCCTAAATGTTCATCAACAGGAGACAAATAGATTCTGATATATTCCTTTACTGAAATACTATATATCCATGAAAATTAATGAACTAGAGCCACATGAAGCAATGTAAATAAGCTTAAAAACATAATGTGAAGGACAAAAACAAGTTGCAATTACATGCAGTAATGTAACATTTACATAAAGTTTAGGGCATGCAAAATGATACACTACATTATTTATGAGTACATGCATACATATGGAGTAAATGTATGAAAACACACAGAGAAATCAGACCCCTTAAATGCAGTACAGTGATCACCCCAGGAAGGACGGAGGGGGGATACCAATAGGGGGTTCCAGTTACATCAGTAATGTTTTATTTGTTTTAAAAAAAATTATAGAGGCTGGGCGAGGTGGCTCATGCCTGTAAACTCAAACTTTGGGAGGCCAGGGTGGGTGGATCACGAGGTCAGGAGATTGAGACCATCCTGGCTAACATGGTAAAACCCTGTCTCTACTAAAAAAAATACAAAAGATTAGCCGGGCATGGTAGCATGCGCCTGTAGTCCCAGCTACTCGGCTGAGGCAGGAGAATCGCTTGAACCCGGGAGGCGGAGGTTGCAGTGAGCCAAGATCATGCCACTGCACTCCAGCCTGGGTGACAGAACGAGACTCTGTCTCCAAAAAAAAAAAAAAAAAAAATCTAGAACTATTTTGACAAAACGTTAAGATTTAACAAAGCTGGCTTTTTATACCATTACCCATTTTTGTGTCCATAAAATTGTCCATAATTTTAAGAGCTGTATGTTCTCTGTCACCAAGTTCACCTTAATGAGAAGTTGACATTTTCTCTGCCTCTTTGCCATTTGTAGGTGATTAAACGCCTACAAAAGGAAATCCAGGAACTGAAGGATGAACTGGCCATGGTCACTGGGGAGCAGAGGACAGAGGCACTCACAGAAGCAGAGCTCCTTCAGTAAGTCTGCAGACTTTTTTTTCTTTTTCTTTAACAGTGAAAGTTTGTGTTAACTTCTTTGTTGGCCCTAATGTTATGAATTCACCTCAAAGCATGAAGGTCTCCTGGGACAGTCTGAAATTGCATTTAGGCGCCAGTTAAGAGTGGCGGCTTTCCATGAAAAGCTGGATAAGGCTGGCAGTGTTTTTGCCGCCTCAGCTTTGAGGAAGTAAAGAACAGAGCAAAGAGAGGATGGGAATATCCTTCTCATGCCAGCTGAAGAAAAGGAATTGTATAATAGTCATGCAATTTTAAAACACACACACCAAACACTCTTGAGCTGTGGGTCTCAGATCTGAAAGGAATTCAAGAGACATCCTTTGTATTAAACAGCATCTTGCCACAAGCACCAATTTATCCCATGCCAAAGTAAGCTCTCTCTTTTAATAAATGGATGGCCCATATATTATAGCTCGAACACTCTAACTGGGAATGAAAGCAGGTATTCAGGGCTTTATACAACTGCGGCATCTTTCAGAGCCTTTAGATTTGCAGCCATATGGCATATCAGTGGTGCAATGTGGCTCTCATTCTCTCTCTGATCACAGTGGGCTTTCTTGTTTCTGTGCTGCTTATTAAGCATGTGTTGGGTAGTAAGAATGGGCCAGGCTTTGAAGGCCATGGCATTCTCTATTTCCAAATGAGAAATAGAGCTACATAGGATTTCTAAAGATATACTATAATTTCACCTAACCCTCCCTCAATGGAGAAAATGGTAAATTAGAGAGAGAATAAAAGTGGTTGTCTTTAAACTATTTCATAGCTGCCCCTGAGGTAGGTCTAAAGCTTGAGAAGCCTCAGCAAGGTTTCTGTTATAGTCAAAGCTTTCACTCCTACGGGGTAGTGTTTCCTAATTCCAGAACACTGTATTTAATAACATGATAGGCCCCTAAGGCTTTTCTTGCAAGACTGCTTTGTGGCATATTTGCAATTAAGGGGAAGCATATTGACAAAAATTCACTTTAAAAAAAGTTTTATGTCATTTCTTCAAACAACTTGGGATATCATAGATATTGAGAACACTAACCTCAAACTATCTTCACTATGGTGTTCCTTTCCCCTCAAAGAAGGGAATTACCAATTATTGTCTTTGAAAATGTCTCTTCAGAATTTTGATCTACAAGTCAGGATCCAGCCAAGAAAACAGAACCAGTCTAGGCCTTTTAACAAAAGGAATTTAATATAGGAAATTGACTGCCAGGAGACAGTTTTGCTGAGAAACTAAACAGGAAATGAAGCAACACCCCAGAGATCAGTAACAGCAGGAGCTTCTATGCCCCTAGGATTGCAGGGACAACAGGAGAAGGTGATGATACCAGAACCTAAGAGCAGGAGCTGACAGGCAGAAGCTAGACCATACTGAGTGCTGTGTGACAGCCGCTGCAGCCACTGAAGAGCCACAGGTGCTAGTCGAGACACTGTCCAGAGGAACATCCTTGGCTTCTCTCACGTCCCCCTTTCAGTCTTCCACCAGTGCTTCCTGTTGGCTGAAGTTATCCAGAAGCCAGTTGCTAAAAAAGTCTAGGAATGTAGTTTCTTGTGATGCAGAGTCAAAGATGGGAAGGGGGAAACTGAGTCTAAAAGCAACATATTCAATCACTACCAATGTTCACATCTGTAATCCCAGCACTTTGGGAGGCTGAGGCGGGTGGATCACCTGAGGTCAGGAGTTCGAGGCCATCCTGACCAACATGGAGAAACCTCGTCTCTACTAAAAATACAAAATTAGCCGGGTGTGGTGGTGCATGCCTGTAATCCCAGCTACTCGGGAGGCTGAGGCAGGAGAATCGCTTGAACCCGGGAGGCAGAGGTTACAGTGATCCGAGATCGCACCATTGCACTCCAGCATGGAGTGAAACTCCATCTCAAAAAAAGAAAAAAAAATCAGTACCAGTGTTTCTGCGAATTCCTGTGTATCCTGTATGTTTTTCAGGAGGCTTAGTTTAAGGGTAAGATTTTGAATATGGTGGTTTCAGTATGTCAGACTGAGTGTGCTGCAGGTTCCCTCTATTGTATCAAATCTAGAGAATTATAGCACTGGGATAAACACATGGATCTCTCGTCATACCTAAAAACAGGAAGCCGACTTCTTGATGGTCTAGAGACTTCAAGGAATTCCTGAGGGACCGAGAGGTGGGACTTGAGATGGACAAGAGTAAAGGATAGACTAAGGCATGGGTGCAGCATAATAATTGCTCCACGTCTGGAAGTGTGGAGCCCTGGAGCAGGAGAGGGCTAGGAACAGCCAATGAGCATTTGGTAGAGCTGTTGTAGTGGGGCAGTTTGTCCTGTGAACTCCTGAGCCCTCCTCCTCTGCAGTGTTAAGAATGGAGAGACAGGGAAGGGCCCCAGGTAGCTGACAGAGAGCCCAGAGAAGTTCTGAAGACCAGTTGCTGTCTTTAGCTTTATTTACCCATCCCCTATTCTCACGAAAAATAAGAGGAAGCAGCCGGGCGTGGTGGCTCACGCCTGTAATCCCAGCACTTTGGAAGGCCAAGGCGGGCGGATCACAAAGTCAGGAGATCGAGACCATCCTGGCCAACATGGTGAAACCCATCTCTACTAAAAATACAAAAAAATTAGCCGGGTGTGGTGGCGGGCGCCTGTAGTCCCAGCTACTCGGGAGGCTGAGACAGGAGAATGGCGTCAACCCGGGAGGCAGAGCTTGCAATGAGCCGAGATCGCGCCACTGCACTCCGGCCTGGGCAACAGAGTGAGACTCCATCTCAAAAAAAAAAAAAGAAAAATAAGAAGACGCTCAAGCACTGGCAGCTGCTTCAGCCCCTCATCCCAGACAAGCTGCTCAAGCTGAGATACCTGAGAGTCCAGGAAAGATGAGCCCATGGTTCAGGTGTGGCTGGAATTAGAAATATGAGGCCAAAAGTCTGAGAATGATAAGAACAAGAAGATTGTACAACCCATAGGGCCTTAGAACTAAACATTACCCAAAGTGATTAATATCTTTAGAGAAATAGAATATGGTATTACATCTATAAAACAAGAACAGTAGTTGACTTTTATGAAGCAAAATCAAGGGGAAATCTTGGAAATGAAAAAATATAGTTGTTGTCATTAAGAACTTAACAGATGGCTCAATAACAGAATGAAAAAACCGAGGGGCAGATTGGTGAGCTAGGAAGATCAGGGCTAAGGATTTCTTCCAGAATATGAGATAAAAGGATAAAGAGAAAGGTTAAAAGAAAAGTGTCATAGAGAATAGCTCTATATTTACCAATATCTGATGAATAGGTGTTGGTGAGGAGAAAATAGAGATGATGCAGAGGAGCCAATAGTTAAGAAATAATATCTCAGAATTTCCTAGAACTAAAAAAATAAGACATGCAACTTCAGAATGAAAAGCTACCAAGTGCTAAGCCATATAGTCATATTGTAGAAAATTTTTAGAGCCACAAAATACAGAAAAGAATCATGAAAGTTACCAGAGAGGAAAAAAAATTACTCTAAATCAATAATCTGATTTAGAGCAAACTTCTCATCAATAATTCTGAAAACAAGAACATCTAGTGCTAAGGAAACAAACAAAAAGTACTTTAAATGTATTTTTCTGTATCTAGCCAAATTTGTATTCAAATGTGAAGATGAAAAAAGGCATTCTGCCGACATGCAAACTTTCAGACCGAAAGGATAGCACCCTAGATCCTTTCTCAAGGAATGACCACAGACTGTAATTTAACAAAAGAAAAATGCAGTAAAGTATATGCAATAAGAATGAGCAAATTTTGTTATATCTTCTTTATGATTCTTACTATTGTATAATATTTATATTATATCTTTTACTAACTTGCCATGTATTCCATAAATGAATTTTTCTGTTTAGAAGGCATAGCAGTCAAATAACAATTAAATTTTTCTTTCACAAGAGTTTGGGCGATAGAATGAAAACTAAAATTGTGACAATAGATTGAAATACTGAAGGACTTATAGATCCTGGATTGATTTCTGTTGATCTATAGATGAGAAATATACAAATGTCAACCTCAACAGATCCTATAGACAGTATGGAGGGTTGCCAGTAGTTTTTTGTGCAATTAGTTTATTTGTTCATTCATTTAACACTCATTATTTATCTAACATTCACAAAACTCTATGTTAGGCCCTGAGTGGGGCACAAATATGAGCAAAACCTAGATCCTGCTCTCAAGAAACTCATAATTTAGTGGTGGTGACAGACATGAGCACAAGTAATGATGTGATATATAAACATTATGAGAAGATATAAACAAAATACAACGAGAATGCAGAGATATCAATAATTACTTTTGGGCTCAGGAATCATGTAAAACTAGTTCACGTGCTACTAAATAAACTTCAGCATTTCCCAATGAAATGACTTGTCTGCTGTCAAGAGAAGTGTGCTATGTATCATTGTGTCTTATTAGTGATTTCTGACTAGCAGTTAGGGAGAACAAATGTTGCAAACGAAAATCACCCTGCCAAAGCAAATCATACAGTTTCACAAAAGTAGTAAATTTGGCACTCGTTCACAACTGACAGTGCAGATTATTCAGACAATGTGTTCTGTTTTTATTGTTTATGTTAAATTGTTATCATTATGTTTCCCATAATTACCTAGATTGAACATTAGTACAACCTACATTTCAACGGACTTAAGAGTCTTTTATCATCTTAAAATGAAAGTGATAAATTAAAATTTACCCCTAAAGTGCTACTGCTATTTAACACCATTAGTCTGTACTGCTCTGTGTTCTAGGGCCCCTGGATATTTATTCAGGAATGTGAATCAGCTTCAGTCCTCTTATTGCGCCCAAACTCTCCAGGAGACAGGCAGGAGGGGGATGATGGTACTGAGAGAGTATGTGTCCCAGAGCTTGTCAGGACACAGTGGCAGAATTGCTCTCATCCTCTTCTACTTCTCTGTCCTGCAGATTCCTGCAGGTTTATGTTGATTGGCATGGCATAAGGATATTACCATCAGACATTCTCTGAAGAATATCAGAAAGCAGATATTTAGTAGATACGGTATTTTATCTAGTATGAATTGTGCAGTTTGAAGATGTCTGTTAATGACTAGCCCTATCAGATTTTTTGAGCCATTTCCCAGCATTTCTATGCTTAATGTAAATATTTGTTGCATGGACTTGGATGCTTTAATTTAAGAGGATTTCAGATGTCAGCCTCCAGTTATTATGATATTTTTAGTTTACATCTTTTTTGGGGGGTGGGGTGGCTGGGTATATTTGAAAAGAGACAGCTGGATAAAGGCTGTATAGCCAAGTTAATGTATACAGAACTTCTTCGGTGAAGATTTGATTGTGATTGAGTCTCTAAACACATATACAATTGTTTCTTTGGTAAAAAAAAAAAAAAAAAAAAAAGCCTGTAGATCTTTGGCTAGGCTTGGAAGCATTGTATCCTGACCCAAATCTAAGCGAGTCAAATATTTTCTGTTAGCAACGTTTCACTTCCGAGATGAAATTGAATTGGACCTCATTAACTCTTGCCCCAAAGTGTCTGGATACCTCTAAACATCTGGATCCTTTTCTAACAGAAAAAGAGGTCTTCTTGCAGTTAATCCTTCAAGCTGAATTTATTGAGCACCTACTAGACGCTAATCATTTTAATAGGTGCTTTGGTGGGGGGTTAGAGGTATAGGATACAAAAAATTACAAAAAATAATTCCAAGGAGTTACAGTTTTATTAAGGAAAACTTACAGACACATATATACACACAAATACATACACATGTATATGTATATATAAAACACAGAACAAAGGAATATATTAATGGAGAGAATAAATGGATGCTGATAATTTTAACTTTAATTCTAGTTTTTATTCTACCCATATTAGTTTTTTAATGACTCTGCAGACTTAAGGTTTCTTATGTGTAAGGTGAGAGAGTTAAACCAAATGTGATCTATGCACTCTTTTCAGTTCCATGTTTAAAAATGTAATAGCAGTTTATTACATATGGTTAATACATTATTTACTCACTATGATAATAAAAAGCAAAATAATTATGTAGGAATTCAGAAATGAGGGAAGTCACTGAAGATTTCACCCATGGAGTAAGCTGAAAAATTTCTAAAGGATGTCAAGAGGAAGAAGGCACCCTTCTAACAAAGATTCTGAAAGGGAATGTGAGAGGGTGGGAGGGGTGGGGTAAGGAGTGTAGAGAATAGCAGGAGACCAACATAGGAGTTTGCATATAGCAAACACTAACTGATGAGAATCTGAATTGAAACTGGCCTGGCAGGAGCCTGAAGTTCTCATGGAGGAATTGAAGAATAGGACTAGACAGATGAATGGTGACCTCATGGTGGGTTATGAATACCATATGCAGAGGAGCTGGTATCTTCCTTAATGGTATCTAGGAAATGAATTGTGGTCTGAGAGTATTAAATTCATTCATTCATTTAATGAATGTTTATTTTGCTCTCTCCTTGTGCTAGGCACTGTTTTAGGTGCGGGAAATATGGGAATAAACAAAATAATGTTCTTGCCCTCATGGAGCTTACATTCTTGTGGAGAGACAGTACACAAGATAACTAAAATATAGAGCATTTCAGATTGCAGAAGCTGAAAAGGAAAAATAAAACAGGAGTTGCAGCTTTAGCAGGGTGACCATGAAAGAATTTATGTGATGACGTCTTTTTTAAGATTACTCCTCTCATAGAATTGGACAGAATTGGCTGGAGTGAGAAATCAGAAAAACATTATAATCAGTTTGGGAGTGAGGATGAGGGAAGAGACTTGAATGGTGACGATAAGAACAGAGAAGAGAAAAGTCTGAGAGATCTTGTTAATGAAGAATCAATAGAAGTGATGGTTTCACATATAAAAGGGGTAAAAAAGGGAAAATAGTGATAACTTATGACTGTAAAACAGGTTATCAAGAGGTGGAAAAATTGGGAAAGGAAAGATAAGAAAGGCTCAGTTTTTGTGTATGACGAAGAAATACACAGATTGAATTCTGGAACTTCAGAGGAAGGTTAAAAGTGATGATTTAAATTTTAGGGTGACTGGTAGTGAGTTGATATAATACTGAGGTCAAGACCAAGAGTCAGTTAGGAAATTCTCTGATCTAACCTGAGGTATGTAATAATTAGTGTATTAGTCTGTATTCATACTGCTAGAAAGAACTGCTGAGACTGGGTAATTTATAAAGAAAAGAAGTTTAATTGACTCACAGTTTAGCATGGCTTGGAAGTCCTCAGGAAACTTACAATCATGGCAGAAAGCAAAGGAGAAGCAGGCACCTTCTTCATGGGGTGGCAGGATGGAGTGAGTGTCCAGCAAAAGTGGAAAAGCCTCTTATAAAACCATCAGATCTCGTGAGAACTTACTCATTATCAAGAGAACAGCATGGGGGTAAACACCCCCATGATTCAGTTATCTCCTATCAGGTCCCTCCCATGACACATTGGGATTATGGGAACTACAATTCAAGATGAGATTTGAGTGGGGACACAGCCAAACTCTATCAATTAGTATCCATAGGATCATAATCTTCCTACGTGCAAGCTTACTATAGGTGGATTGCCAACTGAATTCATCCTTTCACTTAGCCACATCAATCACCACATCTCCTCCCCAGTGTATTTTTACATGGAATTAAATATTCCAGTCACTGGATATTTAACAATGAAGAGAAAAGGAGCTCCTACCTAACAGGTGGCCCTGAACTCAACATGCCCCAAACTGAATTCCTCTCCATTTTTCCCCAGACCTGGTCTCTACCACTGTATCCTCCATCAGTCAATGTCTCTCCAAGCTGTACTGTTGCCCAAGCCAGAAAGTTAGAAGTTTCTTGTGGTTCTGTCCTTTTTCTCATACTCCAAGTCCAATCGGTTTGGGGCATTTCTTTTAAAAAGTAATTATAACATTAAATAATTTAAGACTAAATATAGTTTAAATCCAAACACATAGTATTATAAAACCCACACAGAATTTGTTTCAAAAGAACATATTTGTACTAATAAAAGCTTCATTGATGTCCAAGCTTTATATTGAAATGCAAATAAATATGCCTAAAGGAAGAGTCTTAAATGCTCGTTTATCCATCAAATAAATCGCACTTTGAAATAAAACAAATTTATACCTGTATTCATTTTTTCCAGTGGATAAACACTGACTGAGTACTAACAGGACCATGTTGGGCACTGTGTTAGGAGCTGGGAGGCTCAGAGACAAACTAAATAATCCCTCAGGAAGGTGGTGTGCCACAGACAGGGGAAGATGTCCAGACACACACGCTCTTTGCTGATGCCCACCTGCTGTGATAGACAGCTGGTAGAGATGGAGGTGGAGGAGTGTTCTGTGAAGGGGAGGAAACAGAGAGGAAAGATTTTATATAGGAAGTGACAACAAAACACCCATCAATGCTTTCATCCTTTGAAAGTTAGCATTTAAAGGTAACTCTAGGAGAAGCCATTTCCACCATATTTAAGTTGCAGTTCAAATTTTTTTATTGGCTAATCAAACAAAAGTTTAATTTGATTTAGTTCTTCAATATGTTTGAAGTTGAATAAATTTCAACTATAGGTACAGTGGCTCTCTTGAGCCTAAAATTTGATAACTTATTCCAAAAAGCGTAAGACAGAATAATTTTTCAAAACCATCTCATATAATTTGATATATACCATCCCAATGACTATATGTCTTGTAACGTGATCCTCAGACTATTTTAAAAATCAAATGAAACAAACAAATAAAATAAATAAATATTCTACAGTATTTGAGTTAATACAGTCCTAGTGAAAATTAGATACCAAACCAGTCTTTTAGGGACAGTCTCTTGTCAGTACTTAATTCTGGACCAATAGTGCTTTATCCTTTTTATATTCAGTTTATTGTCACTGGCCTCCAAAGTGGTTTTAGTTATAAAACCACTATTAAAAACATTTCAAAATCATGACTCATCCTCCACAAGTTCTGTGACATGACAAGCCCTCCGGATTGCACTCTGCAAGAATCTTCACTGTAAAGGCAGGAGGAGTGGATTTCAGGAAACTATGAACCTCAAAGATGAGAAGTAGACCTGGAGAGAGAGAGAGTGGAGAGAGACAGAGAGAGAGAGAGAGAGAAAGGCCTACAGAAGAGTCTAAACCATCTATTGAAGATTGTTTGAAACATGACTGAACTCTGTCCTATATAGACTGCTTATTAGAAAATGAAAAATCTCGGCCAGGCTCAGTGGCTCATGCCTATAATCCCAGCACTTTGGGAGGCTGACGCAGGTGGATCACCTGAGGTCAGGAGTCCAAGACCAGCCTGGCCAACATGGTGAAACCCCATCTCTACTAAAAATACAAAAATTAGCCGGGCATGATGGTGGGTGTCTGTAATCCCAGCTACTCAGGAGGCTGAGGCAGGAGAATTACTGAAACCCGGGAGGCAGAGGTTGCAGTGAGTCCAGGTTGCGCCACTGTGCTCCAGCCTGGGTGACAAGAGCAAGACTCCATCTCAAATTAAAAAAAAAAAGAAAAGAAAAGAAAATGAAAAATCTCAAGAAAGTTTGTGCCTAATTTCTTGTAATGGATGAAACTGTTCAAATGATATTAACCACACCTCACTATTCAGAACCCCTCCTATGACCCAGGTCCCAAATGCAAAGGCCCTAAATGGCCTAGCCTGTGGCAACTGCTAAGACCCCGTTCCCTGCAAGCATCTCTTTCATTCTGGTCTCCTCACCATTTCTCCCTGAAAACGCCTTCTTCACTTCCTTGATCAAATGTCTCAGATCAGAAAGACCTTCCTGGGCCACTTGATCTAGAATATACCTTCCCCCGTCACTCGTTACCCCCTGTATACAGAGTTATTTTCGTTTATAGCAGCAGTGTCCTGTTTAATGTTTCATTGTCCTTTGTCAATCTCTCCCTGCTTTGCTGCATGAGGACCAGGACGTTGTCTGAGTTGTTCAGCACTGTGCCTGCCCCAGAACCTAAAGCAGTACCTAGCACATGGGCTCTCAGTAGTAAATATTTGTTGCATGAATTAGTGAATACTCTGCCTGGCGCTCAGGCCCCCTCTGGCTTCTTTCATGAACCATTCATTTCAAATCACATGGATCTCTACTCAGGGTCCCCAGGACCAGCCTCTGTTGATAGAAATCACTTCTGTGTCCCAGGCCAGGCTCAGTGGCTCACACCTGTAATCCCAGCACTTTGGGAGGCCAAGGCGGGCGGATCACGAGGTCAGGAGATCGAGACCATCCTGGCTAACACAGTGAAACCCCGTCTGTACTAAAAATACAAAAAATTAGCCAGGCGCGGTGGTGGGTGCCTGTAGTCCCAGCTACTCGGGAGGCTGAGGCAGGAGAATGGTGTGAACCCAAGAGGCGGAGCTTGGAGTGAGCCGAGATAGCGCCACTGCACTCCAGCCTGGGCGACAGAGCGAGACTCCGTCTCAAAAAAAAAAAAAAGAAATCACTTCTGTGTCATTGATTTGGTATCCACTGGATGCTAGGCCTTGTGGATTTCAGTTCATGAGGATGAATGACTGAGGAATTACTGGAAATACTCAGAATTTTGTGACAACTATTTTCTAAACTGTTTAGTCACTAAGATCAGGCAGGGAACTTTTATATGAATAGACTGAGAGTTAAGAGGCTTGAATTCTCATCTTGACTCTCCTAGTCTAAGGAGACTAGCTATCTTAAGATGGTCATGCCTTTTCTGTAGTCCTCAATATTTTCATCATGCATGAGCATTTATATCATCTCCATGCATCTGTTACTCATCTTTTGTGTGAGAGTAGTAATGGCACCCACATCACAAGGCTCTTACGAGGATTGATGGGGTAATTCGTGTTATGTACTGAACACAATGCCAGGCCCACAAGCACCCCATCAGTGTTACCTGTTACTATGATTCCTTGATACAATTTTTATTATTGCTGAGGAATCTACTTCATTTATAGAAGTCTTTTCAAGCTTCTCTACTGGAAAACAAAGAAGCAAATCATGTTTTAATGACCCTCTTTAGAACATACACTCATGCATGCACACAGGAAGAAAAAGTGCCCGAAAAGAAAACTATAAAATTGTTACTGGAATTACAAGTGATTTTTTTTGGTTATTTTTACCTGGCTGTATTTACTAAAATTTCTACAGAAAATTAAAGGTCATTCTTAAAAGAATTAATGTCACTTGCTGATTTTACACCTCCAAGTGACAGAAAAACAATGTTTCATTTAATTAATGAACCTTGGAAAAAATGCTTTTCTTACTCTACTTTTATACTAAATTTCACAGCTAATTAAAAACAAATGTTCTCCCTTGGCATATACCAATTTATTGTGCAATATATGTAGTTGGTTTTGAGATCTAAATTACATCTGCTTCTGGAATCTTCAAATTATTTTCATCATTAACATTTGTATGATTTTTGTATATTTGGACTGTAATATTGCATACTGTTAATTAGTCATTTCAAAGTGGTGCTTTTCTTAGACAGTTGATATAAGACTGCTTATCTAAAAGGCTAAACAAAACAAAAACTATAAATTGCCAGAATGGAATGTCCATAAAATGCTTCCAAACTGGAGCTATTTGCTTTGCATCTTACTGTCCACACTCTTACCCATAACAGAGTTCCACATACTCCCTGAATAGGAGATGTTTGCCGAAACCTTTAAGATATTTGGAAATTCAAAAGTAAAGTAGCAGCCTGAATCATAAAAAGAGCTGATGCATAAACATTACATTTTATTTAAAATAAAGTGATGATTTTTTTAAAAATTTGCAAATGTGTGTGTTTATATGATGTAATATATATAAGTGGATAAGTAATATGTACTCATTGTAGACTTTCTAAAAGATACAGACAGACAGGAAAAAGAAAGCAACATGTATATGCACATACTCATATCTGAGTGCATGAGAAACATGCCAGAAGTGAAAGGCAGCCACTTTGGGCTTGAGTGAGGGTGGTGAAGACTTTTTCCCCTAGATGATTTTGCAAGGGACTTGTAAATGTTATGTCCAACATCGAGATGTGGAATCCAGGCCCCTGTTTTCTCTTTCACCCTCTTCTTCAGGATTCATGCCAGGTGGAATTCTCTGCATCTCTTTGTAGAAGTTCAGCAGGGATACTTTATTTTAATACCTTAATGCTTCTTTCAGGTACTGCCTAGTTGTGTTTATTTTGAACTCTCTGTTCTTTCAAAACTGGACATGTCAACGAAACCTCCTGTTTTCCATTTTCTGAATTTAGCATTTCAACATCTGTATAACAGTTGTACTAAAAATACTCAAATGTTTTATGAAATTGTGAATATCACACAGTCTTATAAATGGGCAAGATGAATTGAGATTTGTTGTTATTGTTGATACTGAGAAGGATTTCATTTGTTCACCTGTTTTGTTTTGCTTTGTTTTGAGGTAGGAGGTGGTGCCAAATTTTTGTATTAGTGAAGAACTTAACCTTTGGGTGTATATTCTCATTTATCTCATTTGCTTACAAACCTGTGGGCTAAAGAGAGTTCAGAGAGAACAGTTTGTCTTAGCTTCATACCTGAGACTTGGAAGAGGAGGTATTGAGATTTATCCTCCTGTTTGATTCCCTGGGCTTGCGGAAAATGGAGATTTGGATCTGTCCTGAGGCCTTAATTATCAGTCCTTGAGGATTATTGAGCACCAGCAGTACTTTGCTAGAGCTGTCAAAGAAGCAGAAGAATCATAAAGCCTGGTGCCTGCCTAGAAAGACCATATGAGGAAGCATGGCATCTGCTATTAAGAATAATAAAAATTAAAATTAAGGCAAGTAAATGATCATATACAAAATGAGCAATAAAGATCAGGAGCACAAAGAACTTACTGCAAAATTATCCAAATAACTGTCTGTATAGATCAAGTGTTTAAAAATAAAATGAAAATAAATGACGTTTCGAGAATTGTCCATATGCAATGTCAAAGCAAGCCTACGCTCTCTCAGAACTGCCACCAAATCTAGAATTAGACACTTTGCTTTTATTTTTCAGCTCTCTTCTCAGTACAATATGGATACTTGTCCCTCTGACATTCAGATAAAGATTTGAGAACTTGTAAGAAAAATCCAAAGTTTTCATTTTGTTAAGGAACCCCAGTGTAGGATTTCCTAGTGCTGATAAAGTAGACAATGCTTCCAAATGGAATAAGGATAATTCGTGTTATTCATTGGTCTGTGAAATGGTATTATCTTCGTATTCAGCTAAGCATTGGAATAAATTCTACTTCTTTTAAATTTTACACCTATTAAAAAATGGTAGTTTGGCAGAGCCTTCTAGTTGGGCACAACATAATGGAGCATTGACTCCAAATAGCACATGAATTTGTGTTCGCAGTATACATCCAACTTACAGCAAAAGCACACCAAGATAAAATGTAAGATACCTCATGAAACTATCCCCCATTTCCTCTTCATATTAACCCTAGCTTGAGCATTCACCTTTGCCTCTGGTGTTCACAGGCTCTTTTGTAGAAGCTTGGCTGTATTGCCTGCCTTTATATCCTTATAGGCAAAAAGACAAACATTCCCCAAGACAGCCCAAGGACTGATCTCAGCCTGCCCTGATTGCCTAGCAAATAATTAGTCCTAGTTCTTGAAACCTAACTCTAAGAAGCTAAACTCAGTGATAACTTAAGACTGCATATTTTTCTACTCTATTCCTCAAAGTACTCTTTATTCTCATTCCCATCCTTCAAACCCAATTTCCCCAGTGGTTCCCTCTGTGTTTATCATTAACTGAGCATACTTACGACTTTTGCCACATCCTCAAAAATTTGTCATTATTATGGTCAAGGTAGCTACTGCCTGTTGTATCATTTCCACAATTTCCTGGAGAAATCAGATTTCCCCTTCTTTTTCATGAGCCCACCTCCTGCTATTAGAGCTTCTCAGCTGCTTTGCTCATCAGTGTGCTTTCCAGATCAGTCAACTAGCATGTGTTGGGCAGAGTACAGGACTGTATACTTACTTGTCTATTTAGTCTGAAACCCTGAATTGAAATTGGCAGCCACAAGTTTCCTCTTTTTCCTGCGTGCCACTTTTTCTTATGTTCCCTGATAGTCTAACTTTTCCTGTAAGTTTGGAGAATGCAAGTAACCATCAAGAAACAACTGGTTAATTATCAAAGAAATGCAAATTAAAATGAGGTGCAATTTTTGGCCAACCTTTTTGGTAAAAATGAAAAAGGCGATGAGACCCTGAGTTGGTGAGGGTATAATGAGCTCTTACACAGCTAGTAGAGTGAATGAGGCCAGTGACAGACAGGGAAGCCTGTTCCTGAGGCCTGGGGCAAGTCCTTTGTAAAATTTTTTTCATGTTACCACTTGCTGGGCAGCCCTGAAAAGCATTAATACAAACTCTTTCACTGAGTGTGCTTTCAGGTCCAGCAATTTTACTTCTAGAAATTTGTCCCTAAGGACACAGATACAAAGATATTTATCACAAACTATTTATAATAGAGAATTGGGTTATGGTACATTTATGGAACATAACGCAACAGTTATCCATGTCAATGAAGACATACATATATAAATAATATGCATATATTATCTACATATATATACATGTATCTACATATTGATCTGGGAATATGTCTAAACTATACTGTTAGTTTTATAAAATATTCTGATCTCACTTTTGTGATGAAAAATACACATGTATGTATATGCTATGTACATAGATGATAAATATATGTGTATATATGTGTTTACAAACAAGTCTGGAAAGATAAACGCCTAAAGTTTACAGTATTATCTCTGGGTTCCAGGATGGAGTAATCTTTTGTCTTCTAAATTTTCTTTTCTTTTTGCAGCAGGGCCTCCCTCACTCTATCACCCAGGCTGGAGTGCAGTGGCGCGATCTCACTGAAACCACCACTTCCTGGGTTCAAGCGATTCTTCTGCCTCAGCCTTCCTAGTATCTGGGACTACAGGTGCGCACCCCTGCACCTGGCTTATTTTTGTATTTTTGGTAGAGATGGTGTTTCACCATATTGGCCAGGCTGGTCTCGAACTCCTGACCTCAAGTGACCTGCCCACCTTGCCCTCCCAAAGTGCTAGGATTACAACAGGTGTGAGCCACCACACCCAGCCTTTCTTCTCTATTTTCTAAATACATTTTGCAATGAACATGCATTACTTTATGATCAGGCAAAATAAAGACATTTAAAATTATGTTAAAGTACAGACATGAAATATTCTCTACCTCATAGTGTTTTTCATGTTATAATCAAATCATTCAGCAAATGTTCATAATTATGGTATAAATAAATGCCATTTATTGAGCATTTGCCAGTAGGCATTGGATTAGACATTTTATATTAGACTTTTTATATATGTAGTCTAATATAATTTTCCCAGTAACCTCATGAGGCAAATAACATTCAGCTAACTAGATGCATAGTCAGAATTTGAATCCTGTTTGGTCTGTCTCAAGATCTGCTCTTTTGTGACCCCTGAGCCATAAAGGTGTGAGGTTTACAGTGGTGACTTAAACTTAAATCCTTCTTCTAAGGAGTTTATGTGGCAAAATGCAAGTGGTATTCTAGAATTGGTGTGCGTGGTTCGGTATCAAAAACTAAGGCCTATCTGGAATGCTGTATTTTCTTCACTGTTGTTCCCTCATTCTGGGTATGTCTTATAGAAATGATATTTTCTGGGATATCCAGTAGGAGGCAAGAAAAGGACTCATGTCTCCTCTGGTAGGAAAACGTATCCCCCTTTTCATTCTAAAGACTTGCTTCTACTAAGACAGAGAATAGGTCCATAAAGTAGATATCCACCACTGTCTTTGACTGATTTTTGGTGTGTTAGAAGTATATTAACCAGTGCTTGTTTTAATATCAGACAGTTTATGTAGAAGTAACCACAGCTGATAAAACTCATGAGTTCATGCCAGTAATGAAATTCCTCACAGTTCAAGTAATCATGGGGCCACTAACTTATGAGGTTGTTACTAAGAAACACAGGACAGAGCCTAATTTTTCTTATTAGCCACCCTTTGGGTCAAATGTCTGACTTTCCCAAAGTTTGTTGCTTCATTATTCATTGTCATCAGCCAAAGAAGAATAGCAGATACATAGGAGACTTCTTGTTTCGGTCAGTATCACTTATTTCACAGAAACATTTCTCACGTGGCATTCATTGAGCAGTTACACAACTAGAAGCTCAGATGGCTGGTAAGAAGCCCTGAGACCACTTCATGCCAAACCTTGTAAACACAGGTTCCTGTCTGGGGACTCCCTGGGTAACCCTGTCCTGCCCATGGCTTCCCTAGGCACATTTCAAAACTTTCTTGGCTGAGCTGGGCTTTCAGCCTCCAAAGCATCATGTTTCCTTGCTGAGTTAGGAAAGCAAAGGTTTCACAATGTTTGTGCATAAAAGATTTGAGTTGGCCAGGTGCGGCGGCTCACACCTGTAATCTCAGCACTTTGGGAGCCAAGGCAGGCGGATCACTTGAGGTCAGGAGTTCAAGACCAGCCTGGCCAACATGATGAAACCCCATCTTTACTGAAAATACAAAAAAAAAAATTAACCGGGCGTGGTGACCTGTGCTTATAATCCCAGCTACTCAAGATGCTTAGGCAGGAGAATCTCTTGAACCCAGAAGGCGGAGGTTGCAGTGAGCCGAGATCATACCAACGCACTCCAGCCTGGGTGAGAGAGTGAGACTCCATCTCAAAAAAAAAAAATGGTTTGAGTTTAATATTCTCCTTTTAACATTCTCAGTTTTCTTTTCTTGAAAAACACTTTATGACTTAAACTCACTTTCATAAATATTCAATGTAATCTAGATTTGTAATAATTTAGTGTGTAGGACTATTTTTAGCTGCCAATTCTCTACTAGTGTAGGATTTCTTGTGACTCTTGCTTAGGTACTTTTTCTTTCATGGTCTGGTTCTGCCTTTTCTGACTCAGGTGCATGCTGTGCACTCATACTGGCCATGCTTTCTGGTTTGATGCTGATCCTTGCTTATATTGCAAAGGCAGATTATCTGCATAGTCCATAAGTGCCCCCAGTCAGCCTTCCATAATGCAGAGACTTCCTACTGCAATTACATAATCTCAGGAGTGTATGCAACAGTATTTTCATTGCTTTAGCTATTTCTACTCCTGTTTGCTACTGCTCAGGTTAGTACAAAGCACAAAATTTTAGAGAGTCTGTCTTGAATCAGAAAATGCTCAGCCAATGACTTCTGCAAAATGCCCCTAAAAAGGCTATTTTCTGCAGAGAACACAGAAAAGGTACTTACTTAGCCCACAACATTGGCAGCAAACAAAATGAGCTGGGATGGAAGGGTGGGGTTGCAAAGATGTATTAATGACAGATTCTGGCTTCAGAGACCTTCAATCTTGTAAGTGAGATAAGTATGTGAATATCTATAATATAAAGTCAAAATTCTACCTGTCACAAGAGAAGTGCCGGGGTAATTGCGGGGAATAGAAATTACTTTTGACTGGGAAGAACAGGGATGTGCAGACTCGTGAATCAAGACAAGATTTAGAAAAGCAAAGCTGGACAGGGAGAACATTTCAGATAGAGGAATCAATATGAGCAAAGCCGTAAGTGTGGCTTCCTTATTTTAAAGATGCGTAAACAGATCCAGAGAAGTGATGTGACTTACAAAGATTTCTATCAAGTTGGATTCTTGCCTGAGAAAATCAGTCTTCACAAATTCTGGCCCCCTAAGGGTTCTAAACAGTTTTATAGCTCTCTGAATTATTAGCTTTAAAATCAATTGAAAATGTAGTATATTATTAGTGGGGAAACATTTAGATGCTGTGGGCAATGCTTGCACTACGTTTTATTCTTTCAGAATAAGAGCAGCAGCACTGGGCCTAACTTCAATTTATTACTGGTAAATGAGTTAATGACTAAGAGCAGTTGTTGAGGCCTTTCTTCATGCCTGGGTCCACACATCCCAGCAGTGAGCACCCACCGGTCAGCTCCAAGCTGGAATGCCTGCAGGTTTTCTGGCTTTCAGCTTAGGGTGGCCAGATTTAGCAACTAAAAATACAAGATGCCTCATTAAATTTGAATTTCAAGTAAATAACAAATAATGTTTTGTATAAATATGTCTGGTGCAATATTTGCAACCCTATTTTAGCTTTGTTTTATATGATCAGAGTTTATATTTTTATTTTCATAATTTGATGAATAGTTTTGCCTTAAAAACAGTTAGTTAGTTGATATTTGCTGTTATACCTTTTTTTTTTTTTAAAGTACCACTTAACACAACCTCAAAGGTTTTCAAAGGCCAAAATCCAAGGGAAGTTAAGGTGGATAGACTTGGATGTGTTTTATTCATCTTTATATAACCAACACCTGGTTGACAATAGGCAGTCAATAAACGCTCTGAATAAATGTAAATGAGATAGCATATTATTGATTTTTTATTCCCTGTCTTGTTAGACTCTCCCTATATGCAATGGCAAATTTAAGCAAATTTAATTCCTCTTTGCAATCTCTACCTGGCCATCTCAGCTCATTTTTACTGATAATGTGGGCTGAGGAAGCATTATCATATTTACTGATAATGTGGGCTGAGGAAGCACCTTTTCTGTGTTCTTTGTGGAAAATAGTCATTTTAGGGACATGTTGCAGAAGTCACGTAATTCAAATATAGTCCTTTTCTAAAATGTCCCAGTGGTTGAGAATTGAGAAACATCCTGCATCATGATCAGTATTTACCAAATGATTAATTCACACCACCTGAAGAGGGGAGGCCCAAGTAATTGGGCAGTTTTAAAAAAAAAATTTAGCAGATTATCTGCTAACTTAGTCCTGAATTCATATCCCTTGACTCCTAGGCTCCTTCTTACCAGCTTCTAATAATGGCTGTCTATAAAGCAATAACCTAAACTTTGTGGATTAAATATCCCAGAGGTCATTAATGGCTCCCTTGCATTTTATAAGAAATCAGATCTCTAAAATCATTCATGAAATATAATTCACTATAGATGAAATTTCTCCACTTTGGTACAAAGTGTTTTTGGTCCTGACACTACATTTTGAAGATATTAAAACCAAAACTAAAAGCATGGTCTACAGCTTGTATTAATTATCCTTGGGTAGTTTATGGAAGCATTTGAGTTCTTAAGAAATAGTTATCTCATATGATTAAAAAGGCCTGTCTCCATCTCAGGGCTGTTTCTGTATTTTAATGATTATTTTAGTCTCCTAAAGTTTAATTAAGTGTTTTGGGTTCTAATAGGCCAAATGAATGAAAAGCAAAAGCAAATTTAAAAAGGATGAGGCATAAATGGCAATTCCATTTGTTGGACTATGGCTGATATGTTGGATTCTTTTGGCCTAGACAGCTCTTTCATCAGAAGTCCAAGTACTTGCTTCTAAATTAGAAAGTTTTGAGTGTGAAAACATGAACATACTGTTTTATTCTTCCAGTTGTTTAATGCTTTCTCAGTGTTAATGTTCCTTGCTCTTTGGGTTTTGTGAGCTCCAGGAAATTCTTTAAAACAAGAAATGGGACCCTTCATCACAACCAAGAATATTTGTCTTTCTCTCTTGCTTTCCCCAGTATGCTTTTCACAGAAAATCTTTTTGTATGTGTAGAGCTGGATATTTTTAAGACTTCCTGAAACAAATGTTTATTCTGATTACAGTTTTATATGGGTTCTACCACTTAAAGAAAACCCACAGTGTGAAAATGTGCACTTATGGAAATAATAAATTACATCAATCCCTAACACCTGGTTCCTGATAGCCTGCACAAAGGATGGATAAACAAATGCAGAAATAGTCACCAACCACTGTAAGCAGGACCATAAAATAAGTAATTAGATCATATCAACAAATCAAACCCGTCTGGAAGCAACAGAAGGAACAGCTTTGGGTTTTCACTGTGGAGTTCATTTCAAGAACCTAACAGCAAGTATGGTATATCTCTCTCCTATAGCTTAAGGAAAGTAACTTGAATAGTTATAAATTATATGTTTTTATAATTTATAATATATTTTAGAATTTTACCTTTTGAGTTTTTTAAACTTTGCTCTGAGAGTTGTGAGAGTTGTAAGAGTTTTATGATTTTTATTTTGTGAACAATTCGCATTCATTGTACAAAAGTGATAACGGGCAAAAAAAAAAGGGGGATAGAAATCACTTGTGATTTCACCAAAGATAACAAGTATTATTACTGGTTGTAATCCTTCAAAATTTTTAATGAATACATATAAATATATATTTTAATAAAAATGGACTCATCCTTTATTTGCTGTTTTTTAACTTGTGTTTTTCATTTAATTGTGACGTCTTTCTATATCTGTATATGTGTACATCTCCAACAGAGGTTCTATGGGCTTTCTATACAAAAGTTCATTTTTTGACTTCTGAGGATTTGTGGACCCCTCCGTCCAAAAAAAATATATACAAAATTTTGTTGGTTGTCTCTGTATATGTATTTTTTTCTGGAAAACAAAACTGCAATGGGACTTTTATTAGGTTTACTTTTTTATTGTTAAATTCAAGGAGAGATTACAATCCTGCATCTTCCCATTCAGGAACATACTAAAACTCCCAGTATGTTCTTGTCCTCTTCATTTGCTCTCTAAATTTGCACTTTTCCTTTTTGTAGGTCCTGCATCATTGTTTTAACAATTTCATGGTCATTTTCTTTTAAACACTTAAGTTTTCAATACTCTTTATCAGATTTTATTGCATCCTAAGATCTGTCTTTGCCTTGTAAACCCATCTTCAATTAATACAGAACTCAATGATAATGTATGATTCAATTTACATACACTTGCTTTAGATTTAATATTACATGAACACGTTTCCAGCTATATACTGTTTTCCATATGAAAGGATAAAATACATTATTTTTTATCAAATGGAAACACACCCACAAGGATTTACTTTGCATTTTTACATAACAAAATCCTTTTAATATGTCTTTTAAAACTTTTACAAGTTTTCCGTTAATTTTATATCTATGTATATAATCATATACATATATATGTGCACATATATATGTGCATATGTATGTAGGTTCTGCATTTTCATATATAAACCAAAGCTGTTATTTAAAAATTTCAGCTAAAGAAACAGCTGAAAAAAATGTATATTTCTAAACTTCAATGTTGTCTACAAATTTAATTTCATACAAGACAGAACCATAGAAAAAGAAGTTCAGAGATTTGGAGCAAAGGATGGGTAAAGCTTCCACTACTCCATCAAATTAATGAACTGTCAGGAAACTCCCTAGTTTGGAAACTTTAACCATGGAGATAAATAGCTTTGGTAGGGCTAGCCCACTTCCAACTGGCCCTTATTCTCCCAAATTTCCCAATAAACTTCTTTCTCAAAGGTGTGCTCTAGTTTTATCCACTTGAGGCCTGTCTTTCTCTCCACTCCTTCCCACCTTTCCCACCTTCCTAACCTTGTTCTCCCACCGGCCGTCTTGCCTCTCATTCCTTGATCCTCAGACTTGATCTCTGGCCCCTGTTCTGGTCAGAGGGGCTGCTTTGGTGGCTTCTCAACAGTCTCAGATTTGCCTCTTTGCCCAGTCCTTTCCCTAGGTAGCTATCTCTCTACTACACTCTTTTGTCAGCTTCGAAGCCAGTTTAACTTCTCTTTCACAGCTCATTCAGCCTTCGTCATGATGATAGGAGGCCTCTTCTATTTTCTAAAACCTTGTTTCTGTTGACTGTCATTTCCCCCTTCCTGAATGTGGCTTATCTTCCACATTTTCCTGCTGCTAGATCTCCTGCTCACTGACTCCCTTCTCCACTCCCACCTCACCACCATTCTCTTTCCTGTAAGTCAGTTTCTTATTTATTATAGACTTATGTAGATGAGTGTACTTGTGTTAACATTAAACACAATCAACAGTGTTTGCCTACAGAAAAAAGAAGTTCAAAAAGTAAATGTAGAATTTAAAGAGGGAGTTATTAGTATCTATGGATTGATTAATTTATCTAATTTTCTTCTCTCTTGTTTTTTAGCCATAGGCATGATCTTTACTCACTTGGGCATGTACAAATATTACAATTTCCTTTTGCTGCAAAAAGTATAAAAATAATCTTTATGTAAGAATCCATTCATTACTATAAATCTTCTTTTTTTTTTTTTTTTTTTTTGAGACAGCGTCTCACTCTGTCGCCCAGGCTGGAGTGCAGTGGGGTGATCTTGGCTGACCGCAATCTCTGCCTCCCAGGCTCAAGTGATTCTCCTGCCTCAGCTTCCCGAGTAACTGGGATTACAGGCATGCACCGCTACCACCTGGTTAATTTTTGTATTTTTAGTAGAGACGGGGTTTCAGCATGTTGGCCAGGCTGGTCTCAAACACCTGACCTCAAATGATCCACCTGCCTCAGCCTCCCAAAGTGCTGGGATTACAGGTATGAGCCACTGCACCCGGCCTCATTACTGTAAATCTTTCTAACTCTCTGCAAATGGCTCTAAATAAAGGTAAATGAATAAATGGAAATGAGTGGGAGGCTATGGGACCGTGGGAGGTTAGGCCAATCCTCAGGGACTGAGCCACCCAGAGTCCTAGCTAGAGACCTCTGTTCCATTCTGTTAGCACCCTCCCCCACCCCTACTCCTACCCCCTACAAGTACACGGGGCTGAGGGCCCAGCAGGGTAGCATACACAAGAGGTCCAGGAGGAGCCGTAAGGCCAGAGGGTGGGGGGCAGCAAAAGACACTGGGGTGATGCTGGCCAGCATCCAGTTCCCCTGCCATATGGGTATAGGGGGAGGGGCATGGCTGGAGCAGGACATTGGGCTGGCCGGGCTGCCTTGGGAGGTGGAATGTGGGTCCTAGGTTCTGTGCCACTAGGTGTCAGCCAAACTGGGCTTGGGGAGGGCTCCAGGAGGACATGAGGTGGGGAAAGCCCCAGAAAAGGAGAGGCAAACACTTTGGCTTCATGGTGCAGGGGGCTGGAGCTTTCCCCTGATCTCTAAGACAGTCCAGGTGCTGGTGCAGGAGTGGGATTTGTGGCCAGAACTGTGCAGTGAAGGGGGGCGGGGAGAAGTCCAGAGCCTGTGGCTCTCAAGCTGTGTAGTGATGGGGTAGGGGTTGGTCCCCAGGCAGCCTCCAGGTCAGACAGTCTGTGTCTCAGCCACACAGGACATGTCCCTGTCAGTCAGAGGCTGAGAATAGACACATCAAAGAGGTCACAGACACCCTTACTCTCATCCAGGTTGTAGGTGTAACCATGATCTCATGATCTTGGCAGATGGAGAAAGATGGAGGAGGAGGGAGAATATTTCTGAGAACATCAATGCCTCCAGCAGCTCTGAGCTCATGTGTTCTTGTGTGAGATCCAAGAGTGGCAGCTCTTCGGGGAGTTCCAGAATGCCTGTAGGGTCTGCCTTGAGGGGTTCAAAGGAGATAGCGGGGTTGGGTTCTGATGCATTGGTATCATTGCTGCAGCTGCTGCTATCCAGCAGGAAAGAAGACTGCAGGGGGCCAGTGTCTCATGCTGCCGGCCCAGTGGGAGTGAGCTCAGCTCACCACTGGGCTCCGGAGCTGTCAGGGTCAGAGGTAAGGGGTGGTCAACTGAGTCCTACATGCATGTGAGGTTTCCTGGAGATGGAACAGGGAAGGCTTGGGCAGAGATGGAGGGCCAGAGACAGCAGGTGGGCTCTGGAGGGTGACGGCATAGACACAGCCACAGGTGGTGAGCTCCATGCCTCCTTGTTCACCAGCCTTGAAGGGGCCAGTCAGGCTGTTCAGGTGAATCTCTTACTGTTGCCCACTGGGGACTTCTGGGATGGGTGCCTGTGGGCTGCTACCAGACAGGGTCTGTGTGGCCAGTATGGTAGGAGGGTGTCTCCAGCAAAGCCTCTACCCATGTCCTCATGAGTCACATAGGCCAAGCAGCTATGATGTTCCAGATGTTCTGCTTCCCCCACACCTTGTGCTGGTCCGGTTTTTGCTCTTGCTTCTGCGGTTCCTCGATCTCTGCCTTGAGCTCAGTCAGCTTGTCTGCAATCTCCAGCCCTATTGCAGCCAGGCCCCATGCCTTTCCACTGATGCTGTTCTTGGATATTTTTTCTCCATTAGCCCTATGCCTTCCAATACATTGGTAATGCTGTAAACCTGCGGTTTCTGGCACACAGATAGGATGTCAGCTGCCAGCTTGAGGTCAAGCACGCTGTCCTTGGCCTCCTACAGAAGTGGTGGGAGCTTGGTGGTGAGAGTCTCAAATACTTCTCGTATCCCACTTAAGGTCCCCAGGGGCAGCAGTGCCTGTGGCCCAGCCTCTGCTTCTCCTCAGCCAGGCCAGCTATTTTCATCTCTTATTTACATTTGTTCTAGACTCCTGAGCCCGTCTCTACCTACTGAATTTAAAATGTTTAGTCATAAGACATATATACCTTTAAGTAAATTGGATATATGAAAATCTGGATTGACAAAAACAAAATCAATCGTATAACTTTTCAAAACCCTTCATCATTGCATTTAAAGGACCTTGTAAAATATGCCCTACTGTCTTTAAAGTTGTCTTAGTTTATTTAAAAATTATTTCAAAATAGTTTTTGAAATTCTGTAAACAGAAGTACCTGGCCATGAATGCATACATGCACCTATAAATAGGCCTTATCTTCACCATTAAAAAGGCAAACCAGTCTGGATTTTAATTTTGATTTTTCGCATTTGCTATTTCAAATCACTAAAAGTATCAAGAAGTTGTGCATTTCTGCATTTGAGGTACTACATGACTGTGCTTTTGTTGAGGTGAAGGAAATATGCATTACTAAGATGAATTTACCCTACAGAAGGAAAACTCTATAGGAATTTCCTCTGCATCACCAAAACCATGAACTTTCTGGCCCCCTACTGTTATTTAAAAAAAGAGCTCATTCCAACAGAGTTGCTGACATTGAACTCAATTCCTTGCATGTAAGGGTCCATGTCTTTCACTAACTGGTTAGGGCTAGGGGAGCATATAATGTATATAATACCTGTCACAGACCAGGAAACTGCAAAAGGAAAAACTCTTGAAGTGACTACTTTTAAGTCAATTGGAATTGATTCTTTCAGCAGAATCTCAGAAAAAGCAAACATGAAACTAATGACCCTGAAAAATTTTTGTATAGTTTCCTTTGGTCATAGTCCTATTGGCACAATCTCAGCCTTCAGCTTTTCATGTCCTTGGTGGATTGTGTAGTTATGTAGTTAATCATAATTATGAATTTATTGTTATCTGAACTTTCCTTTTGTGCATTACCTGCTATCTCAATACTGTATGTTTTAAAGGGCCACATCCCAAAAAGAACCCCATCCTTTGCCCCCTACCATTTCAGCCTGTTAAAAACTCTTTTTTTTAATATGGCAGACTAGTTACTATTTATTTGATGATCTCATTATGTTTATTTGATATTCTCATTAACTATGTTGTTTGCATCTTTCCTGGTTAAAAGTTCACAGGAACATTCTAAATTGAAAATACAAATATAGTATGTCAGAGATTATGGCATGTGGAAAGCACTTTTCTGAATTAACTGAGAGTCTTTGTAGTATGAATGCAAAGAGTGGGGATTCTTGAGTCAAAAGAATTGTTTTCAAATCTCAGTGTTTCAATTTCCTACCTTAGTGACAATATGCAAGTTACTGAACTTCTCTTAGCTTTCCTATTCCCATCTGTGAAAGAGTGATAATAATTTATAGACTTATGGAACAGATGAATAACAAAATATATGTGAAAGTGCCTGACATGTTTTAATGGATATTGAATGAAAGTAATAATAAAATAACTGGGACAAGGCGGGTATAAAGAGAACCAGACTATGATAGTCCCTAAAGGGCTCTTTTTCCACTTAAATAAGAAAACATGTGTAAAGTCACTAGCAGAGTGCTCAGGACATGGTTGACTATCAAGGGATGTTAGTTCCTCCTTCACAGAACATTTCCAGTTACATCTTTGTTTGGTGTTCCGAACTGAAAAGATGTGTATGTATTCTTGTGTCAACATTCAATAACCAGTTGCCTTGTTGCAATGCTTCTTAACATTAGTGTGTATGCAGATCACCTGGGAATGTTGTTAAATGTAGATTCTGACTCAGGAGGTCTGGGATGGAGCCGAAAATTCTATATTTTCAAAAGTCTCATAGCCGATTCCTATAAAGTTGGTCCAGTCGAATAGCAAAGCCTTAATAGGCCAGGCGTATTCTCTCTTCGTTCCTTGCATTATCTGATTTCGTAAAGCTAATAGTGTAAAGATGGTATTATTCTACACATTTTACAAATGAGAAAGTTTTAACCCACAGAGGGTTGATGAATGAAGATCATTCAACCAATCATTCTGCCATATTTCTTATGCTACCACAGTCAATTTTTTAAATTGTGTAACTATTCTCTCAATTCTTCCTAGTTATCATATTCCTTTAAGTTAATAATTATCAAGTTTCCTTTTATACTTTCTAAAGTTTTTTTAATTTTTAATATTATGGATATATATTAGTTGTACATATTTATAGGACATGTGATATTTTGATACAAACGTATAATGTGTAATAATCAAATCAGAGGAATTGGGATATCCATTGCCTCAAGCACTTATCATTTATTTGTGTTAGGAACATTCCAATTCCACTCTTTTAGTTATTTCGAAATATACAATAAATTATTGTTAACTATAGTCACCCCATTGTGCCACTGAATACTGGATCTTATTCCTTCTGACTATATTTTTGTACCCATTAACCATCCTCTCTTTATCCTCTCTCTCCCCACTACTCTTCCCAGCCTCTGAAAACTGTTATTCTATTCTTTATCTCCATGAGTTAATTTTTTATTTAGTTCCCACGTGTGAGTGACAACATGTGATATTTGTCTTTCTGTGCTTGGCTTATTTCACTTAACATAATATCCTCCATTTCTAAATATGTTGTTGCAAATGACAGGATTTCAGTATGGAGTTTCCTCCAAAAACTAAAACTAGAACTGCTGTACAATCCAGCAATCCGACTACTGGGTATATATCCAAAAGAAAGGAAATCAGTATATGGAAGAGATATCCGCACTCCCATATTTATTGCAGCACTATTCACAACAGCCAAGATATGAAATCAACCTGTGTCCATCAACAGATGAATAGATAAAGAAAATGTGGTGTGTGTACACAATGGAGTATTATTCAGCCATAGAAAATAATCCTTTACATCCTTTTATATCTTTGTCACTATCTCCCATTCTTTTCCCGATCTTTGCTCAGGTAATATGTAGCTTTAGTTTGTCAGTATCCCCATGTTTAACCCTGTCAGAGACAACTCACCCTCAATGGAGACATCTTTAAGTGGCAAAATGATTTAGAGCAGTGAGGCAGATTTTGATATGTATTTGGTATAATTAATACAAGTTAGTTTTATAAATCAGAACTCCTTTCTAGCTCTCTGGAATGAGCTGTCAAATCGTCTCCCCAAACCAGTGAGGAGACAGTTGAGCTAAGAACCATCAGCTCTGGAATACCAATTTCCATGGTTCTACCACAGGGAAGCTCTGCCCCACCAACTGGGGTATTTTTCATCCCCCTCACTATTTCCAGCTTGATATTAGAGGATGCAGTCCCATTGCTTTGCATCCCCCGAGCCTTGTTTATAGTAAATTCTCTAGAATAATACTGTGCTGCTGCATGCTTCTGCTATCTCTGCCCCAGTTACAGCACCAGGCTCCCCTCCCACTCCTGGGGCACACCTCCCATTGCTGTCCCAGTTATTTGGAAACAGCCAGCATTTCCATGCCCTGGGTTAGGTTTGCTCTTGTTTCTAATATCCCACTCTTCTGTTCTCCCAACTTTCCCACAGCCAGTGCCATAGAGATATGGTTTCTAGCCAATTTCTAGAACCCACTGCTGACACGAACATGTTCATATTTTTTTACAAAGATTATTTGAGAATAATGAGAACATCTTAATCACACTCAATGTATAAATGATGAATTTTTTAAAACAGTTAAACATAACATAATCATAAAAATATTGAAGAAGAGTGAGGTTAGCTTGGGTCGCTGGTCTCTTTTTTCAACAAAAGATGATGAATGTTCTTGAGCCAAAGACAACTAGCTGGCCAAAAATTTCGGGACTGCTGATCTGCTCCCCTCCCTCCCTCTCTCCCTTCCCTCATGCCTTTCCTTCCTTTTTGTCTCTTCAGTCTTCTTATGTGTGTTACAGTGTACTTGCAGAATCCCTGCAGAGGGATTCATCATTAAGCTATCCATATATAGTATGAGTGTTTTTAATGTCAATAAGTACAACACTTTGCCGTCACTTAAATTGCTGCTTAACTATGTACATAGCTATGCCATAATTAATTTAAGTAATCTTCAAATACAGCACATTCTGATTCCTTCCCAACTTTTTTTGCCGTTACAAGTCATGGGGGTCCGTGGCCTTGCTAAGATCTAAGCAACTGCTTTTCAGTTATTTCCCACTTCTTCGTCCACCTATTTGCCTCCTCAATGAATGCTTGCAGGTGTGGGTTCTCCCTTTTAGAAATACATCACCCAATATGGTATTCAAATACTTTGAGTAACTTTGTTATAGTATGGTAAGTATTGTGCTTCAAAACTTGGATTTTACCTGTGTGCTTGCTGTGTGAGCTTGGACAAGATACGTAATATCTCTGTGCTTCAGTTTCCTCACCTATGACATGGGGATAATAATAGCACTTTTCTCATGGGTTGTTGTAAAAATTAAGGAAATGATATATGCAAATAGCACAGAAGAGTGTCCAGCATTTAGTGCATGCTCAATGTTGGCTGTCATTAATGATGAGAAGCTTGCTTTGTCTTTTTATTCATGCTATTAAACCTAAATTTTTAGGGACATATGGCTACAGAGAGAGCTTTTTTTTTTTGTACAAGGAATATAAGGAGCAGAGAGGGGAGTGCAGTGGCCTCAAGAAGGTAAAGCACATGTTAGGAAATATGGTCAGTTCTAATTATGTGGCCATATATCAAAATTTCTAATATGATGGAGTTGCTGAACCAGGACACAGGCTGTCAGAGGTATTTCATTAGCAGTCAATTTGGCTGAGATCTGTATAGTCACCAGACATCAAACCATCACCTACCATCAGCGAAGTCATGTGTTCAGACACACTAAATTATTACAATATTTCTTGTTACTGAATGGTGTGTATTTCTTTTCTCTTTCCCCTAGGATTCTTTTTTCTTCCTTCTTTTCTTCTAGTGTAAGTAGAGAATAAGGAAAGCTCTTGTTGACTTGGGCTTGTCCTAAAAAATAGACTTTATTGTACTCACTTGACCTCCTTAGCGAGACTTTTCTGCAAACAGTTTTCCACTGTTCAGCAGAGTTCTGGCAGCTGGGAGACCCCTTAGAGGGAGCAGGGACTAGGTATAAACTTGGACACTATTTTGGTAGATAGGAAAATGTGGGGAATTTGGGTTCATTTGTTCACTCTCAACTACTAGAGGAGTACAACGAAAACATCTGAATTAAGCATTTTTCTGCATTTTAATTATTAGACCAAGTCCTTGCCTGATAAGGAAATAAACCCAACAGTAAATCAAATGTATGAAGGAAAGACCAGGCATGTTTCTTTGTGTTCTCAAGTGCTGAAAGCAAAATAGCATGTCAAAAGGCTGATCTTCATTCTTAGTTATGTACTAGACTAATCAAGTCCCAGAAAGAGTAAAGCGATCAGTTCTTTTACTCAGGCAGAAGTTCTTGCCCATTTCTTTGGATCATGTCCCTGGTCCTCCTTGTATTCTACAGTGTTGCTGTGTGGGAGAGGAGCCTTGATGGAATACCAAAGCCCAGTGCACGTGAGCAATCTGTGAGTGGTCCAGCTCATCAGCAGGCTTGTATCTTACGAGGTTTCCTTCTGAGCTAGGAGTCCACTTCAGCCTTCCTTCAGAGAACGTTTCCTAGAATATGTACTTGTGATTAAACTATTCAAAAGTTGTTTTCTAAAGAAAAAGCAAGAAGAAAGAATTGATTAACCATTACTTCCAACTTAATATTGTCTGCTAGAAATTTTATGGACTCTGGAAATCACAAAGTGCTTTCACTCCAGAAAACGAGTGTATATTCTAGAACCCACAGTGATTTTTGAAATTTCAAAATTTCTGCTATGTATTCAGGGAAAATACAAGTAGCTAAACATTACTATTTTTTAAACCTCATTAAGTCAGGTTTGTAGATCAAGGTCTCATCATGGGTTACAGAGGAAAGTAGCAACTGTATGAGTATGTCACCTCAGTGTCCATCAAGAGAGGAATAGTAGTACATCCATAGTATGGAATATTATATAGCCATTAGAAATGAAATACCTTTACTGTGTATGCACTGATGGAAAAGCTCATCTGCCATAAATGCTTTAGAAATATAATGATGTAAAGCATTATTCAGACTATGATCTCATTTTTGTAAAAACAACAAACCAAAATGTATAAATGAATATATAAATATAGGTATCTGCTTCATTAAGAATAAGAATAATATATTTTAACTGTTAACAGTGGATTTCCCAAGGTATCAAATTTTTTTAAAAAAAGGTGGAGGGGAATGGTGGCAGGGGAGTGGGAGGAGTTTTCACTTTTTAATATATTCACATCTGCATTGTTTGGAATTTTGTTCATAAACATGTGTTTTCATAATAATTTACATGATTTTTTAAAAAATGTATCAGGAATAAATCCCTCTGTATATCTGATGGTTTGAAGCTCTAATCCAAAAGGAAACACACTGTCAATCAGCAAATAGTGCAAATAAGTATCTCTTCACCTAAAGAAACTCCTTAAAAGTAACGGTATAAATTGTCTCACACTTGTAAATATATAGCTGTCACATGTCACAAATTACAAGAGGTACAAATGAAATCCAAGGCTGTTCTATGATAGAAATCATTACATTTTATCTGGGTGGGCTGATAGTAACAGCAGAAGAGAAATGTGTAGATACAGTTTTAAAAGATGCTGAAAGTATGCAAATATTTTCATAATAGTACTAGAAAGATATGCTGCTGCTGTATTATGATACATAACATCATAGATACTGATTGTCATCCTTAAACCTTCCTTATTAAGAGTTCCATCTCAACCTAGAGGGGAACCATGTCCATGGCAGTGAATCCAGTAACTAGTGAACATATTTGTGTTGAGAACCTAATGTTAGGGGGACGGGAAGAACAAAGATAAATAAGAGCCAAGAATTTCCCTCTGATACAAAGTACTAGAATGCTACATTGGCACGTGGTGCTATGAATAAACTAGGACTTTTTTTTTTTTTTTTTTTGAGACAGGGTCTTGTTCTTTTGCCCAGGCTGGAGTGCAGTGGCACAATCTCAACCCACTGCAACCTCTGCCTCCTGGGTTCAAGTGATTCTCCTGCCTCAGCCTCCTAAGTAGATAGGATTACAGGCACATGCCAATTTGCCTGGCTAGTTTTTGTGTTTTTAGAAGAGAAGGGGTTTCACTCTGTTGGTCAGGCTGGTCTTGAACTCCTGACCTCAAGTGATCCGCCCACCTGGGCCTCCCAAAGTGCTGGGATTACAAGTGTGAGCCACTGTACCCGGCCAAACTAGGACTTTAGAATAGAGTGGTTGGATGGTCCCTCCAAAGGGAGGTGTTTTGTTTTCTATTTCATTTTGTTTTAGGATAGGAAAAACAACATGATTGTAAGCAAAGAGGAAGGAGTCAGTATAGAGAGGAGATAAAGAGATGATTAAGGGAAAAGAGGTAATTAACTAGATAAGCCCTGGAAGAAGCAGAGAGAGAGCCCAGGGGAGAAACTGGCCTTCAGAAAGAGGAAGAATATCCACAATCTATAAAAGCAGGAAGAGGGCCTGAGCAGTGAGGCAGAGACACTCTGAGGCAAAGGAGGAGGAAACAAAGGAGTCTGCATGGCTTTCACCAATAAAGAAGTGACTTTATTGACAGAGAGTGAAAGAGTAGTGGCAGGCTTGGGGGCTGTAGAAAGATTTGGAATAGGCACTGTGAAGAATAGAAGATCACCTGGAATGATTAAAAAAATAGTGGGGTATCACTGAGGTGCCAGCTGAAGCGGAGTCACATGCATTTTTAGTGAAATTAATTTAAAATACATTCTCATTACTTTTTCTAGCAATGCAGCAGCCAGGCACAGGGGCATAGAAATTCAGAGTGGCTAGAATGGATGGACCATAGAAATCAAATGATTTCTATATTGAAAGCTTCATAAGAAAATTCACTGGAAATTAGTCAAATAATGGCTTCACTATAAATTTCACTTTGTCAATGTTTCTTTTCCCTTAATTTTTATACTCAAATCTGTACTTCTGTAAAGAGGTGGGAACAATATTCTGTACTTCAAATGTTAACCAACTAGATAATGCCATTAGAATTTTTAAAGCTTCTAGCTCACAGTTGCTTCTCATACATTATGTATTTTTAGGCTGGAAAAACTAATAACATCCTTTTTGGAAGACCAGGATTCAGACAGTAGATTAGAGGTTGGCGCGGATATGCGTAAAGTTCATCACTGTTTTCATCATTTAAAGGTAAACTTAAATGTTTCCCCAATAGAAGCCATTTTCAGCCATGTTCAAGCTGCAAAAAAACTTTTCTAGTTGACCAGTTCTTGGAAGGTTAGGATCCAGCATTGCATGTCCAGAAAATGGTACGATCTTTGAATCAATAGTATGATTATCACTGAGTTTCTTCAGAGATTGTATCTTACTTGCCAATAAATAAACTCAGGCCATGGACTTCTAATTCTTTTGTCAGGAATCTCTACCTTCTACACAGAATAGTTCCATATTTTTTAAAAAACTATTTTCAAGCTATATCAAGAGAATTGCATTCTGTATTTTTTCAGCAGTTTGATATACCCATATGATATTTCAGTTTTTCTCTGCCTTAGGTTTTAATTTTCATGACAAGGGGCTGGGAATATAATCACTTTTACTTTTAGCTCACTTGTATTTTTGCATACTTCTTTAAGATAATAAACATTTGTTGTGAGTTACTAAGGGCCAGGTATAGATAAGACAAAGTTTAATAAGCAAGTCATGGAGATGACAGATGTTGTAAAGAATAATCACAATACATGATAAGTACTAGAATAAAAGTGTAAATTAAGTGGAATGATGTATAGAGAAAGGGAAAGGAGTCCAAGAAGAGATAATGTTGAGTAGGCATTTCCCAATTTAGGGAAGGAGAGATAAGATGGGGAGAGAGGGTTGAGGAAGGAGGAGGGGAAAGAAGGCAGGTAGAAGGGAGAAAACATGCCAAGCCAAAAAAGCAACTGCATCGCAAAGACATCGCACCTGCATCAGACAGGTCACACATGCCTGATGTGTGCAGGGAATTGTTAAAGGAAAAAGAGTCAAAGAAACAAAGAAATTTGGACTAGAGATATGGGTACTAAGCTCTTATTTTATCTTACAGAAACTATTGAATGACAAGAAGATCCTTGAAAACAATACAGTCTCCTCTGAAAGCAAAGACCAAGATTGTCAAGAACCATTAAAAGAAGAAGAATATAGAAAGCTACGAGATATTCTGAAACAGAGAGATAACGAAATCAGTATCCTTTCTGAAGTGATGAAGAAACTTCCTCTATCCTGGTTTGAAAGGGGTAAACAGCAGTCTTTCCTGAGCCACATGGCTGAGCTCCCCACCCAGCTTCCATTTCACATTGCTTCTTTCCATTGAGAAGTCAAAGGTCCCTTCAGCAAAGTATTGCAACCAGTGAAAAAGAGTTTCTATAAAAGAAAAAAATGTGTTTGTTTTTATCCTGACATAGTTACTCTTGCAGGGAACATTTTAGTTTATTTCAAAGTATGAGCCTTTTTACACCATCTTTTAACATTAATTTTTTAAAATATATTTTTTGGCTCCTCTGTTGTGTTCTCTTTGTGTTAGCCCTGAGCCAGTAAGTTAGCTGGTTATCTTTAGCAAGCTGACCAGACAACAGGCTGACCACAGACTCACCATGGCCCAGAATCTGTGGCTGGTGCGTGGGTGAAACTCAAATGATGGCTGAAAAATGACAAATGGTATTTAGCTTATGAAGAGCAGAGATTGATTTAAATGTAACTTTTTATTTAAAAGCCAGATCTACTGCTTTGAGTTACACTTACAAATGTTCCCAAATTTGGAAGTGAGTATAGATGAGTGTTCAAGATAGAATTCTTTTTTTTAGCTAAACTGATCAGTACCAAATAAGATAGAATTCTTATTGGCTCCAAGAGGCAGTGTATTTTGGGTGCTGAAAGTGGTAGTAGCCCATGGGAGCATGTGCTGCCTCCAGTTGCAGACGAAGTGGTTACTTCTATGGAGCCCCTGTGGGGTTGGGTGGAACTCAGGCCTCCCAGATATTTCTTTGGTATTGTTTCTCATTTTATCTTTCAAGCTTCTTGTAAAAAGATTTGACATTTTCATTACGTTTGCAGAATTTAAACATGCACAAGAAATCCTTTCGGTCAGTTCTTTATAAACAGATATTTTTGTTCTTTTTTTAAATTACCAAAAGATGCTTTAGCTTCAGCTATTTATGCAAAATGCATGAAAATAGTCTACATAAAGGAAACCCAGTAATAAAGAGGTAAGAACAAACCAAATGGGAGGTAGACATGTTGCCTGATTAACTTTGGTCTCTAATTTTACTTGAGTATCAGCAGATCCTGTGTGTCAGATTCAAGTGAGTTTTAGCTGGCCAGGGAACAGTAGGTTCAGCTGAGAATCCCCCCCCACCCACACACACACACACAAGCCTTCATCCGTCAGTGCTGCCCATGGTGTTGTCACCCTCACATTCCTTTTCCTTCCTCTTACACCATCCATCTCCTGGCATGGTCTCGGCCTGGACCTCAGTCCTGGCCCCAGCCCCAGTCTGAGCTCTGTTTCTTTTCCTGGCCTTGATCCTAGTCTAGGATCTTCTCCTTTAAATACTCCTACCAACTTCTTAATCCCCTTCTGGGCTTATGAATGTCTGTGCATATAGGAGGGATGAAATGAGATATGACAGAGAGAGAACAGTCCAAGTTTGTTCCTATATGTTTATTTTTAAAAGAGAGTGAAAGAGAGATATCCATCACCTCCCCTCCTTCACTGTGGTGAATCCAGGCATCACCATTCATGTGGGGTTACCCTAGATTCTTTACTAACTGTCAGCAATTCAAACAGGGCTCCCTCCATCTGACACTCTTATTCAAAATGATGGTGTATGGGAGTCAGAGTGGAAAGAATACTGCACTTCAATTCATACCTGGATTGAAATCCTAGCTCTTCATTTATTAGCTCTGTACCTACTCAGTGACATTGCTTTCTACTCTTCAGGAGCAGGACCATAAGACCTGCTGAGAAAAGCCCATAAGTGCTTTGAGCACTGCGGAGTGTGATGTAATTGGAGTTATGACTATGAAGACAATAAGCAATCTCAGAAGAAGGAAGAATAGCAGCTAAGATTTAATCCTCTCAAAGCTGTGCTTATCAAAGACCAACGACTAAGAAAACCTCCTGAAATCTCACAGTTATTCAGAGTCAGGTTGGAGGATGTTTTCATATCTTTCTTTGTAGAACCCAGAAGGCTAAGACTGTGACACAACAAATGGGAAAGATATGGCTTCCAGGAAATAAAAAAAGTGATTATAATTGAGTTTCACAAAAGACAGTAATGCACCCAAATGACTGCGAACGACATCAGATCTTCTTGGAAAGAGACTGAAAATGATGTCCTGTTGGTGACATCCTCAGCTTGAATAAAGTTCACACACCCCTTCACAAAATATATGACAGGGGGATCCATGACCCAGCAAAGTGTTTAGCACAAAGGCCATTCCCATAAATGGGAATAGGGAGGACAAGAAGACAGGGGAAAGGTGAGAAGAAGGAAGGCAGCACAGAAGATAGATTCGTATTGCGATCTTTATGAAATGTACATCAGAACGCATCATTATTCTCATTAAAGTCTTCAAGGGGCTTCCCATGATATGAAGAATGAAACCAAACTCCTTGCTCTGGTTTACGAGGGCCTGGATGATCTTGCCCTGCCTACACCATCCCCTCCCCCACGGACCTCATTTCTCATGCCTCGTCCCACGTGTGCTAGGCTTCAGTCACAGTTACCTTCTTGTTGTTCTTCTAACACGAGGTTCCTCAGCCTTGGCACTATCAACATTTGTGGCTGGATAATTCTTCATCTCAGGAGCTGTCCTGTGCATTGTAGGAAGTGGGATCACAGGACTGTAGCATTGGGAGCCACTTCCGGGCCTGTTTCTCTTTAGGGAAACTTCCTGTTTCTCCTCTGCATTGATGTTCTTCCTCTGGCTGGTTCTTCTTATGGCTCAGATCTCAGCTTAAAGGTCACTCTTAGGCCTTTTGTAGCACCCAATGTATAGCAGCTGCCCAGTCACCCTTGACCTTCTTCAGATTAGGTATGTGGCATTCTGATGTTGTGTGTGTGTGCATGTGCATGCATGCATGTGTGAGACGTCTTTCCCCAGTAGGACGTCTGCTTCGTGAGAGCAAGAAACTACTCTGCCTTGTCATTGCTCTATACCGATGCCTAGAACAGGGCCTGGCATCTATAGCACAAGCTCCAACAAATATCACTGAATGAGTGAGTCGATGGAGTCGATGGATATTGCCATCACAGTGTGTGAACCAATGGAAGTGTATGATGACATTGGTAATCAGTTCCATACAAAGAGGAGCAGCGTGTTCGGCCAGAGCCCTGTTCTTCTCTGTCATGTTAATGCTTAGACACTAAGAAGCTGTGAACATTTTTGGTAAGTACATGTTGTTTTGGGGCAAGGAATGGAAGCCACATCAGAGAGAGCAAACCTGATTATGCTTCCAGAAATCACCAAGTGGGAGTTAAAGCTGAGGAGGAAGATGAAGGTCAAATGACTTCCACGCTGCTTGTCCAAGAATAAATATCATCTGGGTACCTGTCCGCCTTTCTAAGTAGCAGTGCTCTCTGTATCCCCTTCCTCTGAAAAGTTTACCCTTTAGGACACATACCACATTTAGACTCCCATTTTAATGAGCCTTCTCTAGCGATGCAAAGGCATTGAATTCATCTTACCCCATATGCAGTTAGAGCTCTGAGATTCTCAGTAGGGGTTACAGTCTTTCCATTTAGCAGATTGGACAAAAATCTCTTAGAGTTCTAGGCATCGTGAACACAGAATGAACACTGAAGTAGGGTAGAGGGGAGTGGTTTTATCCTTTATCATCAATGGTCCTGGCATATCTCAATGGCCTACAGAAGGTGCATTTTAAAATGATATGTCTGTGCTAACAATTCGCTTCTTTTCTGTTACATTTGAGACCAAACATTAGTGGCTTAAAAAGCCCCCATCTGAGTGAACTCTACATAAGCACGTGCTGAGCTTGGGGTGCTCTGGCTGAACCTTTGTCACCGCACCGGCCGCCAGGATGAAGACGGCTGATCTGCCAGCCGGGTGGGTTTCACCATCCTCCCGCTCTGCTCTGCTGCTGCCTCCCGAGCAGGCGCGTGCTCGCCCAGGGGGCTGATACATATACATGGGCTATGTGAGTAAATTCATCTTTTATCTGGGAAGATGTATACATAGCCTATTGTCTACTACTATTCAGCCTTCATTTGACTTTTTATAAGCACTTTCATAAGATTGTTAAGATGTACCTGGTTTAAACTCAGAACATTGTAAAGACCTTGCGTTTGCTAATTTTTCATACAGTGGTGCTATATAGAAAGCAAGCCTCCTAAATTGTCCATTGCTATATATGGGGCTTCAGGAAGTTGAAGCCTTCCTTCAGTCTTTACCACATGATAAATAGCAAATGTTAGGAACATTAATGACACTTAGGACATTTGTGTTTTGATTACTATAAGCTAGCATCAGGCATTAAATCCTTAAGTCAAGTTTCAGATATCCTGGTCAACATGTTAAAAAAAGAAAAGAAGAAAGCTCAGGAGGCTCTCCACTTGGCTGGCATGGATAGACGTGAATTCAGACAGTCCCAGAGCCCACCCTTCCGCCTAGGAAACCCAGAAGAAGGTCAAAGAATGCGACTATCCTCAGCTCCCTCACAGGCCCAGGACTTCAGCATTTTGGGGAAAAGATCCAGTTTGCTCCACAAGAAAATAGGTCAGTTGACTAAATTTCCAGTATTTCTCATTGTCTGTAATGGATTTCGATGTAGCACCCTTTAGTTTTACATGTATCAGGATGAAGGCTCAATTTCTTTGTTAGAATTATTTTTTATAACTATCAATTATCTTAAATTAAATACCACTTTCCCAAACTGATGACTGAACTGAGGGGAACCAACTATGAATTTTCTCAGAATTCAGCATTAGAATAGATGGGTTCAGGGTAACAGTAAAAAAGTTAATTTTAGAGAAAGGGAACAAATAAGATCAGATATTGCTGATATGATGACGAGGCAGCGTTTATTTATAAATCCAAATGAACTATCTGCAGGAAAACTATTTAAAAATATTACCAGGCCAGGCACGGTGGCTCACGCCTGGAATCCCAGCATTTTGGGAGGCCAAGGCAGGCAGATCACAAGGTCAGGAGTTCAAGACCAGCCTGGCCAATATGGTGAAACCCTATCTCTACTAAAAAGTGCAAAAATTAGCTGGGCGTGGTGGTGCGCGCCTGTAATCCCAGCTACTCAGGAGGCTGAGGCAGGAGAATCATTTGAACCCGAGAGGTGGAGGTTGCAGTGAGCCAAGATCAGGCCACTACACTCCTGCCTGGGTGACAGAGTGAGACTCTGTCTCAAAAATAATAAAATAATAATACCACAGACTTAAATGACAATAAATTAATAAAACTTTGTCACGTAATAGCATTTGGCAGGGTTGGGCCAACTCAGAGACACCTTTCCTGTTTCCAGCTTTTTTTTTTAATTTTATTTTATTATTATTATACTTTAAGTTTTCGGGTACATGTGCACAATATGCAGGTTAGTTACATATGTATACATGTGCCATGCTGGTGTGCTGCACCCATTAACTTGTCATTTAGCATTAGGTATATCTCCCAATGCTATCCCTCCCCCCTCCCCCCACCCCACAACAGTCCCCAGAGTGTGATGTTCCCCTTCCTGTGTCGATGTGTTCTCATTGTTCAATTCCCACCTATGAGTGAGAACATGCAGTGTTTGGTTTTTTGTCCTTGCGATAGTTTACTGAGAATGATGATTTCCAATTTCATCCATGTCCCTACAAAGGACATGAACTCATCATTTTTTATGGCTGCATAGTATTCCATAGTGTATATGTGCCACATTTTCTTAATCCAGTCTATCATTGTTGGACATTTGGGTTGGTTCCAAGTCTTTGCTATTGTGAATAGTGCCACAATAAACATATGTGTGCATGTGTCTTTATAGCAGCAAGATTTATAGTCCTTTGGGTATATACCCAATAATGGGATGGCTGGGTCAAATGGTATTTCTAGTTCTAGATCCCTGAGGAATGGCCACACTGACTTCCACAATGGTTGAACTAGTTTACAGTCCCACCAACAGTGTAAAAGTGTTCCTATTTCTCCACATCCTCTCCAGCACCTGTTGTTTCCTGACTTTTTAATGATGGCCATTCTAACTGTTGTAAGATGGTATCTCATTGTGGTTTTGATTTGCATTTCTCTGATGGCCAGTGATGATGGGCATTTTTTCATGTGTCTTTTGGCTGCATAAATGTCTTCTTTTGAGAAGTGTCTGTTCATATCCTTTGCCCACTTTCTGATGGGGTTGTTTGTTTTTTTCTTGTAAATTTGTTTGAGTTCATTGTAGATTCTGGATATTAGCCCTCTGTCAGATGAGTAGGTTGCGAAAATTTTCTCCCATGTTGTAGGTTGCCTGTTCACTCTGATGGTAGTTTCTTTTGCTGTGCAGAAGCTCTTTAGTTTAATTAGATCCCATTTGTCAATTTTGGCTTTTGTTCCATTGCTTTTGGTGTTTTAGACATGAAGTCCTTGCCCATGCCTGTGTCCTGAATGGTAATGCCTAGGTTTTCTTCTAGGGTTTTTATGGTTTTAGGTCTAACATTTAAGTCTTTAATCCATCTTGAATTAATTTTTGTATAAGGTGTAAGGAAGGAATTCAGTTTCAACTTTCTACATATAGCTAGCCAGTTTTCCCAGCACCATTTGTTAAATAGGGAATCCTTTCCCCATTGCTTATTTTTCTCAGGTTTGTCAAAGATCAAATAGTTGTAGGTATGCGGCATTATTTCTGAGGGCTCTGTTCTGTTCCATTGGTCTATATCTCTGTTTTGGTACCAGTACCATGCTGTTTTGGTTCCTGTAGCCCTGTAGTATAGTTTGAAGTCAGGTAGCGTGATGCCTCCAGCTTTGTTCTTTTGGCTTAGGACTGACTTGGTGATGCGGGCTCTTTTTTGGTTCCGTATGAACTTTAAAGTAGTTTTTTCCAATTCTGTGAAGAAAGTCATTGGTTGCTTGATGGGGATGGCATTGAATCTATAAATTACCTTGGGCAGTATGGCCATTTTCATGATATTGATTCTTCCTACCCATGAGCATGGAATGTTCT
Organism: Homo sapiens; assembly: GCF_000001405.40. NCBI lineage: Eukaryota > Metazoa > Chordata > Mammalia > Primates > Hominidae > Homo > Homo sapiens. The sequence continues at coordinate 39,537,583 of NC_000006.12, read as the reverse complement.
TCCATTTGTTTGTATCCTCTTTTATTTCATTGAGCAGTGGTTTGTAGTTCTCCTTGAAGAGGTCCTTCACATCCCTTGTAAGTTGGATTCCTAGGTATTTTATTCTCTTTGAAGCAATTGTGAATGGGAGTTCACTCATGATTTGGCTCTCTGTTTGTCTGTTGTTGGTGTATAGGAATGCTTGTGATTTTTGTACATTGATTTTGTATCCTAACACTTTGCTGAAGTTGCTTATCACCTTAAGGAGATTTTGGGCTGAGACAATGGGGTTTTCTAGATATACAATCATGTCATCTGCAAACAGGGACAATTTGACTTCCTCTTTTCCTAATTGAGTACCCTTTATTTCCTTCTCCTGCCTGAGTGCCCTGGCCAGAACTTCCAACACTATGTTGAATAGGAGTGGTGAGAGAGGGCATCCCTGTCTTGTGCCAGTTTTCAAAGGGAATGCTTCCAGTTTTTGCCCATTCAGTATGATATTGGCTATGGGTTTGTCATAGATAGCTCTTATTATTTTGAGATACGTCCCATCAATACCTAATTTATTGAGAGTTTTTAGCATGAAGCATTGTTGAATTTTGTCAAAGGCCTTTTCTGCATCTATTGAGATAATCATGTGGTTTTTGTCTTTGGTTCTGTTTATATGCTGGATTACATTTATTGATTTGCATATATTGAACCAGCCTTGCATCCCAGGGATGAAGCCCACTCGATCATGGTGGATAAGCTTTTTGATGTGCTGCTGGATTCGTTTTGCCAGTATTTTATTGAGGATTTTTGCATCAATGTTCATCAGGGATATTGGTCTAAAATTCTCTTTTTTGGTTGTGTCTCTGCCCGGCTTTGGTATCAGGATGATGCTGGCCTCATAAAATGAGTTAGGGAGGATTCCCTCTTTTTCTATTGATTGGAATAGTTTCAGAAGGAATGGTACCAGTTACTCCTTGTACCTCTGGTAGAATTCGGCTGTGAATCCATCTGGTCCTGGACTCTTTTTCGTTGGTAAGCTATTGATTATTGCCACAATTTCAGCTCCTGTTATTGGTCTATTCAGAGATTCAACTTCTTCCTGGTTTAGTCTTGGGAGAGTGTATGTGTCGAGGAATTTATCCATTTCTTCTAGATTTTCTAGTTTATTTGCATAGAGTTGTTTGTAGTATTCTCTGATGGTAGTTTGTATTTCTGTGGGATCAGTGGTGATATCCCCTTTATCATTTTTTATTGCATCTATTTGATTATTCTCTCTTTTTTTCTTTATTAGTCTTGCTAGCGTTCTATCAATTTTGTTGATCCTTTAAAAAAACCAGCTCCTGGATTCATTAATTTTTTGAAGGGTTTTTTTGTGTCTCTATTTCCTTCAGTTCTGCTCTGATTTTAGTTATTTCTTGCCTTCTGCTAGCTTTTGAATGTGTTTGCTCTTGCTTTTCTAGTTCTTTTAATTGTGATGTTAGGGTGTCAATTTTGGATCTTTCCTGCTTTCTCTTGTGGGCATTTAGTGCTATAAATTTCCCTCTACACACTGCTTTGAATGTGTCCCAGAGATTCTGGTATGTTGTGTCTTTGTTCCTGTTGGTTTCAAAGAACATCTTTATTTCTGCCTTCATTTCGTTATGTACCCAGTAGTCATTCAGGAGCAGATTGTTCAGTTTCCATGTAGTTGAGCGGTTTTGAGTGAGTTTGTTAATCCTGAGTTCTAGTTTGATTGCACTGTGGTCTGAGAGACAGTTTGTTATAATTTCTGTTCTTTTACATTTGCTGAGGAGAGCTTTACTTCCAACTATGTGGTCAATTTTGGAATAGGTGTGGTGTGGTGCTGAAAAAAATGTATATTCTGTTGATTTTGGGTGGAGAGTTCTGTAGATGTCTATTAGGTCCACTTGGTGCAGAGCTGAGTTCAATTCCTGGGTATCCTTGTTAACTTTCTGTCTTGTTGATCTGTCTAATGTTGACAGTGGGGTGTTAAAGTCTCCCATTATTATTGTGTGGCAGTCTAAGTCTCTTTATAGGTCACTCAGGACTTGCTTTATGCATCTGGGTGCTCCTGTATTGGTTGCATATATATTTAGGATAGTTAGCTCTTCTTGTTGAATAGATCCCTTTACCATTATGTAATGGCCTTCTTTGTCTCTTTTGATCTTTGTTGGTTTAAAGTCTGTTTTATCAGAGACTAGGATTGCAACCCCTGCCTTTTTTTGTTTTCCATTTGCTTGGTAGATCTTCCTCCATCCTTTTATTTTGAGCCTATGTGTGTCTCTGCACATGAGATGGGTTTCCTGAATACAGCACACTGATGGGTCTTGACTCTTTATCCCATTTGCCAGTCTGTGTCTCTTAATTGGAGCATTTAGTCCATTTACATTTAAAGTTAGTATTGTTATGTGTGAATTTGATCCTGTCATTATGATGTCAGCTGGTTATTTTGCTCCTTAGTTGATGTGGTTTCTTCCTAGTCTCTATGGTCTTTACATTTTGGCATGATTTTGCAGTGGCTGGTACCAGTTGTTCCTTTCCATGTTTAGTGCTTCCTTCAGGAGCTCTTTTAGGGCAGGCCTGGCGGTGACAAAATCTCTCAGCATTTGCTTGTCTGTAAAGTATTTTATTTCTCCTTCACTTATGAAGCTTAGTTTGGCTGGATATGAAATTCTGGGTTGAAAATTCTTTTCTTTAAGAACGTTGAATATTGGCCCCCACTCTCTTCTGGCTTGTAGAATTTCTGCCAAGAGATCTGCTGTTAGTCTGATGGGCTTCCCTTTGTGGGTAACCCAACCTTTCTCCCTGGCTGCCCTTAACATTTTTTCCTTCATTTCAACTTTGGTGAATCTGACAATTATGTGTCTTGGAGTTGCTCTTCTTGAGGAGTATCTTTGTGGCATTCTCTGTATTTCCTGAATCTGAATGTTGGCCTGCCTTGCTCGATTGGGGAAGTTCTCCTGGATAATATCCTGCAGAGTGTTTTCCAACTTGGTTCCATTCTCCCCATCACTTTTAGGTACACCAATCAGACGTAGGTTTGGTCTTTTCACATAGTCCCATATTTCTTGGAGGCTTTGATCATTTCTTTTTATTCTTTTTTCTCTAAACTTCCCTTCTTGCTTCATTTCATTCATTTCATCTTCCATCACTGATACTCTTTCTTCCAGTTGATTGCATCAGCTCCTGAGGCTTCTGCATTCTTCATGTAGTTCTGGAGCCTTGGCTTTCAGCTCCATCAGCTCCTTTAAGCACTTCTCTGTATTGGTTATTCTAGTTATACATTCTTCTAAATTTTTTTCAAAGTTATTAACTTCTTTGCCTTTGGTTTGAATTTCCTCCTGTAGCTCAGAGTAGTTTGATCGTCTGAAGCCTTCTTCTCTCAACTCGTCAAAGTCATTCTCCGTCCAGCTTTGTTCCATTGCTGGTGAGGAACTGCGTTCCTTTGGAGGAGGAGAGGTGCTCTGCTTTTTAGAGTTTCCAGTTTTTCTGCTCTGTTTTTTCCCCATCTTTGTGGTTTTATCTACTTTTGGTCTTTGATGATGCTGATGTACAGATGGGTTTTTGGTGTGGATGTCCTTTCTGTTTGTTAGTTTTCCTTCTAACAGACAGGACCCTCAGCTGCAGGTCTGTTGGAGTTTGCTAGAGGTCCACTCCAGACCCTATCTGCCTGGGTATCAGTAGCGGTGGCTGCAGAACAGCAGATTTTCATGAACCGCAAGTGCTGCTGTCTGATCGTTCCTCTGGAATTTTTGTCTCAGAGGAGTACCCGGCCGTGTGAGGTGTCAGTCTGCCCCTATTGGGGGGTGCCTCCCAGTTAGGCTGCTCGGGAGTCAGGGGTCAGGGACCCACTTGAGGAGGCAGTCTGCCAGTTCTCAGATCTCCAGCTTTGTGCTGGGAGAACCACTGCTCTCTTCAAAGCTGTCAGACAGGGACATTTAAGTCTGCAGAGGTTACTGCAGTGGTTTGTTTTTGTTTGTCTGTGCCCTTTTTGTTTGTCTTTTTGTTTGTCTTTTTGTTTGTCTGTGCCCTGCCCCCAGAGGTGGAGCCTACAGAGGCAGGCAGGCCTCCTTGAACTGTGGTGGGCTCCACCCAGTTCAAGCTTCCCGGCTGCTTTGTTTACCTAAGCAAGCCTGGGCAATGGCGGGCGCCCCTCCCCCAGCCTCGCTGCCTCCTTGCAGTTTGATCTCAGGCTGCTGTGCTAGCAATCAGCGAGACTCTGTGGGTGCAGGACCCTCCAAGCCATGTGCAGGATATAATCTCCTGGTGCACCGTTTTTTAAGCCCATCAGAAAAGCGCAGTATTAGGGTGGGAGTGACCCGATTTTCCGGGTGCCATCTGTCACCCCTTTCTTTGACTCGGAAAGGGAACTCCCTGACCCCTTGCGCTTCCCGAGTGAGGCAATGCCTTGCCCTGCTTCGGCTCACGCACGGTGCACTACACCCACTGTCTTGCACCCACTGTCTGGCACTCCCTAGTGAGATGAACCCAGTACCTTAGACAGAAATGCAGAAATCACCCGTCTTCTGCGTCGCTCACGCTGGGAGCTTTAGACCAGAGCTATTCCTATTCAGCCATCTTGGCTGCCCTCCCTCCTGTTTCCAGCTTTTGAAAGGTGTGTCAGTCCTGCTACTACAGACTGTGCTGGGAGCCCAAGTTCATTCGCGTGTGTTTCTGTTAGGCCAGCAGAGCATGATGTGCACTCAGGTGACTGATGCCTTTCCCTTAAACACATTGAGGAACCAGATCTATGGAATGTCCTAGAACAAATGGGTAAAGCCCTTCCCTTTTTGGCAACCTAAGATGAAATGTTTTGTATAAACATGTGTTGGAATGGACTACCTGACATGCATGGTTTTCTGAAGGATTCAGCCTGGAAATAATTAAGCAGTATGGTGCTCATTAAGAAGCATATATTTTAGTTAAGACAAGATTGAGAAGCATGGAAATACATTTTGTGACATTACAATTCTTTATCTCTTAATTCCATTTCTCCTTGCTTTGAATATTTTTTCAGCAACATGGTAGAATGAACTCAAAATCCCAGGAAACCAAACTTGCTGTTTTTACCACTTATTGTGATGGCAGTAGACAATGAAGATCAATAATTCCTCCCTGTGATAGTTTTCTATACATCTTTGCTGGTTGGGAAAAGGGGGCCATCTGGATTGCTGAATTCATTAATTTATTCATTCATTTATTCATTCCTCTTTCATTCAACAAATAATTTATAGAGCACATCCTTTGTTCTAGGCATAGTGCTAATTAGTATTACTATGGCCACAGCTTACACAGTCCTTATATACATCAGGTACTATTCTAGTTCTCTGCCTGGATTAACTCATTTAATCTTTATCCTATAAGTTCTTGTTTTATTCCATATTACAGAATAAAATATACATGGACAAATACAGCCTCTGACCTCAGAGTATGTACAGATTGACAGGGAAGACAGCCACTGAACAATCGATTACAGAAGTACACGTCTGTATTACTGAGAAAGCACATACCAGGAAGCCAACCTCCGGTTAAGACCAGGAAAATCCCAAAAGCGGGGGTGAAGGTAGAAATGTGGCTAGAAGGAATATTACAAGCAGAGAGAATCAATGGCATGAATAGCTTTCCAGGCCTTTGTGGTGGAAGGAGCATTTTAGGAAGTACAAAAGCCAGGTGTGGTTAGGATCTGGGGAGTGAAAGGCTGGGACGACAGGTTGATTGACATGGGAAGAAGGGATTGACAGAGGACACTAAGACTGCATGACAAGTTAGGAGGCCATAGCAGAAGTCCAGGCCAAAGGACAGGGATGATGAGAGAGAGGCAGGGGCATCAGAAGCATTTATGAGGTCGAGTGGACAGGGATCTGGGGCAGATTGGATGCTGGGGGTAAGGGTGAGGATTGGCCCCCTGGTGTCTGGGTGGCTGGTGAGGCTTTTCATGGAGACAAGAACCGTGAGTGCCTTCCCTGGCCCCACAATTTCCCCAATTGACATTGTTGGCTATAGAGAGCATGGGATTGGCATCTCTGCTGAAATAAAATCGGTACTCATGTTAGAACCTCATGGCTTATGATAGAGGAGGAGCTCTGTTTACTGGCCTTTTCCAAAGGCACACACTATTGTACCCATGCAGAAATGGCCTCAGATATCACTGCCCAGCCCCTTGTTGTGTGCCAGGCCTTTTCTATTTCTATGTCTTCTTGCCCACACCATCTCCCTTCTCATAATTCTTCTTCCCCACAGCATCTTATAATCACTCTCCTTCCTTATAATTATAGTCAAGAGTTTCAGTAACTCTTTTCCTCCCTTGATATTGCTATTGAGACAGACTAGAGTTTTGTTTGGAGAATGAATAAAGTTTACTTGAATAGAAAATCATTGAAAAAAGAATGGAAATTTTTTGTAAGGTCCAAATACAAATGAGGTTAAAGTTTTGAAGAAGAGACTTCTATCTGAAAGGGTTTTTGAGTTGTTTTCACTGTTATTGGATATAGTTCTACCAATAACTTTAAGCAGAGGTAGGCTCACAAATGGAATGATAATGATCTCACCATTTGGGGGAGGGATTGATTGGGGATTGATGTGTTTTTTTTTGGCAAAACTACAAATAGGATGAAAATTGTTGTGGATGAATCAAGGCGGCAAAGCAACAGGTAATGGGATAGTTCATTACAATATTTAAGATTCTAGGAGCTGATCAGGCTTTTATTATTCCATTATTTTATATACAAGAGGCTTGTATAAACTAAACCAAATACAAAAAAATTAATAAGTATGTTGTTTTGAAAGAATTTCTGCCTTATGTCAGTGTTAACAGTTTCTATTAACTGTCCCTAGGGCTGCTTCTAATGCAGAAAGTAAGTAAATCTGACCATCTCTGAAACTGCTGTGAAACTGTCTCCCCTTTGACAACCCTCTCTCATTTCCCATTCACCTCCACTTTACCAATTTATGCTGAAAATAACTCCCTTCAGATTAGAAAATGAAACCGAATTCATGGTTCCCTAGAGAGCCCTGCAGAGTCATTGCGCAAGCAGCCTGACATGGCCAAGGAAGGTTAGGGGCTTTGGGGCTTTTTGTTGTTGTTTTGGAGTTTAAATGTCTGTTTTGGTTTCATTGAAATAATGAGAGAGATTGTTCCGCTCCGTAGTTTGGAAAGAGTTGTATTGTTCACTTTAAAATAGGAGGCATTTTAAGGTTGGAGTTTTTTAAAAATTTCTTTCTGTTTTAGTTTTCTGACTGCCTATTCTAAATAGTCACCTGGAACCAGTCAGTGTTCTGAGAGCCCTGATGACTCACCACCTCCTTTAACTCTTTGAGATACCAACAGAACCCACTCATCACAGATGATGCCATTGGCATTTTAAAAGGTGAAATGAAAGCCAAAGCTGTAGCCTGGAGGCTCCAGACCCTTATCTCCTCCTCAATGAGAATTTGTTGAGTCCCTGCTGTGTATATAGAAAGGCCCAGGGTACCAGGGTACATGCTGTAGGCAATGCCAAGGTGAACGGAGAATGGGTCTCTGGTTTGGGGAGCTTACATTTAAACAGTGGAGGCTGGCTTTGTACCCAAAGAGCAGAGACTGAAATAACAAGTGCTCTAAGCAGGAATTGGAAGAAATACTCTGTGAATTCAAAGGAGAAGGAGAGGATTTAATAAGTAGGTTGAGAAAAGCATTACAGAGCAGGTGACATGAAAGTTAAATCTCAAAGGATGGGCAGAATTTGGACATTCAAAGATGGAAGAAAGAACATCTCAGTCTTAAAGAATAATGTGAACATTTATATGTCTTCTTAAGAGGAATGTCTATCAGGTCACCCTTTTTTTTTTGAGACGGAGTCTCGCTCTGTCGCCCAGGCTGGAGTGCAGTGGCATGATCTTGGCTCACTGCAAGCTCCGCCTCCTGGGTTCATGCCATTCTCCTGCCTCACCCTCCCAAGTAGCTGGGACTACAGGCGCCCACCACCACGCCTGGCTAATTTTTTGTATTTTTTAGTAGAGACGGGGTTTCACTGTGTTAACCAGAATAGTCTCAATCTCTTGACCTTGTGATCTGCCCACCTTGGCCTCCTAAAGTGCTGGGATTACAGGCATGAGCCACTGCGCCTGGCCAGGTCACCCATTTTTAAATTGAATTATTGGTTTTCTTTCTGTAGAGTTATTGGATTTTCTTATAAATATCTTATCTATTTCAGATATGAATCCCTGATCAGCTGTATGGCTTACAATATTTTCTCCCAATTCATAGGTTGCCTCTGCTCTCTGTTGTTTACATTGTTCTGCAGAAGCTTTTTATTTTTATGTAACCCCATTTGTCTAATTTTGCCTTTGTTGCCTACACTTTCTGGGTCAAATCTAAAAAATTATTGCCCAGATCAGTGTCATGTAGTTTTTTCCCCCATCTTTTCTTCTAGTAATTTTTCAGTTTCAGATAAGTTTAACTCTTTAGTCCATTTTGAGTTGATTTCTGAATATGGTGTGAGATAAGCATCCGGTTTTGTTCTTCTGCATATAAATAGTTGTCCCAACACCACTTATTGAAGAGTCTCTTTTTCTCCTTGTGTATTCTTGGCATCTTTGTCAAAAATCAGTTGAGTCTACATGTGTGGTTCATTTCTGAGCTCTCTATTCTGTTCCATTGGTCGATGAGTCTATTTGTATGCTAGGACCATGCTGTTTGTTCTTTTTACTCATGATAGCTTTGGATATTCAGGGGTTTTTGTGGTTCCATATGAAATTTAGAATTTGTTTTTTCTATTGCAATGAAAAATGATTTTGGAATTCTGATAGGGAATACATTGAATCTATAGATCACTTTAGTAACATGGACATTTTAACAATATTAATTCTTCCAGTCTATGAACAGATACATGAAAAAATGTTCAATATCACCAATCATTAGTGAAATGCAAATTAAAAACTGCAATAAGATACCAAGTCACACCTGTCAGAATAGCTATTATCAAAAAGACAAGAGATGACAAGTGTTGGGGAGGATGTGGAGAAAAGGGAACCCTTGTACACTGTTGGTGGGAATGTAAATTAATACAGCCATTGTGGAAAACTATATGGAGGTTCCTAGAAAAACTAGAAATAGAATTACTATATGATCCAGTAATGCCACTTCTGGATTTGAAATCAATATGTATCCAAAAGATTTGAAATCAAGATGTCAAAGACATGTCTGCATTCCCATGTTCACTTCACCATTATTTACAGTAGCCAAGTGATGGAGTTAACCTAAATGTCCATCAACAGATGAATGGATAAAGAAAATGTGGTACAGATACACAATGCGATACTGTTCAACCTTTAAAAGGAAAGACTTTTTGCCATTTGTGACAACATAGATGGAACTGGGGATCATTATACTAATTGAAATAAGCCAGGCACAGAGAGACAATACCACATGTTCTCACTTATACATGGAATCTAAAACAATCGAACTCAAAGAAGCAGAGAGTAGAATGGTGGTTACCAAAAGCTGGGAGGAGGGGATAGGGAGATGATGGTCAAAGGGTACAAAGCCTCAACTAGATGGGAGAAGTGTTGTCTTTTACTTTGAGATATATTGTACTGCATAATGAATATAATAAATAATGTACATTTCAAAATTGCTGACAGAGTAAATTTCAAATATTCTGACCACAAAGAAATGATAAGTATTTGAAGTGATGGATATGTTAGTGTTATTTAATTATTCCACATTGAATTCATAAATCATGACATCACTTTGTACCTCATAAATATATACAATGATAATTTGTCCATTTACAACTAAAAATACAAGTTAAAAAAAGAATAATATGAGCAAAGTCTTGGGAGCAGGGACACAAGGAAACCCGTGTAGAGTTGGCAGGGATATTTGTTTAGCCAGAGCTTTGGAGGTGTGCAGGAAATCAGAAGAAATAAGGCTAGAAAAATAAGTGAGAAATTGCTAGAATGGTTGCCTTAGGGAGAGGGAGTAAAGGAATAGATGGGAACTTCTTTTAACTTTGTATGCTTTCATATTGTTTTAATTTCTTACTTTTCTTTATTGAATAAGTGGAGTCATGTTATAGAAATCTTTGAATGCCAAGCCAGGGGATTTTTTTTTTCCATTTGGTTGTAAGAGAACCACCAAAGCAGAAGGGGCTATGGTGATAGTTGTGCTCTGGGGAGGTATTTTTAAAGGAACTCTTTGGAGTATATTGGAGATGAGGTGCCTGGAGAGCAAGTAAATAGTTTAGGAAATGTAATAGACCAGGCTGGGAGTAATTGGAAACAAAGAAGAGGAGAGGAACATAGGGAGATAGAGGGGAGGGAGCCCACCGCAGGTCTTCATGGCATAAAGGAAGGCTCTGCTTCTCTCTCTTCCCAGCTTTCTCAGTGCTTCTGGCACTTAGATGCTAATTATGCAGCTATAGACACAAGAAGGAGAACAGTGGAGCTGGTGCTTCCCTAGGCTGCTGCTTCAAACCTTGAGTCAGTTCCTTGAGTTTGTTTTACTCTTGCTCAAAGAGTATATTAAGCCTTTACAAACTGCTTACAAACTACTATTTGTAAAGTCTCAATATACCCAATCCTCTAACAGGTTTAAAAGAAAAGCTCAAGGAGAATTTGATAGAGGTAAAACTCACTCATAAAGCAACCAGAGAAATAGAATAAAAATCATATTGTTTCTAAGGTTCTTTCCAGCTTGCTTTGTTGCAGGCCTTAAGCATGAATGCCTACCTCTGCTTTGAAATCACCCATGATCCATCTCATCCTCTCTTTTGGAACTGACCACACTTTGATCTTTGCATTTCCTCATGAATGCAATTAAAGAAACAATCAGTAAATGGACCATTGACTTCTCTATAGCTCTGTGGTCAATCGCACTTTTGCAGAGCACAGTACTGACCAAACAGTTATCAAGGTTTATTCTAGGTGCTACATCAGAGAAATGCACCTTTGTATCCTGCCTATTTGAAGGCTATATGGCTTGGATGAAATGAATAAATGATACCTGATAAAGAAGGGGTTGTGGGGGAGAGAGAGAAAGATAATGCACACATGAGAGTGAGTAAGTACACGGATCTCTGCTTTCTGGTGTGAGTATTTGTTTTGTCTAGTAGTCTTTGTGATCCCATTAAGGTCTTCAACTTGAAGTCACCATTTATGAGCACCTCAGGAGTTTTTAATCTGGTGGGAGAGATAAACAGGTTGATGGAGCTGTCTTTCAGTGTAATAAACGCACAAGAAAAGGGACTGGATAGTTGAGGGTTTCTGCAAAAAAGTATTCCATTCAGTCATCACTTCCAGACTCTTTGGAGAAAAGGGTATGATCAGAACAAAAAACACAGATTCTAAGTTTGTAGAGGATTCAAACCAGAGGCATCAAAGAGACAGAAAGTAAGCTTGGTAAAATGCATACCTATTCCCTATGGATATTAAAATTGTCCAAGGTGACAGCTGGGATGGACATATAGAGGAAGCCCATGACTCTGGTATCCAAGTAGCCAGTGACAGCAGGGAAATGACTAGAAGGGAGGTCTGCCAAGGACAGTGAAGAGTAGAGGGTAAAGGAAGAGATAGCTAAGTGGAATGAATCTGAAATGGAAAAAGAGTTGCTTGTATTGTGTTATTTGCTTGTTTGTTTATTTTCAACAAAACAAATGAGCATTGTTCTAGAATCACCAAGAGAAAACAAGTAGAATCCCGACCAACATTTCCATTTTCCCATCTAGTTGTAGGGGGAATCACATGCCCATTTTTCTCAGTTTGCCCTGAGGTTGGGGAAAAAGGCTTTATTTATTTATTTATTTATTTATTTATTTATTTATTTATCTATTTAGTTAGTTATTGAGATGGAGTCTCACTCTGTCGCCCAGGCTGAAGTGCAATGGAGCCATCTCGGCTCACTGCAACTTACGCCTCCCAGGTTCAAGGGATTCTCCTGCTGCAACTTCCGCCTCCTGGGTTCAAGGGATTCTCCTGCCTCAGCCTCCCGAGTAGCTGGATTATAGGTACCCACCACCATGCCCAGCTAATTTTTGTATTTTTAGTAGAGACGGGGTTTTGCCATGTTGGCCAGGCTGGTCTCGAACTCCTGGCCTCAGGTGATCCATCTGCCTCAGCCTCCCAAAGTGCTGGGAGTACAGGCATGAGCCATTGCACCCAGCCTAAAAGGCTCTATTTATATTCAGTTGTGTCTATAAACTAGGATGAATATTGCCTACTCAAGAAAATGAATTCTTCAAATAGGAGGAATACCTTCAAACCTCCATTCAAACACTTCTGGGGCCCAAGTACAGTAGCTCTTGCCCGTAAACCTAGCACTTTTGGAGGCCAAAGCATGATGGTGCATGCCTGTGGTCCCAGCCACTTGGGAGGCTGAGGTGGGAGGATCACTTGAGCCCTGGAGGCAGAGGTTGCAGTCAGCTGAGATCATACCACTGCAACTCCAGCCTGGGTGACAACGTGAGACCTTTTCTAAAAAATAAAAAAAATTCTGGGGAGAGGGCACTCATCTCAGGCCTGGTAAAGAACCCTAACCAAACAATCATAGAAGACAAATTGCCCAGACTGATTTACTTGTAGGCAACAGAAAAGTTAACTATGGTTCTGGGCATGGGAACCCTATCTTTTGGCTCCAGGATAAAAGATTATAAATACTAAGCCTGAGTCAGAACACAGATAATTTTCATTTTATTGAACATTGCATCCCCAAATTACTTTGCCAGTGGATTATTTTGAGCTCAGGTTGCATTTCCCCATATATTAGTAGGCTGGATTCCTGGGGGAGCAAAGTCTGAGCTGGATGCTTATTAGGGCGTGCCCCTGGGGCCAACACCTGTGGAAGTGAGAGGACAGGAGCAGGACTTAGAGGACGGAGAAGATGAGCTGTATTGCAACTTTGCCAGCTGACAACAGCCTCAGTTGACCTAACAAGGGGCTCTGGAGCTGGGCAGGCCTTTCAGAGTTGTCCTAAGTTATGGCTGGGGACAGGGCCTTTCTACCCTCACAATGGTCAGTCGTTGGATGTAGTCCTGCCCCTGTAAGGAGCATGGCTTTAAATCAGGCAGGTTTTTTCCAGCTGAGAAAATCCCCAGATAGGCTTGACAGTGAGTACTTTCCTCTAACATGCTCCCCGCAGCTGGAGGAATACGACCTTTATTCTTCAAGGGGTATCTGGATGGCGCATCACAGTATCTAGCACAGCCAGTAAGTTTTCCAGGATTTCCAAGATACCAGCGTAGTCCCTAATTTAGCTGAATTACATAACTTTAAAGCCCACAATGTAACTCTATAGTAATATGGCCCATAAAGTTGAATAAGTATAGGAATTATGTAATCTAATCACTATTTTTAACATTGTTTTCATGACAAAATATATGCTGTATTTCTACTTTGGATGCCAAGAGCACAAGCCCTGTCAGGGAACAGAAGGTCCCTCTCTTTCTCACTCTCTCTCTGTTTCTATCTCTCTCTCTCTCTCTCTCTTTCACACACACAGACACACACACACACACAGCCTTGCCCAAACTTTGGAAATAAAACATTATTCTTTCGCCAATCATGTATTTACTCTGTGAAACACATGAAGTACTGTGCTATTCTAAATGAGGTGGAGAACATAAGACATTCTACTGCAGGAGCACTGGGAAGCATAAAGACCTATCCTTAACTAAAGGAGCAGTGGCTCCTATTCATTCATTGAATAAAAATTCATTGAATTCAAGCTAGGTACCAGACACTGTACAAGGTGTTGGAGTTTAGAAGGTAAATGAGACCCAGTACCTGTGTCAACTGGCTCACAATCTCAAAGAGCACCTATGGTGCACAGATGTACAGGGTGCCCTGGGACATGGAAAACGGATGCCAACTATTCCCAGATAGGTTTAGGAAAAACCTGTCTGGAAGAGGTAGTAGTTGAACAACATCTTCAAAGAGTAATCATATATATATATATATATATATATATATATATATATATATATATATATATATGGCAGAATTAATAGGGGAGGGAAGTAAAGAAGAGAGCACTGAGGCCTAGGGAACTTCTCAAGCAAATGTGCAGAGGTGTAGGACACACAGAGGGTCTGTGATGTTGCAAAAGCATTTGGTTGGGTTGGATTGTAGGGTTTGTGTGGATAGGATGGTGTTTAGCAAGAAACAAAGCTAAAGAGAGACCAGTTCATGAGATGCTTAAAAGCCATGCTTTTGAATTTAGAACTTTATTTTCTTGGCAGTAGGGAGCCGTTCTGGCTTTTTAACAGAAAAGTAGCATGGCCATATTTCTGTTATAGAAAGAGCACTGATAGCAATGTGCAGAGTAATTTGGATACTGGAGGGAAGGTAGACAGGACGTTGTAACAGCAGTCAAGCTACGTAATTATAAGGACCTCGACCAAGCCAGCCACGGTAGGGACTGAAAAGATGAGACAAACATTTGAGATACATAGCAAAGAGAACTGATTAGAATGGAGGTAAGATGAATAACCTAGGATTACACTCAGGTTTCTGAGTGGATACAGTGCCATTTTCCAAGAAAAGTAGGTTTGGAGGGAGGGTTGATTGGTTAAATTATGCATATGTTAAGAATGAGCACGAGATGGGAATGTCTATGCAAACGAATGTATAGCTTTAGCGCTCAAAGCAAAGGCTTAATTAGAGAAATGAATGTATAATTGACTGTTGTAGCCATGAGAGCAGATAAGGGGGTCCAAGGCTTGAAACTGCCTCAGTTATAGTTTCATTTCATAAGGAGAAGGGTAGCCAGGAAAAGAGGAAAAGAGGACCAAAGGCAGAATGCTTATTAAGGAGCCCCAGTATTGGCAGAGTAGGCTGAGGCAGAAGATCCAGCAAAGGAGAACTGTGAAAGGCAGAAGAGAGCTGGGCAAGAGAGCAAGATCTCAGAAGGAAAGCTAGAGGTTGAGTTTGAAGGAGATGGATGTGGTTCACAGTACTGGACATTGCAGAGTGGTCAAGTAAGATGAGAACTTCAAGGAATCTGTTGGATCTGGGTGGAAAGTGATCAGTGACCTTTGCCAAAGCAGTCTCAGAGAGTGTAGGGGCAGGCAGAAAGCTCACTGTAACAGATGGACAACTAGGAGGTAAAGAAGTAGAGACAGAAGTGGTCACACAGATCATTGGAGATTAAGGAATTTTGAGGCTAGAGTTGTTAAATGGAGTTCCTTTGTGGGTGCTGCAGTCATTCAAGATATTGAGAAGAAATTAGGTGGGTAGGAAAACTGTGAACCAGGAGCCCAGGTTGGCTGGGGGTACTGGATGATTTTTTCACTCTTTGATCCAATATACACAGGGCACCCTTAAGTTACATCACTGGAAAGAGTGGGTAGTGGGACCAAATGTTACAAATCTCAACGGAGGAATAGTTTTTAATTCTGAAACGGTATCTGGGAGCCAGAAGGCCAACACTGTCTCTGGCCCCTCTGATATTTACATTGTGGGAGAATAAACATCCTCCCCTTGATAGGGCTCCAGAGAAGGCAATGTCCTTAAGGGGAAAGTGAGATGTCAGTGAAGGGAAAAGGCTGAAGGAAAATTCCATGAAAATGTGGAGTGTGTGGGAGAGTTAAACTGCAATGGAATGAGGGTTCCAGAGAGCAGAGTGGGCAGGTTCTCAGGGAGGCCAGCAGTGGAAGGAGGAATGGGTGGGATGAGACAGAGGTGGGGCAAGGAAGCAGAGAATAATATATGGGATGACAGTTGCCTGGAGGGTCTTGCATTTTGTGGGTGGCCAAAGATGACAGGATAAAAGTCATGGTAAGATTGATTATCCTTGAGGGTACAGGCCTGGTAAGTGCAGCAGATCTAGTCTCTTATTGGGTTTTTAATGATATGCTTCTGAGAATTCCCTTTGAAATGAACTCTTCCTGGATGATGTGGTAGAATGGGGGTGGAGGAGATCAGCTGGCTTCTGATTGACTGACTCTCATTGAAATCACAGCATCCTGTGGAAGTTGGAACCAAGGTACTGCCCAGAAAGGCTTGGGAAGAGGTTGGAAATTATCTTTCTCCAGTAGATTTTTCCCTACATTTTTAGGGGGACAGTTGGTATGGTCCTCACATACTCATCTCTTGACAACCCAGTGTGGCTCCAGAAGCTGCAGCAGCTCTCCTAGGGATGGGGGCACTGACTTGGAGGCCGTTCCTGAAACAGTAGCAACAGTTTTGCGGCTTCATAGATATGGGTCATTCCTAAGTTGGATGTTTATAAAATTGGTGTTGTATCTCCTAAATTCTAAGTTCCTAAATATGTCTTCACTACTCAGAGGCCTCCTCAGAGCCCACTCTAGAGGTAACATACAGACACTAAAGCAAGAGCAATAGAATTAGATCAAGGAGATTCTTTTTCTGGTCTGTTTGATTTGGGTCAAACAGAGCTGAGAATGCTGAAACCTCCTATCTGACAATGTTAACTGTTACTTCCCTCTGACCATAATGTAATCAGACTTCATCCTGTGATGAGAGACAATAATTACACTGAGTAACAGCATCTGCCTTCACCCTGGAGTTTGAGAATTCCAATCAGCACTTCATTTTTCAAATTTGATTTTCTGGGATTTATACCAACAAAGATGAAAATGGTTTCTGGCAGTGCATTCAGTAGGGAATGTATTTTGGAAACACGATAGATGAACTCTGCCTTTGTTTGTAGCAAAAAACATGATCTTTATAAAACATCTATCAATTGTTCTGACAACCCAAACCAGAATTTACCACTCTGCTCCTATGACAGTTAGGTCTAGCTGGTTTTCGTGTTCGTGATTATGTTATCAATATTTATTATAATTAGTATATGTGTGTGAGGGGAAATGAGTGTGACCGAAAAGCCCACCTTGGAAGCAAGAAGCCGTTTTCCACTGTGCATATGTGAAGTTTGTCTTTTGATTGGAACCTCAGTCATTGCTTGAAAAGCCCTCTGTCACCTGTTACACTGTCTTTTAACCTCCCTCAGCCAGAAAGCTTTGCTCAGACATAGTACCACATCCGCTCTAACTGCATTTCAGGCTGATTTGGTTCCTCACTTTCTGATTCCCTAATTTCTAGTTATGCAACACTGGCTGAAGCTGTGCTTCGGTGAATCTGCTGAGTTCTTAGCTTTTGGTTATTCTACTGCATTTTAGTGAGCAGAGGTTCTTGGAGATTCCACAACCGTCCCTTCTCCAAACATCTTGGGCCTCAGAGAATTGTGTGTTGTGTTGGGCACTGTTCTGACACTGATAGACAGGCTATGTGCTTTGGTTGGAGCTGCCAGCTTTATTAAACGAAAATAGAGGACAGTTCAATCTGAATTTCAGATAAAAAATTATTTTATTTTTTCCTATAAGTGGGTCTTATGCAATATTTGAGACACACTTGTACCAAAAAATTATTCATTGATTATCTGAAATTCAAATTGAACTTGGAATCCTGTCTTTTACCTTTAACCCTTCTCCTGGCCCTTTTCTTTTGTGATGTTGCCATGGTAAAGGGATTCATAGCTAGTATATAAGAAACTGCTCCGGAAGAGGAATAGGGAAGTCTATATGGATTCATTAGCATGCATGACCTCTGCAGGGCTTATTTATTTATTTTTTTGTTAGTTTGTTTATTTGTTTGTTCGAGATGGAGTTTCACTCTGTTGCCCAGGCTGGAGTGCAGTGGCACGATCTTGGGTCACTGCAACCTCTGCCCCCCGGGTTCAAGCGATTCTCTTGCCTCAGCCTCCGGAGTAGCTGGGACTACAGATATCCACCACCACACCCGGCTTATTTTTGTATTTTTATTAGAGATGGGGTTTCACCCTGTTGGCCAGGCTGGTCTCGAACTTCTGACCTCAGGTGATCCACCCGCCTTGGCCTCCTGAAGGGCTGGAATTTACAGGCATGAGCCGCGGCGCCCGGCTGGCTTGTTTTTGTTTTGTTTTGTTTTGTTTTGTTTGGAGCGGGGTGGGATGTGGGGGCAGTTGATCTTCATGTCATATTAACACCAGACATGGCAGGTTTCTACTCTTTGTTCCATCCATTTCCCTTCCTAGACTCGCAGAATCCCAGGTTTTGGAACCAGGAGGGAGACAGGGCTGTTATAGTATGTAGAATTTCTCAAACTTTTGCCTCAGAATACCTGTCAATATGTCATAGGATGCTTATGCTCTGTAAAACACCGTAGGAAAACCTGCCATGCAGCATTACCCTTGAACATTTTGTTGCTACATATACAGTCTTTCTGGTGCTGCTGTATCCACCTATTTATTCTTCATATTTATTGTCAATGCTTAGTACTGGCTAAAACCATGACATGATAAACTATGTCTTGTGGATATGTTCCTAGAGCCTAGTCATTTGTATATGGTTATTTTTGGAAATAAGTTTTATAACAAAGACTTTCATCAATAATGTGGCCTATTCCATTGGAAGTTTTTCAGATGCCCAGGAATACTCTGCACTTAGTTTCCTCAAGCTGACAAGCCGAAATATAAGTATTATTTATACATTTTCTGTCTCGGTACCCCCCACTCCAACTTGACCAACCATGCAATCAGGCTAGCCTAAGAGTGTTCATGAACTTCTCAATGCAGCCACACCTAGTATCTTCCAGAGCTCAGTTCCATGCATGGTGTCAAATGCTTTTGTGAAGCTAACAGACACAACAAAGAGATATTAATGTTTCACCCTGTAGTTTTCCCATCTTCACTGCATGATGAGCATCAACTCAAGGCTACTCTGAGTTTTCGGATGATGGGGTTTTCTTCTCCAGTTGTGCCATTGAGATGTGTTTACAGATCTCTTTTTAGAAATTTTATTTCTCTAGAAGTTAAGCATTTACCATTTGAATGACTGGAGTGACATTTTGCAGCATACGAATGACCTCACCCACAAAAGCTCAACGAGTGTCAGACAGTGATCATTCCAAGAAGTGCCATGGAACAGTTATCTCACCCTTTCAGGTCTTATTAACAGTTATCTAACTGATGTACAAGCACTGTCTGGATTTTGAATATATACATGACATCTTTTCCTTTTTCTTCAGTAGAAATATATATTTGTGATCACAAACTAACACCCAGCGTATTCTTTTTAGAAGACTGTAGTATAGTACTTCATATTTCAAGTCCTATGTTGCTCAATCGTTTTCCTCATATTAAAGTAAAACTCTCAGTAAAATATGTCACCACAGTATTTTACAATCCACTGATATGACATGAAAAAGAGCTGTTGAACATTTTTTAACCATTAGCCTGCAGTTCTCATCACTTAACTCAGATATAATAACACAGAGTAACTCTAAATTGCTTCAGTCACAGCTGTGCAAGCATGTGTGTGTACATACTTTCATGTACACACACCATAGAGCTCACATAGTCCACACAGCACACACATACACACACAAGGCACACATGTGCACATACTAGCTCTTTCATCTTACCATGCTTTTCTAGTACATCTAGTAAATCTCACAGTGCTGTTCTTAGTCTGTACTATATTAAATGAATGTCCTTCCACACTTAGTGTTCCAGAACTATCTAAAAGGTTGATTTCCTGAGTCATAGGTTAATTTTCCATTTTTAATTCCATCAAGTCTAGCAGCTACTGGGGTGCTCAGCTCCAGCATTTATCTTGCCCTTTATGATCTCAGTAAATTCCTTTGACCCACTTTGTTCTGTAAACATAAGCAGGACCAGAAAGCATTTGGTATGTATGACATAATGGAAAAGTGATGTTCTGCCTAATGTGGTTTTTTTGTGATTTTTCTCACCAAGGCTCAAGATATTGTTTTGATAATGTCCTACGAGGAGATAGGCAGGATTTGGCAGTCTGTTGTTCTCTCTGAATGCATCAAGGTCTGTTAAACTGATTATATTAGTTTCAATATACAGTAGATGGGCTATTCTAAATTATTTTAAGCAGAAGTAAAAACCTAATTGATTATCATATTCATTTTATAACTTCACTGCTCATTACTCCTCTCCACTTTAATTAGATGTGCAGTGTGAAATAATCAATTCCTGCCGTTAGCAAATAGAACCCACAGGACCTCATTATCCCCAGACTCATTGCTTCAGTGTTCAATTAACCATTTTTGTGGAATAGTTTTGTTTTATGGAAGATTGACACTGCTTAAGGTCCCATTTTTCACTAAGTGGAGGGAGGCAGGAGATGACAGTGCCATAGGTGGTGGTTCATGTGTCCAAGGAGAGGGATTCCCTTCAATCTTTGTTATCCACTGTCAACAGTTTGAACCTACCAAAGGTTCAAATGCAAGATAGTCATCTGACTCAACTACAACCAATGTTCAGTGTCTCCTTAACACTTTCTTCTTTCTGTCTTTCCCTAATGCCTAATAGTAAAACCTTATGGTGGGAGCTGGGGGTGCTCTGCCCAAAATATCCTTCTTTTCCCCTCAGCTTGAAATTGCCTAAGTTACAGTGTCATTTGGGTAAAGGAGATAACCTTAAAAAGGTTAAGCTGGGCATAGCAATCATTCTACTTTAGTGTGTTTCATTTGGTCACCTCCTTTCTTAGCTGTGATAAATGACACACTTGGGTAGGGTATTTCAGTACAGTATGGATGCCCGTTTCCTAGAGGCCTGGAGAGCAGGAGCATCAACCAGTGGAAGAAGGATAGGGCCACAGTGTCGGAGGAAGGAGAATGAAATTTGCTACTCTGAAATGTTGCTACTCACCTTCCTTTGCTCCCAGGGCCCCTCCAAGTCAGGTACAACTGTCATTTAACTGAGAGTTAACTCCTGCGATTTTAGAGGTCAAGAAAGAGCAGGAAAGGGGTGAGGGGAACCAACCATAGTTAGCTGGCTTTCTGGTAATCTAGGCATTGTATCATTAAGGCCAACCCATGATTTGCCATGTACAGCCACTATAAGAATTTTCTAAGATTTTTCTTTGTTGCATGTGGCAACACATCCATAAAGCTTAGCAAGAATGATGCCATAGAAGTTTTAAATTTCACAAGTAATACTTGCACATGTTTTCCTTTTAAAAAAATTAAAACTTTACAAGTAACACTAAATTTTCTTTGACAACTCACCCCAGTCTCCCAGGCTTCTCCCACTTTCCCAGTAATAACTGTGGGTATGAGATCATTTCCTTTATTTATTTATATTTAAATAATATATACATTACTTTTAAAATACATTAAAAGTATAACTATATTTTATTTGTATTTATATAATATAAATAATATATTAGATATTTTATAATATATACAGTATGACACAATATTTTACATATAATACATAAGATATAATGATTATATATTTTTAACATGTATTTACTATATAAATATATATCTAACATATATAATGTATAGTTTCCTCTTTATATATATATCCATTGAAACATGTAACATTATTTTATGTGACTGTATCTGGATATTTTTTCATAAATTCATTTATTCAAGATTCAGTAAATATGTAAGTGCCTGCTCTGTACCAGAGCCCTGTGTCCACATGACACATTGTAGTAGACACAGGTTGCATATCTCTTACCCAAAATGCTTGAAACCAGAAGTGTTTCAGATTTTGGGAATATTTGCCTTATACATACTGGTTGAGTATCTCTAATTTAAAAATCCAAAATCCACAATGCTCCAGTGAGAATTTCCTTTGATCATCATGTGGGTGCTCAATACATTTCAAATTTTGGAGCATTGTGGATTTTGGATTTTCAGATTAGGTACTATTATTCTGAAATTACTTTTTTTCCTACACTCAATATGTCTTGGAGATTTATCCATTTTCATACATATAGATCCATCTCAGTGATTTTAATAACGCATAAGTATGATATCTCACAGTCGATTTAGATATTCTCCTACTGCTGGAATTATTGTCTTGGAATTTGACCTAGCCTTCCTCTGTTCTGCTGAGTATTTCTCCAGAGTCAGTCAGCAGGGGAAAGGGACCCCTGGCAGCTTTTCCTTCCCTCTCACAGTGGGAGGGGTGGAGAAACCACATCTCCTATGTGGCTTTGTGATGACATGTTAGTCGTATTCCGGGTTGTCACACCAGACATACTATATAAGAGAAGTGTTTGAGATGGCTTTTTCTATTAGGATAGTGCATGAAAGTTTTAATGATAAGAATCAAAATAGGAGTGGTGACAAGGAGAGTAGAAATGGAAAAGAGTTGTGGTCAGGGGACTTGTGAAGGGGTGGCTGTAAGCCGGGAGGAATACATCTGGACCACAACAGCACGCAAAGATGATTGCGCCCAAGGAGAGGGCACAGAGTGGGCCAAGTTCATGTGGGTACAGATCAAATGCCAGGGAAAGGTCCGTTTTGGTGTCAACTCCTATTTCTCGCTTTCCGATATGGTTCCTATTCATGATCTTTGTTATCTAGTTCTCTTTTTAAATCCTCCTGAACTGTGAAAGCCTACATTCCTGTTTCTAGACATTCAGGTTTGATAAAAATGTGAAAAAGCCTTTCTGTCTGAACAAACAGAATGAGGCTTACAAGAAGATCTTCAAGAATGGGATGAAATCCAGTCCTCATAATTGAAATGTTTTCCTTACCTCATTCTGATCCACATGAATTTAATGTGCATTATATATAAAAGGTTTTTCATATAGTTTGAAAAATTAGTAGGTTTCATAATTTTCTTTTTCCAGTTGAGGTTTCAGAGCATTAATTTTATTATAGGTCTACTTCATCACAATTTAATGTAAAAACACATTACTTAAGCTTTCCTTTGGTTTGTTCACTTTAATCATCAGTGAAAACAATGCTGGTCTTTCTATCATTAATCAAATTTTGATCCACAAACAAGTGTTATATTATTTTCCATTTGTCCATCCATTCATTTAACCTGAAAACACTTAAACCAAATAGTAGAGAAAATCATCCCCGGGGGGGAAAAAAAGCCTTGAGTTTGAACGATTACTTTTGGAAATTTCATCCAAGTAGTTTTATAAATGAGATAATTAAAGATGTCATTACATCTTTTTTCCCTATATGACTGTTACATACAGCTTCTATATATGTTTGTCAGCAAAGAAAATATTAGTGGGCATACTAAAGTTTGAGTAATTTTATGTCTTTGTATTGCAAGGTTATTCCCCAGAATGCAAAAACTAAATCTTACACATTTTATGTACATGTATGTATGTAACTAATAGACATTGAGAGAACTCATTTGCATTATTTTCCAATTCTGTGCCCTACATTAAAGAGGTTTTTCTGACCGTTTCGATCTCACATGTCCTCCTTTCTGCTTAAATGCTGATGGACGCTGGATGGGCACTGCTAGATTACAGCTGGTACCAGGGAGGTAAAGGACAGAGATTGTTCTTTATTTGAGCCATTTAATTTCCCAAAGGAAAGAGAAAAACACTAATAACAATAAAGCTGTTCTTAAAATCTTCGACTTTTCACAAGTCACATGCCTAGATCTAGACATTTTATAAATGTCACTGTCAGGGGAAGATCCGATCTTGTGGGGACTGCAATTTGGGGATCCCCTTTTAAGAAAAATAATATACAATTATGAATTCAAAAGTAGGTATGAAATTGGGGTTCTTATGTAAATAATGAAAATAGTGAAAAAAGAAATCAATCACAGCAAATTACAAATTGTAAAAAGCTAACAAATAACCAAATCCAGAAAAAGATTTAATTAACTGCTTGATACATCTCTATAACACTTTATCTCAACATTTTTTGTTGCCAAATCTTTGATCACCACTTTATGTAAAAACTTTTTTTGTAATATTATTTTCCATAGAGAGGATAGAAAGATTGCTCAAATTTTCTAGTGTGGTTGGCCAAAAGTTGTTTAGAAACCCACACATTCAAACCTTGTTATTATTCCAGTACCAGAATCCTAGAGTACTGGGTGCCATAAGGTGTGTTCATATCATAACAGACCTCTAGACCTGGCATGTTGCAATGCCAGGGGAGAAGGCACAGTGGGTGGAAATTGTACCACTAGCAGTGACTTAAGCATGAACAGAAGCAACTAAGAACTACACAAATATATCACCCCAAGCCCAGATTAAATGCTCCCCTTAGCCAGATCCTAAAAATGCCCATGGTGACTCAGCACTCCACACTTCCAGACTAGATGGAAACGTGATGGAGAGGGAAGTCTGAGTGGGAAGATCCAGAGGTTTTGACTAATTGTGATTATACCTAATTTACCATGTGCCCATACTACTAAGACCCTCTCAGGGGCCCATGAAAGTAAGGGGCCCTGATGCTTAAACTTCCTTTGCTTCAAGGTAACAATGTCTCAACATATTGTGGATTGTGGTGAGTGGGGACTGAGCATGTAGAAGTAATCAGCCTGCCATTACCTCCTACTTGCATGACTTAGGCAGGCTTAGGCACGTGGGGGTCCACTAGGGAGGAGGAAAAGGAGGAAGCTGATGCAGATGCCACAGGTGCTGGGAGAAACTAACCTAGCTGCAGGCTAGCTAGCCCAGAAGAGCAGTCAGACCATTTGCTGTAGGATCTCAAATGTCATGGCAAACTCAGATGGGAACACTAGCAGAAGGCCAGGTATTATGAACAGAACAACAAACATGAAGTTTGTAGTCATGAAGACCTGGGTTAGAATCATCTGTATCCCCTCAATAGCTGTGTGATTTTGGGCAAATTATTTAACATCTCTGAGCCCTACTTCCCTTATTCACATAAAAACTGAAGATGGTACTTTCCTCTTTGGGTTATTGAGGAGCTAATTGGAGGCAGGGGTAACACACATATAGACGTGCCTGGCTCATGGTACCAAGTTTTAGTGGATTTCTTTCCAGAAGGCAAGCAAAACTCAAAGTCAGAAAGGGAGCATTCGAATTCATATAGATCCTCATAATCAGTCAATTTGCAATAAGACCATAGTCTGTGGCTAGAGGTGCAAGAAAGAGAATCTAGGCCTCTGGTTGAAAGGATCTGCAGGAGCCAGGATAGATGTCAGGGACGCAGCCAAGGTGACTGAAGCTTAGGGTGGGCCTGTATTCTGATGGGAAATGAAAGCAATTAGCAAAGAAACTGGGGGAAAACTCTCAAACATAACCTGTGCCAGCATAGAGGGAGTAAGGGAAAGACTGTGACAGAGAGACACACAAGCCTAGGCTCACTGCTGGGAATTTAAGAACCCTGACTTGGGAGGAGCAAGACTAGCCTCAGACCTAAGCAGCCAAGGCTATGATGTGCAGCCTACCATGGTCAAGACAGGTATGGGCTGCAGGTGGGAGGCCTTGGAGACTCCAGATCTTACAGGACTGGAGAAGAGAGTTAACTGACAACTTTCAGAAAACCCGGAAATACCTCCCTTCTTTAGGGGCCACCAGCATCTCCAGAAGATGTCCAAAGGACAGCAATTAAAACATGCACAAATTCTTATATTAGATAACAAAAAAGAATCACAGGACAAAAGAAAATAATATAGTTTAAAAAAATATTGTTTCAAAACATCACCACTACCCTTCAGTCTCTTGGCAGAGGCAAAGGTTCTTTTATTTCTGATTCTTTATACCGGCAGCCTCTGGAACCATTCCCTGTAGTCCATCGGTTATCAATTTTTTTAAAAATTTTTAATCATACTTTAAGTTCTAGGGTACATGTGCACAACGTGCAGGTTTGTTACATAGGTATACATGTGCCATGTTCGTGTGCTGCACCCATCAATTCATGATTTACATTAGGTATTTCTCCTAATGCTATCTCTCCCCCAGTCCCCCACCCCTCAACAGGCCTGGGTGTGGGATGTTCCCCTCCCTGTGTCCATGTGTTTTCATTGTTCAACTCCCACTTATGAGTGAGAACATGCAGTGTTTGGTTTTCTGTCCTTGTGTGATATTTTGCTGAGAATGATAGTTTCCAGCTTCATCTATGTTCCTTCAAAGGACATGAACTCATCCTGTTTTATGGCTGCATAGTATTCCATGGTGTATATGTGCCACATTTTCTTAATTCAGTCTATCATTGATGGACATTTGGGTTGGTTCCAAGTCTTTGCTATTATAAATAGTGCCACAATAAATATACATGTGCATGTGTCTTTATAGTAGCATGATTTATAATCCTTTGGGTATATACCCAGTAATGGGATTGCTGGGTCAAATGGTATTTCTAGTTCTAGATCCTTGAGGAATCACCACACTGTCTTCCACAATGGTTGAACTAATTTGAACTCCCACCAACAATGTAAAAGTTTTCCTGTTTCTCCACATCCTCTCCAGCACCTGTTGTTTCTTGACTTTTTAATGGTCACCATTCTAACTGGTGTGAGATGGTATCTCATTGTGGTTTTGATTTGCATTTCTTTGATGACCAGTAATGACGAGCATTTTTACATATGTCTGTTGGCTGCATAAATGTCTTCTTTGGAGAAGTGTCTGTTCATATCCTTTGCCCACTTTTTGACGAGGTTGTTTTTTTCTTGTAAATTTGTTTAAGATCTTTGTAGATTCTGGATATTACCTTGGTCCAGAGCTGACGTCAAGTCCTGGATATCCTTGTTAATTTTCTGTCTCATTGATCTGTCTAATATTGACAGTGGGGTGTTAAAGTCTCCCATTATTATTGTGTGGTAGTCTAAGTCTCTTTGTAGTTCTCTAAGAACTTGCTTTATGAATCTGGGTGCTCCTGTATTGGGTGCATATATATTTAGGATAGTTAGCTCTTCTTGTTGAATTGATCCCTTTATCATTATGTAATGGCCTTCTTTGTCTCTTTTGATCTTTGTTGGTTTAAAGTCTGTTTTACCAGAGACCAGGATTGCAACCCTTGCTTTTTTTTTTTTTTTTTTTTTTTTTGCTTCCCATTTGCTTGGTAGATCTTCTTCCATCGCTTTATTTTGAGCCTATGTGTGTCTTTGCACATGAGATGGATCTCCTGAATACAGCACACCAATGGGTCTTGACTCTTTATCCAATTTGCCAGTCTGTGTCTGTTAATTGGGGCATTTAGCCCATTTACATTTAAGGTTAATATTATTATATGTGAATTTGATCCTGCCATTATGATGCTAGCTGGTTATTTTGCCTATTAATTGATGCAGTTTCTTCATAGCGTCGATGATCTTTAAATCTGGCATGTTTTTGCAGTTGCTGGTACCAGTTGTTCCTTTCCATGTTTAGTGATTCCTTCGGGAGCTCTGGTAAGGAAGGCTTGGTGGTGACAAAATCTCTTAGCATTTGCTTGTCTGTAAAGGATTTTATTTCTCCTTCACCTGTGAAGCTTAGTTTGGCTGGATATGAAATTCTGGGTTGAAAATTCTTTGCTTTAAGAATGTTGAGCCGGACGTGGTGGCTCACGCCTGTAATCCCAGCACTTTGGGAGGCTGAGGCAGATGGATCATGAGGTCAGGAGATCTAGCCCATCCTGGCTACCACGGTGAAACCCCATCTCTACTAAAAATACAAAAAATGAGCCAGGCGTGGTGGCAGGTGCCTGTAGACCCAGTACTCGGGAGGCTGAAGCAGGAGAATGGCATGAACCCGGAAGGCGGAGCTTGCAGTGAGCCAAGATCATGCCGCTGCACTCCAGCCTGGGTGACAGTGCAAGACTCCATCTCAAAAAAAAAAAAAAAAAGAAAAGAAAAGAATGTTGAATATTGGCCCCCACTCTCTTCTGGCTTGTAGGGTTTCTGCCAAGACATCTGCTGTTAGTCTGATGGGCTTCCCTTTGTGGGTAACCCGACCTTTCTCTCTGGCTGTCCTTAACATTTTCTCCTTCATTTCAGCCTTGGTGAATCTGACAATTATATGTCTTGGGGTTGCTCTTCTCAAGGAGTATCTTTATGGTGTTCTCTGTATTTTCTGAATTTGAATGTTGGCCTGCCTTGCTAGGTTGGGGAAGTTCTCCTGGATAATATCCTGAAGAGTGTTTTCTAACTTGGTTCCATTCTCCCCGTCACTTTCAGGTACACCAATCAAATGTAGATGTGGTCTTTTCACATAGTCCCATATTTCTTGGAGGCTTCATTCCTTTCTTTTCACTCTTTTTTCTCTATTCTTGTCTTCATGCTTTATTTCATTAATTTGATCTTCAATCACTGATATCCTTTCTTCCACTTGATCGAATCAGCTATTGAAGCTTGTGTATTCTCCACAAAGTTCTCATACTGTGGTTTTCAGCTCCATCAGGTCATTTAAGCTCTTCTCTACACTGGCTATTCTAGTTAGCCATTTGTCTAACCTTTTTTCAAGGTTTTTAGCTTCCTTGCAATGGATTAGAACATGCTTCTTAGCTCAGAGAAGTTTATTAATACCAACCTTCTGAAGCCTACTTCTCTCAACTCATCAAACTCATTCTCCATCCAGTTTTGTTCCCTTGCTGGAGAGGAGTTGTGTTCCTTTGGAGGAGAAGACATGTTCTGGTTTTTGGAATTTTCAGCCTTTCTGCTCTGGTTTCTCCCCATCTTTGTGGTTTTATCTACCTTTGGTCTTTGATGTTGGTGACCTACGGATGGGGTTTTGGGGTGGATGTCCTTTTTGTTGACGTTGATGCTATTCCTTTCTGTTTGTTAGTTTTCCTTCTAACAGACCCCCTCAGCTGAAGGTCTGTTGGAGTTTGCTGGAGGTCCACTCCAGACCCTGCTTGCCTGGGTATCATCAGCGGAGGCTACAGAACAGCAAATATTGCTGCCTGATCCTTCCTCTGGAAGCTTCATCCCAGAGGAGCACCCACCTGTATGAGGTGTCTGTCGGCCCCTACTGGGAGGTGTCTCCCAGTTAGGCTACACAGGGGTCAGGGACCCACTTGAGGAGGCAGTCTGTTTGTTATCAGAGCTCAAATGCCGTGCTGGGAAAGCCACTGCTCTCTTCAGTGCTGGCAGGCAGGGACATTTAAGTCTGCAGAAGCTGTCTGCTGCCTTTTGTTCAGATGTGCCCTGCCCCCAGAAGTGGAATCTATAGAGGCCTTGCTGAGCTGCGGTGGGCTCCACCCAGTTTGAGCTTCCCTGCCGCTTTGTTTGCACTGTGACCATAGAACTGCCTACTCAAGCCTCATCAATGGCGGAAGCCCCTCCCCCCACCAAGCTCCAGCGTCTCAGGTTGATCTCATACTGCTACACTAGCAGCGAGAAAGGTTCTGTGGGCATGGGACCCACCGAGCCAGCCACGGGAGGGAATCTCCGGGTCTGCCATTTGCAAAGACTGTGGGAAAAGTACAGTATTTGGGCAGAAGTGTACCATTCCTCCAAATACAGTCACTCACAGCTTTCCTTGGCTAGGAAAGGGAGATCCCCTGACCCCTTGCACTTCCCAGGTGAGGCGACGCCCTGCCCTGCTTCGGCTCACCCTCCATGGGCTGCACCCACTGTCCAACCAGTCCCAATGACATGAACAATTTACCCCAGCTGGAAATGCAGAAATCACCTGTGTTCTGTGTCAGTCTCGCTGGGAGCTGTAGACCAGAGCTATTTCTATTCAGCCATCTTGGAAGCGACCCTGATTATCAAATTTTAATGCACGTAGAACTCCCCTGTTAGAATCTTTGTGGGTGATACCTGGGACCATGCATTGCTAACACATGGACCACACTTTGTGAACTTTGCTCCAATTTTTATTAGAACTATGAGGGTTTTCATGATACCTAGCTGCACAACAACAAAAAAAAGAAAAGCAGAGGAAGAGGACAGAAGAAGAAAGAAAAAAGAGAAGAGGGAGGGGAAGGGAGAGGGATATGGGGTTGTGAGGGAGGAAGAGGAGGAGGAGGAGGAGGAAGGGGAAGGGGTGGGGGGAGGGGAGTAGGAGGAAAGAAAGAGGGAAAGGAAGGAAGGAGGAGAGAGAGAGAGAAAGGAAAGAAAGAAAGAGAATAGAAAGAAAAAGAAGAGTTTCCTGTGACAGAATCAAGTGGTCAAGTGGTAGGAGATGGCCTTTTAGGGAAATAATATTATATATAGGCATCCCCCAGGTTACGTACACCCAGTGTGATGGAAGGAAGGAAGGAGGGAAGGAAGGGAGGCAGGGAGGGAGGGAGGAAGGAAGGAAGGTAGGAAGGAAGGAAGGAAGGAAGGAAGGAAGGAAGGAAGGAAGGAAGGAAGGGGAAAGGAAAGGAAAGGAAAGGAAAGGAGATAAGCTTCCTGTGACAGAATCAAGCAGTTATATGGTAGGTTATGGCCTTGTGGGGAAAAAACGTATACCGCCCTCCCCCAGGTTGCATATGTCCCATGTGATGGAGGAACAGCCCACCAAGGGCCTCCAAAAAAAATTACCAGATTAGGCCTATTAGGAAGGTCAGGACCTTCTGCATCTGCCTGCAACAGCTCCACAAATCCTTGGCTCCCAAATATTTTGTCATCTCCTTCTATCCTAAAAGAAAAAAACTGTTTTTCTGTACTCATACAACACTTCTAACCCCCAAATATGTGGGATTTTTCCATTCCTAGCAATTCTCCAGTTCTCTGGGCACCATCTGAGCATCCTACATTTAATTCAATTCTGACACTGTCTACCTGGAGTAATCATCAGATCTCACAAGTTAAAGGGCTCAGTCCCACAACACTGCCACCACTTCTGATGCCAGTCACAAGTCCCAGGTTGCCACTTGTACTTGTGACTTGATTAATTAACCTTCTATAAATCACAAATTCCCATGAACCTTTCCTCAGGTTCAATAATTTGTTAGAATGGCTCACAGAACTCAAGAAGTTACTTCACTTACATTTAATGGTTTATTATAAAGATACAATTCAGGAATAGCCAAGTGGAAGAGAGGCACAGGGCAAGGCATGGGGATGGCCTGGAGTTTCCAGGCCCTCCCTCTGCACACTGCCCTCCCAGCACCTTGATATATTCACCAGCCCAGAAGCTCTTAACTCAATCTCTAAGCCCTTCTCCCCTTCCTGTGAAGATGAGGGTAGTGGTCTGAAAGTTTCAACCCTCTAATCATGGCCTGCTCTTTCTGGTGGCCAGTTCCTATCCTGAAGTGATCCAGAAGCCCACCAAGAGTCACCTCATTAGAATGAAAGATACACCTGTCACCCAGGAAATTCCAAGGGATTTAGGAGCTCTGTATCAGGAACTGGGGTCAAAAATAAAATATTAGAACAAAAGATGTTCCTAGCATCCTTATCACTCAGGAAATTCCGAGGGTTTTAGGAGCTCTGTGTCAGGAACCAGGGGCAGAGACCAAATATACATTTGGTTTTTTTTTACTTTCCAACTTTTATTTAAAGTTCAGGGATACATGTGCAGGATATGCAGGTTTATTACATAAGTGTGCCATGGTGATTTCCTGCAGCTATCAATCTGTCACCTAGGTTTTAGGCCCTGCATGTATTAGCAATTTGTCATGATGCTCTCCCTCCCCTCGTGCCCAACCCCCAACAGGCCCCGGTGTGTGTTGTTCCCCTCCCTGCATCCATGTGTCCTCATTGTTCAGCTCCCACTTGAAAGTGTAAGTCAGAACATGAGGTATTTGATTTTCTGTTCCTGTGTTAGTTTGCTGAGGATAATGGCTTACAGCTCCATCCATGTCCCTGCAAAGGATATGACCTCATTCCTTTTTATGGCTGCATAGTATTCCATGGTGTATATGTGCCATATTTTCTTTATCCAGTCTATCATTGGTGAGCATTAAGTTGATTCCATGTCTTTGCTATTGTGAATAGTGCTGCAGTGAACATATGCATGCATGTATCTTTACAATATAATGATTTATATTCCTTTGGGTATATACCCAGTAATGGGATTGCTGGATCAAATGGTATTTCTACCTCTAGGTCTTTGAGGAATTGCTACACTGTCTTCCACAATGGGTGAACTAATTTACACTCCCACCAACCGTGTAAAAGCATTCCTCTTTGTCCACAACCTTGCCAGCATCTGTTGTTTTTTGGCTTTTTGATAACAGCCATTCTGACTGGTGTAAGATGGTGTCTCCTTGTGGTTTTGATCTGCATTTCTCTAATAATCATTGATGTTAAGCTTTTTTTCATATGTTTGTTGGCCTCATGTATGTCTTCTTTTGAGAAGTGTCTGTTCATGTCCTTTGCCCACTGTTTAATGGGGTTGTTTGGTTGTTTTCTTCTAAATTTGTTTAAGTTCCTTGTAGATGCTGAATATTAGACCTTTGTCAGATGGATAGATTGCAAAAATTCTCTCCCATTCTGTAGGTTGTCTGTTTACTCTGATGATAGTTTCTTTTGCTGTGCAGAAGCTGTTTAGTTTAATTAGACCCCATTTGTCAATTTTTGCTTTTGTTGCAATTGCTTTAGGAGTGTTCATCATGAAATCTTTACCAATGCCTATGTCCTGAATGGTATTGCCTAGGTTTTCTTATAGGGTTTTTATAGTTCTGGGGTTTTACATTTAAGTCTTTAATCCATCTTGAGTTGATTTTTGTATGTGGTGTAAGGAGTGGGTCCAGTTTCAATTTTCTGCACATGGCTAGCCAGTGATTCCAGCACCATTTATTAAGTAGGGATTCCTTTTGCCATTCCTTGTTTTTGTCAGATTTATTGAAGATCAGATGGTTATAGGTATGCAGTCTTATTTCTGGGTTCTCTATTCTGTTTCATTGGTCTATGTGTCTGTTCTTGTACCAGTATCATGCTGTTTTGGTTACTGTAGCCTTGTAGTGTAGTTTGAAGTCTGGCAGCATGATGCCTCTAGCTTTGTTCTTTTTGCTTAGGATTGTCTTGGCTATTCAGGCTCTGTTTTGGTTCCATATGAATTTTAAAATAGTGTTTTCTAATTCTGTGAAAAATGTAAATGGTAGTTTAATGGGAATACCATTGAATCTATAAATTGCTTTGGGCAGTATGGCCATTTTCACAATATTGATTCTTCCTATCTGTGAGCATGGAATGTTTTTCCATTTGTCTGTATCATGACTGATTTCTTTGATCAGTGGTTTGTAGTTCTCCTCAAAGAGGTCCTTCACTTCCCTTGTAAGCTGTATTTCTAGGTATTTTATTCTTTTTGTGGCAATTGTGAATAGAAGTTCATTTATGATTTGGCTCTCAGCTTGCCTGTTGTTGGTATATAGGAATACTAGCAATTTTTGGACATTGATTTTCTATCCTGAGACTTTGCTGAAGTTGCTTACCAGCTTAAGAAGCTTTTAGGCTAAGATGATAGGGTTTTCCAGATATAGGATCATGTCATCTGCAAAGAAAGATAGTTTGACTTCTTCTCTTCCTATTTGAATATCCTTTACTTATTTATCTTGCCTGATTGCCCTGGCCAGGATTTCCAATACTATGTTGAATAGGAGTGGTGACAGAGGACATCCTTCTCTTGTGCCAGTTTTCAAGGGGAATGCTTCCAGCTTTTGCCAATTCAACATGATATTGTCTGTGGGTCTGTCATATATGGCTCTTATTATTTTGAGGTTCAATACATAGTTTATTGAGAGTTTTTAACATGAAGGGATATTGAATTTTATTGAATGTTTTTTCTGCTTCGATTGAGATAATCGTATGATTTTTGTCTTTAGTTCTGTTTATTTGATGAATCACATTTATTGATTTGTGTTTGTTGAATCAGCCTTGCATCCTGGGGATGAAGCCTACTTGATCATGGTGGATAAGGTTTTTGATGTGCTGCCAGATTCAGTTTGCCATTATTTTGTTGAGGATTTTTTCATTAATGTTCATCAAGAATATTGGCCTGAAGTTTTCTTTTTTTGTTGTATCTCTGCCAGGTTTTGGCATCAGGATGATGCTGGCCTCATAAAATGAGTTAGGAAGGAGTCCCTCCTTTTCAACTTTTTGGAATAGTTTCAGTGGGAATGGCACCTGCTCTTCTTTGTACCTCTAGGAGAATTCAGTTATGAATCTTTCTGGTCCTGGGCTTTTTCTTTTTTCTTTTTTCTTTTTTTTTTTTTTTCTGGTTGGTTGGTAGGCTATTACTGCCTCTGTTGCAGAACTTGTTATTGGTCTAATCAGGGATTCATTATCTTCCTGGTTCAGTCTTAAGAGGGTGTATGTATTCAGGAATTTATCCAATTCTTCTGGATTTTCCAGTTTATGTCCATAGATGTGTTCATTATATTCTCTGATGGTAGTTTATATTTCTGTGGGGTCAGTGGTGATATCCCCCTTATCATTTCTGATTATGTTTATTTGAATCTTCTCTCTTTTCTTCTTTATTGTTCTAGCTTAGTTGTCTATTTTTATTAATTTTTTCAAAAAACCAGCTCCTGGATTTGTTGATTTTTTTTTGAAGGGGTTTTCGTGTTTCTGTCTCCTTCAGTTCAGCTCTGATATTGGTTATTTCTTATCTTCTGATAACTTTGAGGTTTGTTTGCTCTTAGTTGTGATCTCAGGTTGTTAACTTGAGATCTTTCTAGCTTTTTGATGTGGGCATTTAGTGCTACAAATTTCTCTCGTAACACAGCTTTAGCTGCATCCTAGAGATTGTGGTACGTTGTATCTTTGTTCTCATTAGTTTCAAAGAACTTCTTGATCTCTGCCTTAATTTCATTATTTACCCAAGAGTTATTCAGGAGCAGGTTGTTCAATTTCCATGTAGTTGTGTGATTTGGAGTAAATTTCTTAATCTTGAGTTCTAATTTGATTGTGCTGTGGTCTGAGAGATGGTTTGTTATTATTTCAGTTTTGTTGCATTTGCTGAGGAGTGTTTTACTTCTAATTTATGTGATCAATTTTAGAGTAAGTGCTGTGTGGCAATTAGAAGAATGTATATTCTGTTGTTTTGGGGAGGAGAGTTCTGTAGATATCTATCAGGTCCACTAGATCCAGAGCTGAGTTGAGGTCCTGAATATCTTTGTTAATTTTCTGTCTCAATGATCTAATATTGTCAGCGGGGTGTTACAGTCTCCCCCTACTATTGTGTGAAGCCCAAGTCTCTTGGTAGGTCTCTAAGAACTTGCTTTATGAATTTAGGTGCTCCTGTATTGAGTGCATATATATTTAGTATAGTTGGATCTTCTTGTTGAATTGAACCTTTAACCATTACGTAATGCCCTTCTTTGTCTCTTTTGATCTTTGTTGGTTTAAAGTCTGTCTTGTAAGAAACAATGATTGCAACCCTGCTTTTTTTCTGTTTTCCATTTGCTTGGTAAATTTTCCTCCATCCCTTTATTTTGAGCCTGCATGTGTCTTTGCATGTGAGGCAGGTCTCTTGAAGACAGCATAACAATGGGTCTAGGTTTTTTATCCTGCTTGCCATTCCATGTCTTTTAATTGGGGCATTTAGCCCATTTGCACTTAAGGTTAGTATTGTTATGTGTGGATTTGATCCTGTCATCATGATGCTAGCTGTTTATTTCGCAGACTTGTTTATGTGATTGCTTCATAGTGTCACTGGTCTGTGTACTTCAGTGTGTGTGTGTTTTTTTTAGTGGCTGGTAATGGTTTTTCCTTTCCATATTTAGTGCTTCCTTCAGGAGCTCTTGCAATGCAGGTCTTGTGGTACCAAATTCCCTCAGCATTTGCTTGTCTAAAAAGGATCTTATTTCTCCTTCACTTATGAAGCTTAGTTTGGTCAATATGAAATTCTGGTTTGGAAATTCTTTTCTCTAAGAATGTTGAGTATTGGCCCACAATCTCTTCCGGCTTGTAGGGTTACCACTGAGAGATCCACTGTTAGTCTGATGGGCTTCCCTTTGTAGGTGACCTGGCCTTTCTATCTGGCTGCCCTTAACATTTTTTTTCTTTTTTCATTTCAACCTTGGAGAATCTGAAGTTTGTGTCTTGGGGTTGATCTTCTCATGGAGTATCTTACTGGGGTTGTCTTCATTTCCTGAATTTGAATGTTGGCCCATCTTGCTAGGTTGGGGAAGTTCTCCTGGATGATTTCCTGAAGTGTCTTTTCCAACTTGGTTCCATTCTCCCTGTCTCTTTTAGGTATATCAATCAGGCACAGATATTCAGTCACTTCACATAATCCCATATTTCTTGGAGATTTTATTCATTCCTTTTAATTCTTTTTTTCTCCATTCTTGTCTGCCTGTCTTAATCCAGAAGCTAGTCTTCCAGCTCTGAGATTCTTTCCTACACTTGATCTACTCTGCTATTAATACTTGTGATTGCATTATGAAGTTCTTGTAATATGTTTTTCAGCTCTTACAGGTCGGTTATGCTCCTCTCTCTAAATTGGCTATTTTGGCTGTCAGCTCCTGTATTATTTTGTCATGATTCTTAGTGTCTTTGCATTGGACTACAACATGCTTCTTTAACTCAGTAAAGTTCATTATTATCCACATTCTGAAGCCTACTTCTGTCATTTCAGCCATCTCAGCCTCAGCCCAGTTCTGAGCCCTTGCTGGAGAGATGTTGTGGTCATTGGAGGAAAAGGGGCACTGTGGCTTTTTGAGTTTTTAGCATTTTTGTGTTGATTCTTTCTTATCTTTGTGGGCTTATCTACCTTCAGTCTTTGAGGTTGCTGACCTTTGGATAGGGTTTTTGTGATTTGTTGTTATTTTCTGTTTGTTTGTTTGTTTTTCTTTTAACAGCCTGACTATTCTTCATAGGTCTGCTGTGGTTTGCTGGGAGTCTGCTCTAGACCCTGGTTGCCTCAGTTCTTCCCATACCTGGAGGTATCACTGGTGAAGTTGCTTCCTTTGGCTAGGGGTGGGAATTCCCTTGGCTCTGTGTTGCTCCCGAGTAAGCCGTCACCCTTTTCTTCATTCTTCATGGGTCTAGTTGTTTCCCTGATCAGTCCCAATGCAACAACCTAGATATTTCAGTTGAAGGTGCTGTATCCACTCGCCCCTTCCATTCCTCTCCATGAGTTCCGCAAACTGCAGCTGCTTCTAATTGGCCATCTTGCTACATTTCTTATATGCCACTCCCCTCTCTCCCCAAAGGATTTCTGTCCTTCTCAGAACCTGCTTACCTTCTCTGAGGGCTTCCACCTCTCTGCTTCTAAGAGAGCTTCCACCTCTCTGCTTCTCAGAGAGCTTCCACCTCTCTACTTCTGGCTCTCTGCTTCTCTCTTGAACTCCAAACTCCCATTTCTATAGAGATGACCCTATGATAACAACGATGGCATGTGTCAAGTACTTTGTGCCAGGCTTAGTGCTAAATCTTTACTTACATTACCGTTTAACCTTCATAGAACCCTATGAAGTAGTAACATTGTTGTCCTCATTTTGTAGATGAGAGAACCCAGGAGGAGAAAGGTTAAGCAACTTGCCTCAGATTGTAACATTAGTAAGTAGCAAAACCCCCAGGGTGCCTCAATTAGCACCTTTAATAAAATGTGCCTCCAATTTCACGCATTATATTTCCCTAGCTCTTCCTCCTATATTTTCTACCTCAATGAGTGATATCTGCAGTTGTCTAAGTGGGAAAGCTTCACCTAATTTCAGATTCCTTCCCCTAGTCTCCCACAGCTGAATTGCTTATTTATTCTTGCCAGTTCTCCCTCTGGACTCTGGGGACTTTCTTTTCCCGATGTGAAGTGTACCTGTCTTTCCGTTTAATAATTTCTCTCTTGTATTCTTGCAACTGGTTTCTTTGTGTCCATTCTTAACTTCTCCAATCACTTTTCATGCCATTGGCACTGCCTGGATATCCCCCACCCATTCAGTTAACCTTCTATGCCTTCCCATCCCTGACACATTAACGTTTATACTTCAAGTACAGCACAGCGCCAAGCCCTTTCTCTAGCCCCATCTGTGTGCATCCTACTCTGTCTTTCCCTGATGATGGCCACTCCAGATGTCATGCTCCACTTCAAACACACCTCTACACATCATCTCCACCACTCCCTGGGTGGGGTCAGGACCTCACCAGCTACAACTCCCCACCTTCTTTCCCAGGGACCACAGTACATTGCTTATACCTTCCTCTGTTGAGCAGTTACTTTATCCTTTCTTGTGATAGGGAGCTTATATATCTAGCTCACCAACTAAATCATAAGCTCTTTCAGGAAAAGCTGAAACCAATTTTGCTATCTTCAGCTCATCACCACCTACCTTGAAGGTATATGAGGGAGGTTGAAGAGGACAGACGTGGGGATTTATTTGGTAAGTTACTGGTGACCTGTGACTTTCTTACTGATAGCTCAAGGGGGAAGGGAGGATGTGCTTACCCATATTCTCAAGCCAAACATTTTGGTCCTAGGAGGAAAACAGAAGACAGGTAGCATGCTCAGCTGGGATTTTTGAAGAGGTTTTTTAAGGAAGGAACTACTTACAGAGTTGTATGCAGGGGTTAAGGAAACGAACTGGGTATACTGGGGTACTATGTCCTACTTGGAAGTAAATCAGATATGCCATACTCCTACAGTGGGATACACAGCCCCATTGGCCCAAGGCTTCTCCCCTCCCCAGGCTTGGGCTAACTATTTTGCTCTTTCTTATCTTCATATTTTTGGCTCATGCTTTTGCCTCTTCTTATAATACCTTTTCTCCCTCCCCTTTCTTTAAAAAAAAAAAATCTGGCCAACTGCTCTTCATTCTTTAAGACACTGCCTGTGCCACCACCTCCAGGAAGCCCTCTTGCACCTCCAGGCTATGACAAGTCATCCTGCCCTGGCTCTCTACTACCCTTATACATGCAGTTTTAACCACCTGGCTAGGGGCCTGTACCCTATGGGACTCTAACCCCTCTAAGGGCCAGGTCTCAGTTTTCCCACTGCCCAGCACAGTGCTCAGCCCACAGGTTGTGCCTAGGACTTACTTGAATAATGAGTAAAGGTCTTTTGGCTACAGATTCTTTGCTCTTTCCACAGCATCTCCATATCACACCCTGTAGTTACAGGTTATTATTCATTCTTTCCAAAGCATTTATCAACTGTTTATTTTTAAATTAACATATTTTTCCCTTTTTCTATTTATTTCCCCTTCTGTGTGCCCACAGGAAAGGCCAGGTGGCTTTAATATGCCACTCTCATTTACCTACAAAGGGGGGTTCACTTTCAGTAAGTACGCTAGTCAAATTTTCCCTTACTAGCTGTTTTTTATAACAATTTTTAAAATGCTGTTAGAACCTAAAAAGTTATCATCTCCTCTTCCTCTATAATTTTATTTAAAAATATTTATTATATTGACTCTACAACAGGCATCAACAAACTGTGGCCCACACCCTGTGGGCCAGCCCCCATTTTTATACATAAAGTTTTATTGGAACACAGTCATACTTACTTGTTTATATATTGTCTATAGCTGCTTTCACACTACAACAATAGATGGAGTAGATGCAACACTGACCATATGGCCCACAAAGGAAAAAAAATCTACTATCCTGCCCTTCACAAAAAAAGTTTGCCCTGGAAGAAATTGTGAAGCAGTCAGAATTTGTAGCCATCCACCCTTCTTTTTTCTGTTATAGCTACAATTGCTCTAACATTCATTGTGCTGTTCTTTCTTCACCTTCTAAATGACCAGCTCTCCTCACCCGCAACTCTCTGTCACCTAGGGGAGAAGGATTTCTGTTTCTTTAAAATTGAGCTTTAAAATTATCAACAGCTGATTAGGGAGATATTCTAGAGGGAGATAAGGGAACTACGTAGACTGGTGTTTTCATCATGAGTTCTGTAGCTCAGCTGCATCTGAATCATTGGAAGAGTTATTATTTTTTTAATGTAGATTGTGCAGGATCCAGGAATTGGGAAGGAGGAAAAATTTTGGTCTCTGTATAGGCCCATGTTTCTCAAAGTGCCAAATCCCAAGCTGCATGCAGACAATTAGTGAACATGGGCCCCACTACAGGCAAACTGCATTTTTACAAGTTCTTTGTATGATTTTGATGCAACCTAAAGTTTGGGAATTATGGAATTCTCCTTTCTCTAAGACATCCTAGATTCCTAGTTTATAGGACAGAACGTTTCTTTAAAGATGAACAACAAGAATAAGTTTCCAAAATAATTAAGTTGGCTCTCTAGTTACCAATAGTTTATAATCTGTTTGTTAGATGTTCACTTACAGAAACATGAAGTGGAACAGAACAGGGGATGGACTGCAAGGTAAAGAGGACAAGGAGATGGAATCTGTCAGAACATTATAGAAAACTTAGGAAGCTTGAGTACTTCGTGATGGGGGGAGGGATGATAGGAGAGTGAAGAGTTGTCAAAAGCAACTTCAGTATTGTCCCTAGAGGTCTGGCCCCATCGAACCTCATGGGATCTGTCACTGTGGATGAAATTTCTCACGTTGTAATGTATGGACCAGGTTTGGGTTCTGAGCCTGCCTTAGACTGATGGTTAGGACCCCTGAACACTGGGCTTTGTGCTACAGTTGATTGATTGGTAAACACATGGAATCATCAATTTCTTCCTTTCCACACAAACCATCTGCCTAGGATCTTGGGAAGTTAAAAATAAGATCTGGTGAACCCAAGCGAGGGGTGCATCAGAAGCCTGAAACTCTTACGGCCTTCCCCAGACTTGGCTAATGACAAGGGACTTAAACAGCATTGACTTCTCTATTTGACAGCTATCCCAATCTTCATGCTGACAGATCTGTTTTTCTGGGATCTGGAAAGTCGTTTTTGAGCAGGAATAGAGGGTAGCAGTGTAACTCTAATTCAGTGCATTAGCCACATAATGCTGGGTGTTTATGTTGGACCAAATCCTGTTGCTGACATTTTGGCAGGCTGGCTCCTGTCACTGAAGAACTTACCGAAATTGCGAAAGAGAGTCTAATGTAGAACGAGCAGTTTTCCACTTTTAGTGGAGTCCAGCTGCTGCCCCACAGAGGAGCTGCACATGGCCACACGGCTCCTGCACTGAAGCCTGCCTGCAAAGGCGGGCAAGGCACCTAAATATAAAGTTGTAAAGCATCAGTGTGGAATCTTTCTTTTGTGACCCAAGCAATTAATCTAGCATGGTGGCAGTTTTGTAAATCTGTACAAGAGTTAGACGTTTTAAGTAACTTGATTAAGTGCTATAAATCAAAGTGGAATTCCTAAATTTGTTAATTTTGTGAAGGGTCTTGAAAATATAAAGATGAGTTCCTGAAGCATAAACTTATATTCACCCAGGATTTGCCTCATTTTAGTCATATAATAAGTTTACGAATTTATATTCATCATCCCTGGTTTGATGTGAAAATGTTGATAATTTACTATTATCAAGAGGCTTCTGTTGGCTTTAGACATTGAGTGTAATGGGGATTTCCCTGTAAACAAGATTTTCTCATAAAAATAGATGACCCTTACCCTACGACCATCTCAGGCTTGCAGATGGAGTTGGGGGGGTAGTCACTTTTCTCTAAACTTTATTCCCTCCAGTGAGGATGAGCAGGGAGAATAACAGTGTAGGGGCTGGACTCTGCCACTCAAGGAAAAAAGGAAGTTACTTATGCCCTCACAGGGGTACTGTGAGTCTTCAATGTGTTAATATTTAGTGTTAATATGAAGTGCCTAAAATAGTGGCTGAGCAGAATAAGTAGTCAAAAAACGTTAGCAATTCTATCACTGCCACTATTATGGGAGCCAATTGAGCCATTCGAAACTCAGTCTAGATTGGAAGGTTCTGCCTCCCCTGTTGACATCCATCCGTCCTGTGGTCATGTGGCAAATGAAGTGTGATGTGACAGTGAAATCTGAGGGACTTTAGGTAGATCTCTGTCGGTAGATAGTGGGCACTGGAGCCAAAACATAATGGGATGCCGATTATGTGGGATTCGAAGAAGCAGAGCAGGCAGTTTAGAGGTTTAATGTTAAGGGAAAGAAGAAAAACAGGCTGGCAGCTTGAGGAAAAGATAGAATTGAAGAAATGATTGGGATAGGGAGACTTTTGAAGATGTAGCTCAAGTTTCTCCAGACCACAGCAGCCTGAGATGAAATGGCTTTCACATTTGGCTCTCACTCTTCTTTCTTATTCTGGGGTCCCCAGGCCCCTGAAGGTATCCCCCTCCATTACTTTTCAGAGTTTTCAGAAAGCAGTTCACATTTATACATGACAAAGGGCTCCCTCCTCCATCCCCTCCCCCATCCGGAAGCTGTTTTTCTCCTCTCCATGAAGTATAGTCCTGGCAGAAACTCAGTGAGAGAGGGATTCTCTGATCAGAAAAGTTTGAGATGCAAAATACTACATCCTCCCCGTAAAAAAGTCATACTCTGCATAGATTGACCGAAAGGAAATTAATCTTTTTAATCCACCCATACAACTATTTGTTTTGTTTAATCCATCATTTTTCAGGCTTATTTGATCATAGCACCACCCCACCTCTTTTATTTGCGTAAAACCTTTAACCTTCCAGAGAATCACTGCTCTTTGCAATATACTATAAGGAAAGCTGGGATAAGGCAAGAGGTGGCCCCTGGGGAAAGAGGGACCACATATTAAGATGGCAATCGCCTCACCTACCCTCAGGGAGCTGATATCTCAAGCTAGGGTGGGGCTGGGAGAGCAGGATGCTGCTGAGGAAGTTCCCACTGAGCCCAATCCTGCTGCCTTGTTTGTACCAAGTGCTTCCTCTTCCAGGGACACGCGGACATATGGGCTGCTGCACTCTCGCTGCTGCAAATCGCTAAACCCAACATCATGTGTCTGCCCCATTCTAGCTCCACTTTGGTATGATGACGTGGCACACAGAGCTCAGACGGAGTCCTCCACAGTTACCCCTCCACCAGTGCCTTAGCAGAACAAGGACTCTGTGGAAACAGGGTTTTAATTACAGTAATTTGTCCCATTTTGTGGCTCTTTGGGAATGCAACTATCTCATCTGCAGGAAATGTTGTTGGTGACTAGTTAGCTCGGGAGTGACCACCAACATGGAGTGGGAGTTGTGGATACAGATTTTTTCCACCTGTATTTCCTTTCCCTAAATAAATTGGGCAGTTCTGAGGCCTCTGATGTCCCCATCCCCACTTCCCCTGTGAAACTCCCCTGATGTGAAGAGTATGTTTGGGAGCTGATTAAAGATGATCCTGCAGCTACCCTGCTGTTTAAAAAGTACCTGTGGATTCACCACATTTGTACACTTTTTCTTATCTTTTTTTTTGTCTGTAAAAAATGAAAAAAAAAACTTGTCATAAGGACATTTCTTATGGATTTTACCTATTTGGTTAAAATAGTGGGAATACCTAACCATTCATTTATCTTGATTTTTTTTCCTATTAAAAAGAACCAAAAATTAAGAACAATAAATTATCACAATAGTTTTTCTCTCCATGAATAAAATACCCCATTCTTTTACGTCGGAACATTAGGATTTCTTTCTAGAGAAAGATTTCAGAATTCTAGAGGCATTGATTTGTTATTTAAATTTAACATATGCTTTTGTTCAAATGATGTAATTCTCCATATTTCTTTCATAAAAATACTATTGGAAGTATCTACCTCTTCTCTAGAGCTCCAAAAATGCCTATGGTTATTTAACCTTTAAAATACAGTATTTTCCTT
Organism: Homo sapiens; assembly: GCF_000001405.40. Taxonomy (NCBI): domain Eukaryota; kingdom Metazoa; phylum Chordata; class Mammalia; order Primates; family Hominidae; genus Homo; species Homo sapiens. The sequence continues at coordinate 39,494,417 of NC_000006.12, read as the reverse complement.
CTTGGCATTGAGTGTTAATTTCTGTCAGTTGTTTAATAAACCCTTAATTTTAAAATCTTCTTAAGGAAGAGGATGTATCTACTTCTTAATGTATAAACATCCTTGTGACTAAAACTGAGCAATGTTCCTGGGATTTAGCTAACTAAATGAGTGGGAAATTTTATACTCAAAAGATAAGTATTAAGTTCTCTTGAGTGTGTGATAACATACCAGAGACTACCAGAGTCACTCATCAGATATAAACCTTACTTTCCAAGCTATATATCAAGTCAGTAATAAACATTAGACAAAAAAGAAAGTGGTAAGGATGGGAGAATCCACATTTCCACACTTGCATTCCCTAAAGGATTAAAGAGGAAGTGGGTTCTTCAGTGAGCTTTTTTCCAAGAATATCAAGAAACTTCTTAATGTTCTTGGAAATGGAGAATATTCCTCCTGTAGGGAGTTGTGCAACAAAAGGAGTGGGGAAATTTTTGATAAAAGATGCCAAGACCTCACCAAACTGTGTATAGAAAGAGGCCAAAAGAAGGCTCTGAAAGCCAGGAGGAGCTCCTAGTTGAACTCCATCTTACTGCAAGCCAGTGACAGGTTTTGGGAAAGATTAGGAAATAGGCCAGAGCAGCTGGTAAGAACAATTGCTATAAAATTTTGAACTAAATGAAATCGTGTACAATTTGAAAGTAGCCCCTTGAGCAAGAAAAATATTCTGTTTGGAAAATAGCCAATTTACCTAGTTCTTGATGATCTGTGGCAAGGTGTTACACAAAGTGTATGGCATAAATAGTACCAATTCACAGACAATACTGTGCCAAGGGCAATAGTTTTAACACCTCCACCCATCACACCTTTTCTAGAACTACTAAGAAGGGACTCAGTAGACTGGCTTGAATGCTTCTCTGCTTCCTGATTCTGTTGAACATCATCTAGTGAGTACAAAGGGAAACAGAGAAGGAAAGAATCTGTCACATGCCTTGCAAATAGCAGGCTCTCAGAAAAGTTTGTTGAAGGAAGGAATGTAATGACAGGAGGAATTTCTAGTCTTGGCTCTGTCATTAATTACACAACCTTGGGCAGGTCACTTAACCACTTTATGGTAAATCATCCCACTGACCAATAAAACCTCAATGTCCTCATCTGTAAAATGAAGGGGTTGAACTATTGGACCTCTAAGGTCTTTTTCAGTGCTAAAATTCCATAATATACATGGTTTATCATGCATGAATAGTTTCTGAGTCATTCAGGATTGACAGTGTTGGAACTAAGAATTCTGCAGCAAGGAGGAGGATATTCCCTAGGTTCTGTAGAAGGAGGAAAGGTGTAAGGCTTTTTCACTATCATCAAGCATATAATGTTTAATAAATGTAAAACCCTGAATCATGTGCTGGGCAAACACAAGCTTCTTTCCTGCTCCAAAGGTGCTTATTTTCAGTCATGAAGCAGTCAGCTTCATGGAGGAAGTAAGACCTAAGTCAGTGCTTTAGATGTCAATGAGAAAAGGAAGTCACAACAATAAATATGACAGGTTCTGTGCTTTTTGACTATATTTTTTTCTATAAAAATCAAGAGCTTGCAGAAAGCATCAGGCTCAAGGTCAAGGATCTAAATCAAGTCCAGGTGTTGTTCCTTGGGTTCTTTACCCTGAGAACTATCCTTCCCCAACTGTAGACCTACAGATATAAGTTACCACCCCACACATGTATAACATACAATGGATATTCTGAGCCTAGTACCAAACTTAGATAACTGCAAAAGACAAAAAGGAGGAAGGGGGAGGCACACAACAGTCACTGAGACACAGCAATTACAAAATCCATCCAGGCACATATCTCCAGGTCCTTCACTGGAACTCAGCTCCACTTCTTGGGAGTCATTTCCCATGGTTCTTGGCTTTGCCCTCTGAGTCCTTGGTTGCAGTCTTTGGGGCATCCCTTGTGTTCCGTAAGAAGTGATCTGTATTTGCAACTGAGGAAACTTCTCAGCTTACTTCCTAATTGTAAAAGGTTGAGGTTCCAAAGACTTCGTTACACTTTATACCATCTCTGTTCCTTTAGCCCAAACTGATACAATATCCTTAGAAAATGTATGGGCTTCCTGCATATTAATTTATAATCCACTCCATTAGACAAAATCCATGCATCTCTTCAAGATAAGTCCTTCTCCACTTTGGTTCCCTGTGAGCCTGCTGTGCAGCAATGCCCTTAAAGTCGTTAGAAGCCCTATTGTTTAACTGTGAGTATCTGTGAGGAATGCCCTTTTGATCCTTTGGAGAACTTCTGTCTAAAGGGTCAGAGAGGTACTACCCTAGATTTTTATGAGGTCTTAATAAAGAATCTTACAGTCTCGCCGTGGGTGTCATCTTTTCCAGGAAGCCATTTCTTAACTCAAGAACCTTTTGCTGACTGAAAAGGCTGTTCCGGATCCTTTAAAATTCTTCCAACTTCCACTCAAAAATGGAATAGCTTTTCCTTAATTCATTTCTCTCGTTTTAATATAGGCAGCTAAGAGAAGCCAGATAGCACCCTCAACACCCTCAATTTTCCAGAAGTCTCCCTAGCTACATCTTTGAGTTCATTAGGTACAGTCTCTATTTTTCACATTATTGCTGGTGACAATTTTGCTGAACTTCCCACTACTACATAAAAAGAGTTTCCTTCCCTCCAGCTCAAGTAGTATTTCCTTCACTTTCCTTTAAGCCTCACCAATAGGCCCCTCAAGGCTTCTGCTAACACTGTCTTCAAAACTTTTCAGGCTTTCACTAACAGACTCTACAAGTCCCTTCTGGCTTCTTACTGCTGCCTGGTCCCAAAGCCAATGTTACAGATTTTTGTTTATGGTAATATCCCAATTTCAGGTACCAAAAGTACGGAAATCTGCTGGTTAGCTATTGCCAAGTAACAAATAACTCCAAACATAGTCGTTTAAAATAATAACACTACTATTATTATCTCTGACAGTTTTTCTGGATCAGGAGTTTGGGAAGGGATTAGCTAGCTAGCTCTGGCATTGGGCTGCTCATGTGTTTACAGTCCAATGGTGGCTGGACCTGGAACAATGTGAAGAGAATTTGCTGGAAAAGTTGGAGTTGTCTGTTATCTCTCTTCACACTGGCTCAGGGCCTCTCCATGTGTTCTCTGTGTGAGCGTTCTCACAACATGGCAGTTACCAACATCAAAGCAGCCAGATTGCTTATTTAGACACTAAAGGCTTCAAGAGAGTTAGTATTCCAGCTAACAAGACAGGAGCCACACCTAGGAACTAGCCTCAGAACCCCTGCAGAGTGACTTCTGCCACATTCTGATGATTACAAATGAGTCCCAGATCCACTCAGATTCAAGGAGAAGGAAATTAGATTCCACCTCCTGATGGTGATGGGACAAAGTTCTAGAAAAGCATGTGTAATGGGAGATATTGTTGTGTCCATCTTTAAAAAATACAATCTAACACACCTAATGTGCAGAGTGTAGTGAGGGTTAGGGATGGTGAATGTAACATATCTGCAACACAGCTCTACATTTATGTAGTAGCTACTAAATAAATTATTATTACTCAGTTCGTTATTATTACTCTTATTATACAGGGTGGGGTTTTTTTTGAACATTGTCAGAATCTTCTCAGATGAAGTTTTGTTTTGACTTTCTTCCTCCTTTATGACTTTTATCATAGTCTTTAATGGCTAGTAGAGCACTTTAATGGATAATTTGATATTTTATAAACCACAGAATATTGGAGCTAGAATACACCATATTAATCCTAGGGTGTGCTCTGACTTCTCCAGCATACCCTTTCCCAAGCTCCAGCTACCTTCAGTCTGCAACATGAGCAGCCTTTTGCCAGAACTAGCTAGATAATCCCTTCCCGAATTCCTCAACCATTTTATTTTATAGGCGACAAACCCAACGGTTAGTGTAGCCAAGTCATTTGCTGCATTCACAAAGATACACACCTCATTTCTAACAGACATTAGACTCACTCACTTGTTTGGTTTCCCAACCTAGTACTTTTTCCCCGGTAGCATTCCTATCTCACTCACCAATAAAGATGTGTTAATGTGATAACTCACACTTTTACCTTGGAATGAAAGTCCGTATTTTCCCTTACTTGACGATTTCACAATCCATTCTGCTTTCACATTGTCTGGGAGCCTTCTGCTGCATGGATCAGACTGTTTAGTTGGAAGACAGCATGCTTCTGTGGACTCATGTAAGTGTCAGTGAGAAGGTACTGATGTTAGAGAGCACAGACATGGAGCCTCTCCAAAGGAGAAAATAATGCATTGTCTCCTCTCTCTCCCAGCATTTCTTATCTGAAGCAGGAACTCTGATGGCCTAACAATCATTTTCACTTCTCGTACTTTATTAATATCCTTGGAAAGATACTACAGGCCAAATTTGTCCTATGAGCATGCACATTTAACTTCCATTTAATTTAGTAAGAGCTTTTACATATATCCAAGGGTGAAATTTAGCCAGAGGATAAGAAGAACAAAAATGTCACAGGTCAAATATGCCGTCAGTAGTTCATTTCTGAATATATTTTCTGCTTTCTGCTCTCTGTCATTCCCTGGAGAATTCTCTGTGCGCTGCTCTAAAGAAGACCTTAATTTTTCTTTTTGAAATGACTGATAACAATATAAAGTCATTGAGCCTGTAGGTTTGTATCGAGTAGTTTCATAAGGTTTGTTTTACTCATTTATAAGACCTTTATCCTCCTACCCCTTGTCACATAGCTCTCCTTAGCAGCTGTTTTCTTGCTTCTATTAAACCAGTCACTGGGGGAAACACACTCCATCCTGAAGACTGTTGCTACTTGGAGGCACTGAAATATGGCTGCTGTTGCCACTGTTGTCACTCCTTTCTGTTCTTCATATTTTTCTGCTTGAGGTTTTTGCTCAAGTGCTAGTATTCTTCATTTTCTATCCTGGTTGGAAATTTGCATCTTTATCCCTCCCTCACCACAAGTAAGAAATAAGTAACCCAAGATGATTTATTAATAACATCAATTCCATAGGCCCATGCAGACCTAAGTTCCAGTTGGGATATCTCTAAAGTCTATTGCGATGACCAGCTCTGATTTTTAAATGAACAGATGTGTTCATTGAGCACCAATGAATGTGGTTTGAGACCAAAAACAAAATTTGGAAAATTGTTAACAGCCTTCCTTTAAAAAACTGAGCTTCAAAAAGGAAAAGATAAATCCCACAAAAGAAATTCAAATATTCAAAGGCAATTTAGAAAACAGATATTATACCAAATCAAGAGAAAGTAGAAGATAGCTTAAAGCTGATTTCTATGGCCATCACTTTAATTGACATGAAGATATAGAGGGTAGCTGTATTTTAAAAAGCCTTAGATTTCAAACATTTTCCCTGAACTTAAAATTGATGTCAAGGGGGCAAAATAGGGATATCACAGTCAGACATCAGATGGCTGCTGTCAAGACTTTGGAAGACAACATTAATTAGGTGAAATCATAAAGGTTTGGGAATCAACTCTGCCATTCTAGAAACTAAATTTTGTGATTCCTCCAGAGTTAATGAAATTAATGAGGATGGGCTCATGCAAACTAAACCCACAGGAGAAAGAGCTATAAGTCCCAAAATATCAATTGACAAGAATTTACAATATCATTTATATTTGCCAAACAAGCCCAAATTCTAATGTTTAGTTGGTGAATGGCTGGTCAGGACAGTGTCTCTCTCTAGTAGGAATATGTACATGGCTAGACAAATATTTGCATATTCAGCAGATATTTACCAATTGCATACTGAGTGCCAAGCACGATGTCAGGTCCTAGGGAGTCAAAGATAAATAAAATACAGTCTGTAGGCTCTTAGTTCCCACCATCTAGTAAACAAGCAAGACCAATACAGTCAGTTTTGACTACACAGAAGGAGACCTAACCCAGGCTCCTAGAGTCATAAAAGGCTTCTGGGAGAAAAGGGCATCTCTGCCAAGTCCTGAAGTGAATAGCAGTTGTAATCAGACAACCAGTGGGGCAAAGCAGAAACAGCAAGTCCAAGACAGGGGAGCAGACTATGCAGAAACCACAGGGCAAACTATCTAAGATGATTATTGAGTGTGGATCAGAACAAGACAATGAAATGGGAGATCTTAACCCTTGTGTCATGAGGCTGGACCCCTACTCTGCCTGCCAAGTAAACTGAATATCAGGGTTGGCTGATTTTAAGCATTACTTCTCCTAGAGAATGCTGCCAATTCTTGGCAAGTGGGTATCCTCTGTCAAACTAAGTGTCGACTCATTGGTGGGTCAAGAAAATAACTTCGTAGGTCATAATGAGCAATTTAAAAAATGAAATATAATAGAAATTATTAGAGGACATTATGTATAATAAGGGCAAGTATTATTTCATGAGATTTTATTTTAGATGAGTGGATGGATGATTAGATAGATAGATAGATAGATAGATGCCTATAAATGCAAGTATATAGTTTGAGGTGCCCTGACTATATCTTGGCCAAATGCCAAATGGCCAATGTTGAGGGTTAATATTCACCTGAAGTGGAGGCCAAAGCTTCATAACCCCATGATGAAATAAATTTTGGGGATATAGGAATAAATCTGAAATTTTATGAAAAATTACTGCTTGGATTTTTAGAAGTCTGACATTTAAGATAGAAATAATCACATCTCAGATTGTCATCTATAGGACTGTTTTTCAGCCACTAAACTGCCCATTCGCAAAACAAAATAGCACTCACCTGGATTCAGTGGTGAATTTAGATGCTTTCTGAGTTTCTCCTTTCTCTAACACTTTCTTCTTTTCTTAATACTCTGTATATTTCTTACCTCGTCTGGAACAAAAATAATTGTAGGGAGAACTCTTGGCATTGACACCTGTGGGGGAAGGGAGAAAGCAGACCTAGGCAGAGAGAAGCTAGACTGTGAAGCTGTCTCAATAAAGGCCTCAGTCCTCTCCACAGCAAGCCGGAAAGCTAAAGGGTGGCCTTCCAGAGCTGGCCCATGTTAGGGTAGGTACATGGACCAGTCTTTGGGTGCTGGATGCCCCTGGGGAGGGAATCTGACTTTGGATGAGGCAGTAGCAGAGGGCAATTCCCAGAGAGGGCTGACCTCTGACATCTGTGGGCCAGCAGCAGTCCCAGCAGCTGGGAGACCAGGTCCTGAATGGGGATATAGCTGACACCCACAGTATCCATGACAGCAACGTAGTATATAGTTTGTCAGACTTACAGCCTCAGTTGAATTAAGTTATTAAAACATAAATTCATTTAAGTAAAAAGAATCAATCTAATTTTCTATTTTTATTTATTACTATTTTTAAATTTAGAAAAATGTGTTGGCTCAGAAAGGATAGAATGCTGTTTTTAAAGTAAACTGATACACACTGTGGTATTATTTGTTGTTACTGTTAACAACATTTGGTTGTTATTTTGAAATTTTTTTAATTGTTTTGTTTATAGCATTATAATTGTTATGGCTCTGTTTTAGTCTTGCAGTAATAAATGTACATTTATAATTCAACTTACTGATGCAGATATAGATTTTCATTCTGGGTTATATCTAGAATATTTCAAAGTGAATATTCAGATATTTATAAATCCAACAGCCTTCCTTGTTCTATTATTAACATTGCTGGGTTCATGCAACCTTTGCAATCATGTTATTGCTGATCACTCACAGGTTCAGAAATTCTAGAAATGATGTTGAACTAGGCATTCAGCCACTTGGACTTTCAAAGACTGGATCCAAAGCTAAACTTCAGGGTTTCTTTAGTATGTACATATGTAGAGTTTGCGGCAAATGTATTTCTTTCTGTGCATCTCAGTCGAAAAATTTGATGAACACTGTTCCAATTAACACAGTATAATTGCATAACAAACTATTCCAAAACTTGGTGGTATAAAGCAGCAATCATTTTATTATAGCTCATGATTTTGTGTATTGGGAATTTAGATAGAGGTCAGCTTGGTGACTATTAGGCTCCACGTGACATCCAATGGAGTTACCCAGTGGTAGTCAACTAGGCATTGCTGAGGGCCCCAGATGGCCCATCCACATGACGGGTGCTCTAGAAGGGACAACTGGAAACCTGGGCCCTGCAGGTTCCCTCTGTCTCTCTGTGGAGTCTCAGGGCTTCTCCACTTGGCCTCTCCAGCAGGGTAGTCAGACCATTTACATGGAAGCTCAAGTTTCCCAGAGGAAAGAAATGGAAATTGCTAGTCTTCTGAAAAGCTAGGCCCAGAACTGGCATAGTGATACTTCCGTGATATCTTATTAATCAAGTCAGCCTCAGGCCAACTTGGATTCAGAGGTAGGGGACATAGAGTTCACTCATTGATGGACAAAATGTCAAAGTGTTCACAGCCATCTTTCATCTGCCACAAGCATTGTTCTTCATTGCCTGGCAGGGACTCTGGAGGCTGACTGTCTGAATTCGAATCCCACATCCTAGCTGTGCCACCTTGACAAGTTACTTAGTTTCTCTGTGCCTCAGTTTTCTCATCTATGAAATGGGGATAATATATACACCTATCTCCCTCATAGAAATGTTGTGAGGATTCAATGAGTCAAAAAGGATAAAGCACTCGGAGCTTTACTGGCCTAGAGTAAGTGCTCTATGGGTGCAAGCTCTTTCTTTTACCCTTCCTTCCTGTGTTGGCACATTCTTTCTAAATATGTGTTAAATCCCTTGTTCAAACAAAATCAGTGGCTTGCTGTTTGTTGTGTTCTGACATAGCTGAGAGGCCAACATGCTCCTTTCGTGACAGTGGCTCTCTGCACATTGATAATGTGTAGAAGAATGAGAATCTTTGGGGAAAGGCAGAAGAATGGAAGATGCTTTGTCAATCTCTTCACTTGAGAATCGCTAAACTACAGATTTTATGGATTCCTGGCCTACTATGTGTCAAGCCCTGTTCTAAGTGCTGGGGATCAAAGTTAGATGAAGATGCAGTCCCCAGCCTTTAAGGAACTCATATTCAAATGGGTAAGATGGTTAGCAATCAAAGAAGCAAATACATCATGAGTGCTGTGAAGAAAAGCCAAGCATAATAAGGGGATAAAGAGTTGGTGGGGGATAGTGGTTTTTAAAGAAATTGTCAAGGACAATCTTGCTGATAAGAAGCTGTGTGCATTTTCACATTTCATCATACTTGATTAAATTTCCAGAGCTTTCTTCTTTCCTTAATTTTCTGAGACATCCTGTCTATGAAATGGCTCTGCAGGTGGCTGATCTCATCTGTTATGTGTAGATTGCACCAGCTTCACTACCAGAAAGTAACACAGAGTCCTAGTTCTGGAAGTACTACTGCAGGTCCTTTTCTACTCACTATGCTTACTAGCAGTGGGACAATGGGCAACCTCACTAAGATGTAAGTTCCTCATCTTGAAGATGGAGAAATATGCAGGCCAAGGAGAGAGCCCTGGGGGAGATGACAATGAATTGCTGGGGAGAGAGAGGCTGATAAAGAACCCCCATGGGATCAGCCAGAATCCAGAGGAGAGGGCAGAGAAAGGTGCCTAGAGTGGCTTCCCTGGGGGAGGCAAACCCAGATTGAGGAGAGGCAGAGATGATAGTCACAGATGCAAGCTTCCCATCTAAGTGGCTCCACTGCACCACAGCCTGGCCCATATATGAAGGGATAGTGACACCTTTATATATACAGGCCCAGTCCTTAGGAAGAGGAATGTAGCTTAATGTGGAGAAAAATAGCCCCAAGGTTTATAGTCCAGGTGGCTCTCAGTAATTGCTTAACTACAGTAATATTGCACGTATCTGGGACTCTTGAAAGTAATCATTTTCATCAATCAACAATAGACTTTTTCTTATCTCAAAAATAAAGTTCAAAGTCTTTAAGGGGCATTGGCCTGTCTACATTTCCAGCTTCTTCTTTTACTCCATCTCCCGCCATTTCTTGCCTGTGGTCCTGCTCCATAGGACTCCATGCTCTTTCCTCTCCCTTGTGGCTTCCTTATCAGTCCTAACAGAATTGACCCTTCCTGGCCCTGCATTCCTAGCACTTTTGCTTGTGTCGCTTTTATGACACCTTATCATATTACATCTTCATGGTCACTGAACTGTAATCTCCTTGAATGTGGAAATGAATTTATTCATCATTATTAGCCTCCTCTCTACTTTGTGTCTCACACCAGGTACAAGCTACTCAATAAATATTTGTGGGTCTAATTTGTTAATTAAGCATCTGCCATGGAGCAGGCCCTGTAAAGACAACAAGTAAGTTGACCACATGGCCCCTACAACATGATAGGGAGATGAGATGGAAACGGCCATGTGCACATGGAGGGTGGTATGTAGCGAATGCAGAGTGAATGATGGCAGCAGTAAGTTCCTTTAAGTCACTTTTGGAAGTGTTCTCACAGCACTGCTTTGTCTTCATCTTCATTATCATTTGTCACACTGCACTGAAGTCACCTGTTTACATGTGTATATAGCCTCTCCCACTCTTTATGAATTGAAGAGCATGGAATATGGCTGATTGATTTTTGTTATCCCTGGTTCCTGACCCTCGGCCAGAATTCAATAGATGTTTTTGGAATGAATAGAACAGCTAGTTACTGAGAAATGTCACTTTTAGATACCTGGTCTTTCACCAGAACCTGTCTCATTTCATTTACTGATCCTGAAATGCTGGTAGGCTTTCTTCCATTTCCCTTTTCTCTTAGGGCTGATATCCTGGATATTATAGTAACAGTCCTTGAGGTTCTCCTTTGAATCTCGGATAAAGGCCTGGAAGAGCAGCAAAACATTCAAGTGCCTGGACCTTTACTGTTAGGGTCAAACTTTAGATCTCTTTCAGATGCTTGAAATGCACTGGTTTAAAACCTGCTCTAAATCAATGGATTTCAAGTTGTTTTCATGAGCGAGGGACAGCCTTTTAAAATGCTAACAGAGAAAACTTGGCATGTCAGACAAAGGTACACCCCAGTGTGAGGACTCATAATATGATGTGTCAGGTGGGAAATCTTTTTAAAAGTTACTGTTTCCCCATAATCCCAGATGCAGAAATCAAATGTGGAGCTGGGTGAGGGTTTCACAAGCAAGAGATGGAGGAAGGGACTTCAGGAAAATCACAGTTGTGGAGAGGAAAGAATCTTGGTGCATCCAAGCAAGTTTACAGGCACCATTGATTCTGGATTATTTACACAGCTTATGCAATAACAAATAGTGCCCTACTTATTTTTCCTTCAGACTGCCTATATTTTGTCTATTCTGTTCCCTTTCCCCAAAAGATCAGCAGGGAGCAAGAGAGAAAGGAGGAAAATCTCTCAAATCGGCTGAATATTTTCTTTTAAAACAGCTTCTTTGGCAGAGAGAAGGGAAGGAATGAAAGATAAAAACTCTTTACTGAAATGAAAGTTTTGGATTATTTGTTATTTTGATGATCCTTACTTTTCCATTGATCTAAAAAGCAAAACAACCTGACAGGAAAGGGAAGCCTGGATCGGGAGAGAAGAAGCCTGGGCTCTGGTTCTAGGTTGGTCATAAGACCTGGGAACAAGCCCCTCCCCTTCTCTAGGGCCCAGTTTCCTTGTCTGCATAGGAGCAAGGATGACACATCCAATCCATAGAACATGTGTCCTCGTACCCGGAGCCCTTGGCAGACATCTGCAATGGCTTATGGTACTCTCTCCCAGTGGGCTGGACTGGGCTTCAAAATGTTTCTCAGTGAGACTCCAAACAGCCCTTACCAATGGATGGGAGGGAGGCAGCTCTCCAAATGTAACCTCCTGGCCATTGCTAACATCAAATTATGTATTCATTATCAGTAACATCACGAGCCCAATACTGCATGAGGAACTAGTAAATGAATATCAGATATAAGCTAAATTTCTCAAGGTGTCATGTATTTGGGAGGGTGAATGAGGTTATATGAAAAGAAATAATGCAAATTTCTCTGGCTCTTGTCACTACCCAGACACTTCCATCCTCAGCCTCTTGTAGAACCCACTTCAGGTTCAGCCTCATTCTCTTGCTCCAGAGGGCTCAGACAAGGGCCTAAAGGGACTGGGAACAGATATTGCCCTCTTTTCTCTTGGAGAACTCAAGTGTCCTCACAGCTCTTCCATCATCTGGTGGTGATAGTGGTAGTAATAGCAAGAATTTACATGAGACCTCCCTGCAATTCACCAGGTAGAATCAGTGAAGTTTGAATTTCAGTTTGATCTAAAGTAAGGTGCCTGTTATACAAAATGGTTAACAGGAATCTGAGAATTTGGCTCAGTGTCCCTAAAACTCCATTAGGAAAGATGAAATGGTGAATGACTTGGGGTCTAGCCATTCCTTATAGCTGTGACCTGGAAAGCATCTTCTTAGTAAGACCCAGAAAGCTGGAGTTATCTGTGGTTGATATTGCTGCCTCCCACGGGTCCCAGTGGGGTGTGTGTGTGTGTGTGTGTGTGTGTGTGTGTGTGCCTAAAGGTCCCGTTGTCTTTATCTCTAAGGAACTAACGGTTTTATTGCAGAATCTGAGTTAAGCACAGAGTACTGACAGTATCATGGAGGTCACATAAGGGATAGATCAGAATGGGCTCAAAATGCAGACTTTAGGGAAGGGAGCGGCCTTGGAAGACAGTGAACTTCAGAATAGTCAGAGGGGAAAGTGTAAGTCATCCCCACAGATGGGAAATAGCTCAAGCAAAGGCACAGGGATGGAAACGTTCAAGAACAATGATGAACCCACCCTGATAGAAGCAAATGATGCTTGTTGGAGATCTCAATTGTGGACATTAAATTGCATTGGTTGGGTGGGGTGAGTTTGTGGGGAGCCCTAGAAGTCAGAGATGTTTGAATTTGGTGCAGAGACCATAAGGAATCATTTCTGGCAATCTGTCTAACAAGGTATTTGGGAAGATTAGTCTGGCAAGGATTTATAAGAGAAATTGGAGAGGGAGAAATGGAGAGATTCGTTTAAAAGGCTCTTATGTAATTCATCCCTGAAGGAGTTTTAAATTTAATTAGAAAATAAGGCAGAGATGTGTATAGTACATATTATTGGGACATGTATATCTTTCCTATAAAATCTTTAAAACATATTTATTTTATATGTTGAAGAGGTAATACATCCACATGCCTCTTAGACCAGAACAATATAAAGAGATAAACAGTAAAGGGTTTTGTTCCCACTTCAGTTCCTATCTGTTCCATTACCACCTGACACTCTACACACCTCCCATCATTCCTGAACACATTCATTATTTCCTTGTGTATACTTCTGGAGCTTCTTTATACAACCTCAAGAAAATATTAATGTATGCTCTTATCTTTCTTCATTTTTTAAAAAAAGATAGCATGCTATACGTGCTTCTCTGGACCTTGGTTTTCTCACTTAAATATAGATTATGGTTTAAGATCAGAGCAGAACTAAATGAAATTGAAAGAAAAAAAATACAAAAGATAAATGAAACAAAAGGCCGGTTCTTTGAAAAGATAAATAAAATTGATAGTCCATTTGCAAGATTAACCAAGAAAAGAAGAGAAAATATCCAAATAAGCTTAATTAGAAATGAAATGGGAAATATTACAACTGACATGACAGAAATACAAAAGATCATTTGAGGCTCCCATGAACACCTTTATGCACATAAACTAGAAAACCTGGAAGAGATGGATAAATTCCTGGAAATATACAACTCTCCTAGCTTAAATCAGGAAGAATTAGAAATCCTTAACAGACCAATAACAAGCAGCGAGACTAAAATGATAATAAAAAAATTACCAACACAACAAAGCCCAGGACCAGATAGACTCACAGCTGAATTCTATCAGACATTCAAAGAAGAATTGGTACCAATCCTTTTGACACCACTCCACAAGATACAGAAGAGGGAATCCTCCCTAAATCATTCTGTGAAGCCAGCATCACCGTAATACCAAAACCAGGAAAGGACAATAGCAAAAAAAAAAGAAAACTTCAGACCAATATTCCTGATGGACATAGATGCAAAACTCCTTAACAAAAATACTAGCTAACTAAATCCAACAGCATATCAAAAAGATAATCCACCATGATCAAGTGGGTTTCATACCAGGGATGCAAGGATGGTTTAACATGCGCAAGTCAATAAATATGATACGCCATATAAACAGAATTAAAAACAAAAATCCCACGATCATCTCAGTAGACACAGAAAAAGCATTTGACAAAATCCAGCATCACTTTATGATTAAAACCCTTAGAAAAATCAGCATACAAGGGACATGCCTCAATGTAATAAAAAGCCATCCATGACAAACCCACAGCCAACATTATACAGAATGGGGAAAAGTTGAAAGCACTCCCTCTGAGAACTGGAACAAGACAAGGATGCCCACTCTCACCACTTCTATTCAACATAGTACTGGAAGTCCTAGCCAGAGCAATCAGACCAGAGAAAGAAATAAACGGCATCCAAATTGATAAAGAGGAAGTGAAACTATAGGTGTTTGTTGATGATATGATTGTATACCTAGAAAACCTAAAGACTCCCCCATAAAATTCCTAGAACTGATAAATGAATTCAGCAAAGTTTCAGGATACAAAATTAATGTACACAGATCACTAGCTCAGCTATACACCAGCAGTGACCAAGCCAAGAATCAAATCAAGAAGTCAACCCCTTTTACAATAGCTGCAAAAAAATAAAATATAATAAAATAATACTGCTGAAAGAAATCATAGATGACACAAACAAATGGAAACACATCCCATGCTCATGGATGGATAGAATCAATATTGTGAAAATGACCTTACTGCCAAAAGCAATCTACAAATTCAATGCAATTCCCATCCAAATACCACCATCATTCTTTACAGAACTAGAAAAAATAATCCTAAAATTAATATGGAAACAAAAAAGAGCCCACATAGCCAAAGCAAGACTAAGCAAAAAGAACAAATCTGGAGGCATCATATTACTTGACTTCAAACTATACTGTAAGGCCACAGTCACCAAAACAGCATGGTACTGGTATAAAAATAGGCACCTAGATGAATGAAACAGAATAAAGAACCCAGAACTAAGCCCAAATACTTACAGCCAACTAATCTTCAACAAAACAAAAACATGAAGTGGGGAAAGGACACCCTATTCAACAAATGGTGCTGGAATAATTGGCAAGCCACGTGTAGGAGAATGAAACTGGATCCTCATCTCTCATCTTACATAAAAATCAGCTCAAGACAGATCAAGGACTTAAATCTAAGACTTGAAACTATAAAAATTCTAGAGGAAAACATCAGAAAAACCCTTCCAGACATTGGCTTAGAAAAAGACTTCGTGACCAACAACCCAAAAGCAAATGCAACAAAAACAAAGATAAATAGCTGAGACCTAATTAAACTAAAGAGCTTCTGCATAGCAAAAGGAACAGTCAACAGAGTAAACGGACAACACACATACTGGGAGAAAGTTTTCACAATCTATACATCCAACAAAGGAGTAATATCCAGAATGTACAAGGAACTCAAAGAAATTAGCAAGAAAAAAAACAATCCCATCAAAAAGTAGGCTAAGGACATGAATAGACAATTCTTGAAAGAAGATATACAAATGGCCAACACACATATGAAAAAAATGCTCAACACCATTAATTATCAGGGAAATGCAGATCAAACCACAATGCAATACCAACTCACTCCCGTAAGAATGGCCATAATCAAAAAATTTAAAAAAAATAGATGTTGGCATGGATGCGGTGAACAGGGAACACTTCTACCACCAAAAAAAAAAAAAAAAAAATAGATGTTGTCATGGATGCAGTGAACAGGAAACACTTTTACACTGCTAGTGGGAATGTAAACTAGAACAACCACCATGGAAAACAGTGCGGCGATTCCTTAAAGAACTAAAAGTAGAACTATCATTTGATCCAGCAATCTCACTCCTAGGTATCTACCCAGAGGAAAAGAAGTCATTATACAAAAAAGATACTAGCACACTCATGTTTATAGCAGCACAATTTGCAATTGCAAAAATATGGAACCAGCCCAAATGCCCATTAGTCAACAAGTGGATAATGACATGATATATATATGATGGAATACTACTCAGCCATAAAAAGAAAGAATTAATGGCATTCACATCAACCTGGATGGAATTGGAGACTATTATTCTAAGTGAAGTAACTCAGGAATGGAAGACCAAACATCATATGTTCTCACTCATAAGTGGGAGCTAAGCTATGAGGATACAAAGGCATAAGAATGACACAATGGACTTTGGGGACTTGGGGGAAAGGGTGAAAGGGGGGTAACAGATAAAATACTACAAATTGAGTTCAGTGTATACTGCTAGGGTGATGGGTGTGCCAAAATCTCACAAATTACCACTGGAGAACTTACTCATGTAACCAAATACCACCTGTTCCCCAAAAACCTATGGAAATGAAAAATTTTTAAAAAATAATAAAATCATGTAATAAAATCCAAAAAACAAAGATCTTGGTGATAGATATATGTTAATTTATTTTGCTGTAGTAACCATTTCACTTTCTATATATGTATATCCCATGATATCATGTTGTAAACCTCAAATATATACAATAAAATTTATTTTTTATTTTTATTTATTTATTTTTTTGAGACAGAGTCTGGCTCTGTCACCCAGGCTGGAGTGCAATGGCATGATCTCGGCTCACTGCAACCTCCGCCTCCCGGGATCAAGCCATTCTCCTGCCTCAGCCTCCCGAGTAGCTGGGACTACAGAAGTGCGCCACCACGCCCCGCTAATTTTTGTATTTTTAGTAGAGATGGGGTTTCACTATTTTGGCCAGGATTGTTTCAATCTCTTGACCTTGTGATCCACCAGCCTTGGCCTCCCAAAGTGCTGGGATTACAGGCGTGAGCCACCGCACCCAGCCAATAAAATTTATTTTAAAAACAGATCTTCAACATTTTTCCAAATTGTTCTTCTCAGTTGCATAGTATTCCATTATGCAGAGAACCAGCCCCTTATCGTTTATCACTAGATAAACCCCTTATCTCTTTTTTAACAATCTTTTGCTGTTATAGGTGATGCTGCAACACATAACTTGCCCTTATATCAGTTTGTATGTGCATGTATGTCTACAAAATAAATTTCCACACATAGGCTCACTACATCAAAATCCGCATGCATTTATAAGTTTTACAGAGATTTCCAAATTGCCCTGTTTGGGGATTTTTCTGTACTAATTTACATACCCACCGACAATACCTGGGATTGCCTGATTCCCTGTAGCCTTGTCAACACAGGGGGTTCTCACTTTGGCAGTTTTTCTGCTCTATTAGGTGAAATCTTCATGCAGCTCTAATTTGCTTTTCTCATATTATGAGTGAGGTTGAGCACCTTTTCATATGTTTATGGGCCCAGTGTATTTTAAACTCTTTAACTGAGGGGACTGACTTCATCATTTCTGTATCCCTCCCAGAGCCTTCCCAAATGCCTCGCTACAAAGTAGATTTTCAGTCAAGATTTGTAAATCCAGTAAATGTTTATATGAAGAAGTTGGTAAATGATTGAATAAATGCTGATGTTATTGAAGCTATAAATCTTAAATTATATGTGATCCTTCCCTCAAGAAGCATAAAATATGATAAGCTCACAGTGCAGTTATAAAAGCAACATACAGATGTTCAAAGATTACAAACAGTATTCTGGGTGAATAAATTATTTATGTTAGACTGAAAAGTGGAGAATCCCACATGAAATACCTTATTCATCCTCAGAAAGGTGAGGGACTGGGAAAAGAAGAATCCCACACCTCTTTTCCATGAGTTCTTGTTTATTTAAAGAGTGGTTTGGAGCTGGTATGGTTAAGTGGTTTTCATAGAACTAACTAGTAGATCAGGAAGAGAGATAAAATAAGACCCTCACACTGGGTTCCTCAGGCTACTTCTAGCTTCATTTCTTCTTAGAGTCCACCCAGAGCCCAGCTCCTTCTGATGGTGCAGGCCATCATTGGCTGGAGTTAGAAGCTTGAGTTTCTTCGCTTCTGTTGTTTCTGTATGCTCTCACATCAAAATACCATAAGCCACAAGCAAAGCATGCTTGATTGTCTGTTAGTTTTATGAACTTTGTGGGATTCCATTCTTCAGGAGCACATTTGCCCTCTGCTTGTTTTAGACCATCTCCAGTCACAGGGAAACCACAGCTAGTTAAGTGGAGGATGGGAGCAACTGTTAAGATCACAGCAGGAATCTCCATGGTGCCCTGGTACTTGAAGTGACTTTTCTTTTTTTTTTTTTAATTTAATTTAATTTTAAGTTCTGGGATACATGTGCAGGATGTGCAGGTTTGTTACATAAGTAAACATGTGCCATGGTAGTTTGCTGCACCTATCAACCCATCACCTAGATGTTAAGCCCCGCATGCATTAGCTATTTATACTGATGCTCTTCCTTCCCCACCCCCACCACAGGCCCGAGTATGTGTTGTTCCTCTCCCTGTGTCCATGTGTTCTTTTTGTTCAGCTCCCACTTATAAGTGAGAACATGCAGTGTTTGGTTTTCTGTTCCTGTGTTAGTTTGCTAAGAATAATGGCTTCCAGCTCCATCCATGTCCCTGCAAAGGACATGATCTTGTTCCTTTTTATGGCTGCATAGTATTCCATGGTGTGACTTTTCTAACAGCTGTGCTGAAGCTGAGCTGTGGCTACAAAAGGAAAGCCTACCTCAAAAGAAGTGTAAAACTCTCCAGCTGCTCATGAAGGCGCCTCTCGCTGCTTAGAGAATGAGAGCTACCTCCACAGTCATGGGAAGGCTGTTCAAGCTGAACTGAGCTCAGAATATAAAATCACATGAAGCCTGGGACTGAGTCAGGAGCAACAGCCCACACTTTTCTGCAGGTATGCAGAAAAGGGGACAGGCAAAGAAGAATGAGAAGGTAGAAATTGAAATGTCAGGTTAGAATCCTGATTTCAGATTCTGTATGACTGAAGACAATCCTAACAAATATTGTCAGGGACCTAGGAAAATAATGTGAATGGGGACTCTACTTGTTATTTCAAATAGCCCTGTTGATGAAGATAAGCTGTTTAAAATAAGCATACTTGCAAACTTTCCATCACTGGTTCTTTTCTGTTGTTATGTTTGGTGCTTGTATGTTTGCGTGTGTTTTAAAATGGCAGGTCAACAAGAAACAACTTTGACATATGTTCAGCATTTAACAGTCGATTTAATACATCTGTGTTCATTGTGTCACTTCCTCCCCAGAACACCCATATGAGGCAGGGAGGGTAATTATTTCCATCTCCACCCACTCCCCATTTTGTGGGCAGGAAGGAACCAGGCTTAGAAAGGTTGAGTGACTTGCCCAAGGTCACACAATTCATATAAAGGAGCCAAGACTTTGACTCAGGGCTTCCAAATTCCCAAATGAAGCTCCTTCCAACATTTGTTTCTTAACTCATTGCAAAATTAGTTTAAGTAAAGGAATTCTAGCATTGAGAAATGCAAGAGAAAGAACATTATGCTCACCTTCAGCAACAGGACCATCATATAATTGTTTTTGTAATAATCTGAAGTCATAGCAATCGTCCTAAATCCATACAGGAATAAATGAGTAATCAATATGTCTGGACGACCACCCTGGTGATTATGCCACAGGCAGTAGGCCCACTGCAAGGCAGTTCAACTGCAAATTAGAGTTGGAACCATCGTATGAGGCTTGCCACTTATCCAGAGATAAGCATGTTATGTCACAATTCACAAATCACAGCGTTACCACACACAGTTCTCACTGAGTATTTATGTAGCCTGCCACATACCCAGAGTTCCTCTGAAAGAGGTGGAGGAGAAGCTTCAGACCACAGCTCCTTCACAGGAGAAGCTGGCAGTCTAGCCCATTTATTATGTTTTTTTGTGATCACTTATTACCCCCATGGAAATATTTGAGTCTGGCATTCTGATGTGAAATACAAGGTTTATAAGATGTCCTTCGTTCATGCAAGTAAAGAAGGAAGATTTATTGAACACTTACTATGTGCCAGTTACCTTAGTTACTGCATACCTGCAATTAAACAGACCTCTCAACTAAGAAGAAAATTTGATTTGAGAATAAATATGTTAACCCCTGAATAGAGGCTACCTACGACTGAAGACAATCCTAACAAATATTGTCAGGGACCTAGGAAAATAATGTGAGTGGGGACTCTACTTGATATTTCAAATAGCCCTGTGGATGAAGATTAGCTGTTTGATGAAGAGACCTCAAATAGGTATCTTCATGAATTGTTTTCCCTATTTAGCAGTTAGTCATATATCATGACTTACAGATAACCAAAGATTTTAAATGTTTCAAACTCTTAAAAATAACTGTCCCTTTAAACATTTCCCTGTCAGAGATCCTCTCCCCAGTTGTTACCTATTTTCAGATATTAATTTTTCTACACAGTCACATGGAAATAACAGGAAGCCTCTGAGGAAGTACACATCTATTTTATTTTCGGGGATCGGATTTTCCAGAGACCAAATAAAGAACAGAAGTAGGTGGTATTGTCATGGTCAGAATCATGGTCCCAGATCAAAACTCAAATGAATTTTTACAGAGAAAATTATTCATTGAAAAAGATGTGTCCTGAGTTTTCTACCATACTCATGTTACCAAATTAATCAATGAAGCTCCTCAAAAGAGGGGAAAATAAAGCTAGAAGTCAAGTTAGAGACAAATATATCTAGTGTTCTAAGCCTGCTCTCTATTTCATTTTTGACCTGTATATCAAGTAGAATCATTTATCCTGTTGTGGTAGGAAATGAAGTTTTTCAGATAAATAAAACTTGCAAAAACAAAAAACAGCCCCCTGCCTCCAAAACCCCAAAGCATATTGCTTTCTTTTTCATTCTAACCAAGTTTGAGAAATATCATTCTAAAAATCTACTGCATACTGCTCTGTCAGGAGAAGCAGACAGAGCAGTATTAAATATTATACAACATTTAGTCTCTTTCTAATGACATTGGGCCCCGCTTCCTAAATTTGATATCCTCAGGTTAGCAGCAGGGGATTTAGAGGACTCAAAGCCACTGGATAAACATGGAAGTAAGTCTTCCTAGATCATCCATTAAATTGGAAAACCTGTAGGGAAAAAGTGTAAACCTCAGAGCTCTTAAAAGGTTTTGTCGCACATGTTCAGAAAAGTTAGCAAAACCTTATTTTTTTTTTACCTAAATTGATTTTGTATTATCCTTTTTTTCTTTTCTTTTGCTTTTTTGTGAATGCCTGGGATGTAGAAGTCTTTTAAGCCCAGTAAGTGATTGAAAAATGTGCACCTTTTTTTTTGACCGGGTGCTGTGGCTCACGCCTGTAATCCCAGCACTTTGGGAGGCCCAGGTGGGTGGATCATCTGAGGTCAGGAGTTCAAGGCCAGCCTGACCAACATGGAGAAATCCTGTCTCTACTAAAAATACAAAATTAGCTGGGCATGGTGGCGCATGCCTGTAATCCCAACTACTTGGGAGGCTGAGGCAGGAGAATCGCTTGAACCTGGGAGGCAGAGGTTGCGGTGAGCTGAGATCGCGCCATTGTACTCCAGCCTGGGCAACAAGAGTGAAACTCCAGCCTGGGCAGCAAGAGTGAAACTCCATCTCAAAAAAAAAAAAAAGAAAATGTACAACACTTTTGTTATTGAAGAATCTGGTGACATTAACACTGTAGTTGCATCAAAACAAAAGGTGTGTGGTGATGTGTCAGAGAGAGTGTGTAAATCCCACTGGCCTACTTGGCCAGGGCTCATCTGTAAAAGCACAAAACCTGGAGTATTTTATTTTTCTGCAAGGTCAAGAAAGTCAGGCAGCTCCTTTAGAAAAACAAAACAAAACTAGAGTATCACATTGGAATATGTTTTTATATTCGTGGGAAGGGGGAGAGAGGAGGAGGTGGTGTTATTGTTGGTTTTGGTTTTGGTTTTGACTTTTCATTCTGCAAAAGCCCCACAAATCTGCTTGATTTCCTATTGCAGTTGGCACTGACCACAGATTTTGTTTAGAGCATGTGGCTATGCTTAGTTCCCTGATAATACAAAAGGCAAAAGTCTCAACAATTTATCTTTTGGAGTCATTCATTATTTGCCATTTTAAGGGTACTAATTTTTGAATGATTTTTTCACCCCGAGACATGGAAGTGTCTGGCTGGAGGAGAAGAAAAGAAAAAAGAGCTAGCATTTAAGGAGAAGAGAAGCCTGGCATGAAAACTGAAGAGGAACAGACACAGAGAAGGGAATTGGGCTTGGTTGTTAGTATCAAAGAAGATAAGGTGGTGGTAGGTGAGCTTGGAAGAGCAGTTTCAGTGAGGTGCTGAGGATAGAAACCAGACTGTAGGGCATGAAAGGTGAAGAGTAGTTGAGGAAATGGAGCCAAGGAACGCTGACAGCTCTTCCAGGAGTTTGCTTGTGAAGGGAAAGGTGCAAGTTAGTAAAGGAGTGGAAGGGTGGCTCCT
This sequence comes from Homo sapiens, assembly GCF_000001405.40. Lineage (NCBI taxonomy): Eukaryota > Metazoa > Chordata > Mammalia > Primates > Hominidae > Homo > Homo sapiens. The sequence goes on along the minus strand of NC_000006.12, from coordinate 39,472,030 downwards.
GGGAAGGATTTAGGCTGCTTCTTGCATGAGGACGTGGTGCTCTTAGACATAGATTCTAAGTGCCACGGGTACTTCAGGCTGCAGTTGGAATACTTTGGTGAATCAGCAACATCAATGGCTTCATTTAAAAATGGAAGAAGTAAGGGACATGTATTTACAATTTACTCTATTCCAGATGGTTTCCTTGATGTTTATTCATTCTTCAGAAGGTCATGCTATATCATCTCTATCTAGATGCTCAGCAAGCAGCTCTGTCAAGACCAAGGTACATATGTAAAAAGAACTCCCTTCTCCTAGAGCTAAGGTAGTTCCACTGGGAAGATTACAAAAATAGGAGTTACCTAGACCTTTTCTACCTTGAGCCAGTCCTCAGATGTGCTGGCAGATGATTTTAACACTCTCTCCCCAGCTCATGATGACATTGAGGATCAGGACACTGAGACCCTTTAGGTAGACAGCCTGCAGCCATCATGGGTACACATTTGCTGAAGAGGTGTGGCCTCATGAATGGAGGACCTATAAAAAGACCACAGTTAAATAAAATCCAAGACGTAGAGTGTCGAGCGCTGGCCCTGTGACCAGTGTCCTTGCCCAGAAACAGTAGAGAAGATCCATGTAGGTAGCTGGCCCAGGGCACAGGGAATGGTCAATCTCGTGGCCAGACAAGAAGGCAGTGAGAAGGCTGAGTGTGGGCCTGCAGGCAGAGGCATCATGGAAAGAAAGGTCAAAGAGTCAGAGAGGAGGAAGCACAAGACACGCAGCAAATGCAGCCGTACTGAGTTCAGTAGAACCTTCTTTGGGAAGAGGTGGGCCCATGTGCTAGAGAGGCTGCCTCAGGAAGGAACCATGGAGACTATAAAAGATACCAAGGGAAAAGAAGAACAGGAGAGAAGGAAATGAAAACCTAGCAGAGAGGTGTCACATTTCTTTTGGCATTTAAAACACTTCCAGATTGCATCCTTAAATTTTGCTGGACCAAGGATTACAAACTTCTGGCAAACTCAAGGCCTTAACTTTGGCATCCCAGGCCTTGTAATATCAAATCACAGCTCAATGTTAAGTTTTATTATTCAACATGAATGAAAAGGTCAGGGGGAAAAAGAGCTCTGTGGTGTTCCATTAAAGGAAAAACCTGATCATCTTAAAGAAATATGATAAGGGAGCCCACGTTATAAAGGGCAGTGGGTAGAGGAATACAGACAGTGAGTGCTTATTACTCCCTTGGAGTGCATTTGCATGCTGGGAAGGCCAGTCCTGCTCAGGGGTCTTTTTCTGGCCTGACAGAGTTAACACTTCTCTCCAAATCTTTGATTGATGGGGAATAGTGGAAACAGCTGTCAGTAGATGGTTACACATTTAGGTGAAACATGACATGTTACTCCTCTTTCCTGCCCTAAAATATGTTGTTTTCTAAACCTGATCCTGTGTCTATGCAACATTCTCCACATCACCCGGGGAGTATGAAAGGACCTCCCCCGCAATCATCCTCCTGGGTTTCACAGGCATCCTTCTTAGATAATCTTGAGGACAGTCAACTGGCAGATTTCATTTTGGAGTGCTCAGAGATAAATTCATTAAGATACACCACTGGATGTTCTGCTATGACCAGTCCAAAATGCTCCTACAGAGAAGTCTGTGACCTCCTGCGTCACAGGCAGGAGCTGCAAGGCAGGCATTTGAGTTGCACTTAATCACATTGTACGGCTCAGCTACCCGTCAGACTGAGCTGCTGTTACTGCATTGGTTTTTTCACCATGTGCAATTGCTCCTAGACCTCTGAACTTTGAACTTTAAATCCCAAAGTTCCCTACTCTACCTCTTTACCTGCTCCTGACTGTGCCCTGATATCCCAACTCTCAACCCTCCCCTATTCTCTGCTCTATAATCCACTTTGGCCCTCCCTCCCACCATTCTGTGATGGAAGAACATACTTTGTATGATCTTGATCCTTTTATATTTATGAAGGCTTGTTTTATGGTCAAAGACATGATTTATCCTAGAGAATGTTTTCGTGTGTGCTTGTGAAAAATCTGTATTCTTCTGTTTCTGGATACAGTGTTCTACACTGTCTGTTAGGTCTAGTTGGCATATAGTGTTGTTCAAGTTCCCTATTTCCTTATTGATCTTTTCCCTAGTTCTACCCATTGTTGAATGTGGAGTATTGAAATCTCCAAATATTATTGTTGAATCATCTGTTTCTCTCTTTGATTATGTTAGTTTCCTTTATCTTTCTTGGAACTCTGTTGTTAGTTGTTTATATGTAATTTCTGTGTCTTTCTGATGGATTGATTGATGCTTTTATCATCATGAAATGTCCCTCTTGATCAGGAAACATAACTAATGGGTGCTAGATTTAATACCTGGGTGATGAAGTAATTTGTACGAAGAACCCCCATGACACAAGTTTACCTATATGACAAACCTGCATATGTATCCCTGAATTTAAAGTAAAAGTTTTAAAAGTTCCTCTCCATCTCTAGTAACATTTTTTTTTGTTTTAAAGTCTACTTTGTCTAATAACATAGCCTGTTTAGCTTTCTTATGGTTACTGTTTTCATGATACATCTTTTACTTTTGACTAATTTGTATGTTTGAAGGTAAACTGTATCTTTTATAGCATACAGTTAAATCTTGGTTTTTTTTAAATCTCATGTGACAATCTCTGACTTTTGATTGGATTTTTAATCTATTTGCATTAATGATAGTATTTATATAGTTGTATTCATTTCTGCCATTTTATTTTTTCTATGTATCATGTCCTTTTTATCTGTCTCCTCCTTTAATGCTTTATTTTACATTAAGTGAATATTTTCTAGTGTAGCATTTTAATCCCTCTAATGATTTTTTATTGTTTATTTTGGAGTTATTTTCCTAGTGGTTGCTTAGGGCTTAAAATATACATCTCAGCTCTATCAGAATCTACTTCATATTTATACTAATTAATTCCAGTGAGATAGGTTAATCCTATATATCTCTATTCATGCTTCCCTTTTTTATGCTATTATTGTTGTATGTGTGTATGTATGTATTCAAGTTATAATCTGGTGTCATTTCATTACTCCAGGACAGCTTTGCTTCCACCCCCTCCTTTGTGCTATTACTAACAACTACATTACACTTATATGTTATAGTTTCCACAATAAAATTATATACATACTATTTGATACAATTGCTTTTTAGATCAGTTTAAAAAAGAAATATGCAATTATACTATCCTTTATAATTACCTATATAATTACTTTTACTGGTGTCCTTTTTTTTTTCATGTGGAATTGAATTAACCTTTAGAGTCACTTGCACTTAAACTGAAGAAATTCCTTTCATATTTCTTGTAAGGCAGATCTGTTTGCAATGAATTCTCCCATTTTTATTTATCTAAGAATGTCTTTCACCTTAATTTTTGAAGAATAGTTTTACTGAATACAAGAGTCTTGGTTGACAGCTTTTTCTTCATCAGTATTTCAGTGTGTCATTCCATTGGCTTCTGGCCTTCATCATGTCTCATTAAACGTCAGCTTTTAATCTTATTGTCCATGACAAGTTAGTTTTCTCTTGCTGCTTTCAAGATTTTCTCTTTGTCTTTAGCTTTCAACATTTTAACTATGATGTAGTTAGGTCTGGATCTCTTTGTATTGATCCTACTTAGAATTTATTAAGACTCTTGGATCTATAACCTAATATTTTCATCAAATTTGGGGTGTTTTTGCATTATTTCTTTAAACATTTTTTCTGCTTTTTCTCTCTCTCTTCTCCCCTCCGTCTTGTACTCTCATTACTTGTATCCTGGTGTCCTCAGTGGTGCCCCACATTTCACTGAGGCTCTATTCCTTTTGTTTGCTTTATTCTTTTTTTTTTCTTTGCTCTTCAGAGTATGTAATCTCTAATGATCTATCTTCAGGTTCACTAATTCTTCTGTCAGTTCAAATCTCCTCTTGAGCCCTATAGTGAATCTTTCATTTTGGTTATTGCACTTTTCAACTTCAGAATTTCAATTTGGTTTTTAAAAATAATTTATATCTCTTTATTGATAGTCTCTATTTGATGAGGCATTGCATTATAGTGTCCTTTGCTTCTTTATTTATTTATTTATTAGTTTTCATTTTCAGCAAGTCCTCAGAGCCAAACCTTTACTTCTTTAAGCATTGCTCCCTTTGGTTCTTTGAATATATGTATATGACTGGTTTGAAGTCTGTCTGCTAAGCTAGCATATATGCCCTTTCATAGGCAGTTTCTATTGCCTGCTTTATTCTTGTGTATGGGTAGCGCTTTCTTTGCATTTATCATAATTCTTTATTGAAAATTGGATGTTTTAGATAATATAGCAGCTCTAGATATTGATCCCCACCCACCTTTTCTGGGGCTTGTTTATACTTGTTTATTCGTCTAGTGGCTTGGATGGACTATCTCAGTGAAGTCTAATTTCCCTTAGCGTTAGCCTATGATTTTGTTCCTCAGAGGGCATAGCCTTGGGCATGTGCACAGTCACCTTAGGATGACAATGGTTTTAGCAGGGCTGCCTCTCTCTGTGTTTTTTTTTTCCCTGATATCTCTGCTAAGCTGACTGCCTTTGTTGATATCATGTGTAAATATTAGCCTTCACTAATTGACACCTGATGGTTTTATTGTTTTCAACAGTGTCTGAGCATAAATTTCCTCACAGTTTGATGCAGTTAAATTCACCTTATTTGCAGGGGTAGTCTTTGAGGCCATTCTTTGAGTTTTGTTTCAAACCCAGGAAAGGCTCTTATTAACTATCTCTTTTCCCTGGTTCTCTCTGTTAAGCATCTAGCTGATCTTTGCTAAACTTAAACTGGTTTAGCTTGTTGCTCTCATGGAGCTACTAGTGAGTGTCCTTTTCATTGGCTACCACCAGAATCTCCATTGTTTTCTACAGCACCTTCAGGCTTGAACTTCCTCATAGTCTCTGTTCCAAGTACCCTCAGTTCCTTGGGGAAAGCTATAAAGCTCTCTGTTGTTATGCCTGCCTTGTCCTGTGGAACAAATCTCTAAGCCATTGCTCTGGAACTGGCAGTGGGGACAGTGGTCTGCTTCTCTGGAAGCAACACCCTGCTTTATGAGTGAGGTGCTGGGAAGGGGGGAAGTAGCCTTTTGCCTTCTCAGCTTACTTCTCCTGGCATGGAGCCATCACTTTATGAGCAGGCAAAGGCAATCGAGACCTGGTATTCTTGGCCTGCTTCACCTGGAAGAGAACTTCTGCCTTACAAAGAGGGGCCTGGGTGGAGGAAGGAAGCCCCAGATCTCTCATTTGCTCTTGCCTGGCCTACAGCTTATGCAATACAGAGATAGGGGTCATGAGAAATGTGGGTGGCCTGCTTTTCCCAGGGAGATACCATAACCTTAGACTGGGAGCTAGGGGGAGTGGAAGCTTCATGTTCTAATTTACAGTCATCCAGAGTAGAGCTTCCATCATGCAGAGGTGGGGGGTGGGGAAGGAGCAAGTCATGGCTCAAATGCCAATGGACTCTTACTCTTCTTACTGAGATTTAGTAGATTTCCTTGAATGAATATTTCTCCATTTGCTGCGTGCCTTTAGACAATTTTCAGATATTTCAAATGGTTTTTGTTGTTGTTCTTTGTTTTAATAATTTTCACTGACTTTGATTGTGTCACTGGTGATGAGGTCCTCTGAGCTACACCACCATTTTGGAAATAGCAACTCCTTTATCTCTGATGCTTGAAGCTCAGAAACCATTGTTATGTGTTCCTCCAGAAAGTCCAAAAGAATCCTGGCAGCCGGTGTTTGAAGGAAGGAAGAAGGAGAGAAGGAAGGAGGAAGGGGGGAGGAAAGTTGGCCTTGTTGTTACATAAAGCTTTATCAGAACAACTTTTTACACAGCCGTATTTATGTATTCAGCAAACCTGATTGAACACTACACACGTGAGACCCTGTGTTAACTCCTGGAGTGCAATGTCCTGTGGTCAAGGAGCTCACAGAGATGTCTGTCAGAGAGACTGACAAAAATAAAGAAGCACTTGCCATGTAATATGGAAGGGATGATGGGGGCAAGAGCCGAGGACTATGCCTGGAAAGAAGGGAGTGACATTCTGCCAGGAAGAATTAAAGTGGGCTTCAGGGGCAGCAATATTTTAGCTGCCTATTGAAGTAAATTCATCAAACAGAGGTGAAGGAGAAGAGGATTTGAGGAATAAGGAATAGTATGATCAAAAAGAACAGAGGCATGCAAAATCATGGTATGTCTGAACTGTTTAGAGGATGCCAAGTAGTTGAGTGTAGTTAGAACACAATGTACCCTTTATGGTGGGGAGTGGCAGAAGAAAAGTCGTAGGGTAGGGCCCAGTTGTTAAATACACAAGACTGGGACATGATGCCATAAACACTGGGGAACCTCTGAAAGTATTTAAGCATCAGAGAGAAGCTTCAGATTTATTTTGGAAGGATGTTTCTGATGTGCATAGGAAGACAGACTAAAGTCAGGGAGACAAATAGGAAGGTATTGCAGCAGTTTAGGCATGAGATGATGAGAGTTTGAACAAAGACAGTGGTGTTGGAGATAAAGAAGAGAAGGATAGGCGAGGTCCAGATGAGAGGAAATCAAAAGGTCTGTGTGACCAATTAAATGCCAGTGAAGAGAAGGGAGGAGTCCAGGATGATTCTGAAGTTTTACTTTTGGCAACTTTTCAATTACCTGCTATTGTCTCTTGATAATAACGTCATTACTTTGATTTCTTGAGACCAGAGTCACACGTCAAAAAGTCTTCATTTGCCAAAGATGCATCTTGCCATGCTCTATGAAGACATCTGCCCATGCTTCTTGCCCTCCTTTGATAACCTTATGGCCAGTGATGCTGCAACCAGAGACCATCTCTTTCAAGGCATGTGCAGACATGGGGTATGATATCCCCGCCCGCCTACCGAAGCAGCAGAGTTTGTCCATGCCCTATTCTGGAAATGAGAAACGCACGGACATCTGGTGGTGCCATAAATATTTGGAAAAGTGGGCTACTAGGAAAGAACTCCTGACCAATTAAAATTTACAGATACATCTTAGAGCTGCTAGCTCCTGTTCAACTGTTTGCTCAAGTGGCTAACAAGCACAAAACCAGATTTCTTTTGTATAGGCTTTCTTTTGCCATAAACTGGGACAGCCATGCTTTCAGTGACCCAATGTTTGTTGCATATTAATAAGAGTCAAATGATCAATTTTTAAAAAGCAGTTCTCGGAAGGCTTTTTTTCCATTGTAGGTATATCACTATAGTAAGTCAACAAGTTGTGCTGATCTCTCATAGTCAAGAGTCCAGTGGGCTCCTGTGGGGTCTTGTTAGCGTGAATCCTGCTCCACTCAGTGGTGCTTATGAGCATTCCAGCTGGCCCCACCTGGCTGCCCTAGCCCACTAGCATCCAGGCTGTGGAGATGAGCTGCCAGGCGATGGCCTGGCTAGGTGAGGAGGAGGAGGCAAGTGGCTGCTCTGCATTCCAGATTCCACTTTTAAACAGATGCTCATAGTTTCTGATTATAAGAGAATGGCTGTGTGAGGTCAAGAACATTAGATCCAAAAGTAGGGACACTTCACTGGGACCCTTAAGTTAGTGCACAGGTTTATGCTTAATACGCTGGCTGATCTAAAGCAGACATTGATCTAATTGAGATCATTTTTTCCAAGAGGAGGGTAAGCCTCCCTTATGCACATGGTTCCCTCATCCTCCAGATACTTAGCAGCCAAAATAAATATGTTTTCGTTTAGGCTGAAAATGCAGATGGTCTCCAAATGCCTGATAGACTATCTTGTTAATCAAAGCCGGGCCAACATAATCACCCTCCACTGCTCAGCTCTGAGCATGAGAATAGTCCTGCCTCATGCCTCCCTTTCAGTGCTGACCACCTCATCAAGCACGACAACGGTCAGATGTGGCCACCATCTGCAAGCTCTTCTCCTGCTGCTTTTGGTCCCACCACCCATCCTGGCCCCTGCCAGTCTATCAGACCATAACACACATGTAGCAGAAACATAAATATGATCAGCCACAAACTCTCAAAGTAATAAATATGTACACCTACTAAACAAGGATATTTGAAAATATAAAGAAAGAGACAATAGGAGATTACCCGAGGTAAATTTTAAAGACAGCAGTGATTTGACAGAGATGTGGGAGGAAGAAAATGAATGATGACTCAAAGGAGAGAGGAGCAAGCCAACTTATTTGGTTAAAATCTGAAAGGCCAGCAGAAGATAGGGGCAGATTTAGAATGACAGCATCCAAAGGGTCCAAGATTTGGAATTTTTATTTAATAAAAGACAACTGACAGTCACTATGGGGACTCAGAAGAGATGTGTTGATATGAAAAATGTTTAAATAAGATTTAAAAAGTGGCCATCTGATGGGACATCATACAATTATTTTTTGAGATGATTTTGAGGAATTTTTAATTACTCAGGAAATGTTTTATGATGTGATGAGAAGTAAAAAAGATGAGTACACTTTTATAATTTCAATGATGTTAAATAGATCTAAACATGCATAGAAAAATGTCTGGAAGAAAATACACTAAAATGTTATGGTTGCTATCTCCTGGTAGTCAGATTAGAGATTATTCGTCTCTTTTGTTGAAATATTCAAATGTCCTACAAAGAACATATTATTTTAAAATCTGAAAAAATAACATGTTTTTTTAAGAATATTTTCAGAGAAATTTGATTGGATAGTAGGTTGGGATTGATGAGGCTGGAGGCAGATTGGACAATAGAGGCTTACATAGTATTTAAACTGTTAGTTGGAGGCCTAGTCTCACACTGTGGAAGTGAGATAAAGGAGAGAAAATGGGGGAGCTTAGTTCAGAGGAATAACAGAAGGGACACCATAAGATTACATGTTACCCATTCAAAGAGATGAAAATAGAAGCCAAATGTCTTAGGAAGAATAAGGTATTACCAGTAATTAAGTTGAAAGTAGAGAGGGTTGGGCAAAATTTAACTCAGTGTAGTTAAATTTCATCTTAGCTGTTGTCTTAGCTGTTGATGGAACAAAGTTAGGCTGAAGACATTCTATTTGACGTGTTAATATAGGAACTCTTAATAGATTTTCTCACTAAGGGCTTTAGTTTGCTGAATTTTCTTTAATGTTGAATATTTGATCCATGCTAAAATGCTAAAAACCAGCCTTGATACCTCCAGCTCTATATCTAATCATCAACTAATGAAAATTAACTGAATATTTTCTCTGTACAAGTTCCTAGCCCTTATAATCTAGTAGCAAATATATATATGTGCATATATTTATGACATATATACAAACTACTATGGAAAATACAAAATATGATAAGGTCTCTGAGACAAGGACAGATGCTTTGCTGTGGGCCTCTCATTTCAGATATCTCGTCAGCCTTCCATTATCTGGCTCCACCCCATCTCTGTAGACTCATTTTTCATTATTCTTCAGTAAATACCTCTACCCTCCTCAGGCTGGCTATTGGCTCTCTTCCCAGCCCATCATGCTCATTGTACCCATTAGGATGCTTTCAGCTACAAGTGTTATCAGTCTATTAATGACTTAAGTTATAAGGACAGTCACTGATTTCTTATAATGAAGTTCAAAAGGTAGGTGATCTCGTGTTGATCTGGCAGCTCAGTGATTGTCATCAGGGTCTCACTTTATTACTTCATCATTCTTAGTGTACTAACTTTGCATCTTCATATGAGTTTGCCTCATGGTGATAAGATGTTTCCTATAGCTCCAGACATTACATAATGTTCACATTTAAGGCAGGAAGGAGGAAGGAATGGTGCCAACAAGTTCTCCTCTTGAGTTTGTCTCTTTATCAGGAAAGCAAAAAGCCTTCCAAGAATACCCCTCCAAACGTTCTCATACATTTTCTTTGGCCATAAAGTAAATGTATCACACAGCCATGCCAAGCTTCAAAGGAGCCTGGAAACATAGGTATATGGCTTTTCCAGCCTCCAGAGCTGCACCATTCAATATGATAGCCATGAGCTGCATGTGACTATTGAATACTTGGAATGTGGCTAGTGCAATTGAAATTATCTCTGAATTTCTAATTTTATTTCATTTTAATTAATTTAAGCATAAAATGGAAGCAATAAAAAGTCTCTATTACATACAACTTTCTTGTTTTGAAAGGACTACATGTCACTTTAGTATAAAATATTAGTATTATAGTACATGTGTCAACAGGTACACACACTTTTTGTATTACACATAAACACTTCATTGACTGGTTTTGTCAATACAGATACAAATATTAAAAAATAATAATTTTTTACTACTCAGTTTGGCTACATTTTACACTTGTAAATTTATAAAACAGATGTAGATCAAATTTTTCTACTGTAAATTCAGTGTCTGAATTAAGATGTGCTGTAAGAATAAAACATGCAAATGAGTATAGTTATTTAGCATAAAAATACATGTAAATATATCAATAATTTTATGAATATTGATTACATGTTGAAATTATATTTTTGATATGAGTTTAATAAAACATATTAAAATTAATTTCACCTTTTCTTACATTTTTAATGTAAAAATTAAAACTAAAGCTATTAATTTCTAGTAAAAATTACTAGAAAATCTAAAATTATATGTATGACTTACATCATAGTTTCATTGGCCACTGCTGGTCTAGAGTGAGAGGAAGGTAAAGGTGAAGAGAATTGGCCATGATTTGTAGGTTAGTCAACCAATAGGGTCCACCTCACTTGTATTGCCTGTGTTACCTGCTGATGAAGAACACTTCTCCTCTCGTAGGTCTATAATAGTCATTTTAGACTATTACAGATGAATGCCAATAATATGATGAATGCTATAATTGTCATTATAGACCTATGATTTATTGTTAACTTTACTCTCATTGTTATTAAGTTGGACATTAAACAAGATCTAGCTGGGCTTAAAGCAAATCCTAACTTAAGGCTAACCTCTTGCAAAACTCTCTTTTGACCACTTAATGTAGTGTTTTCATTCATGCGTGCTTACTTTCATAAAACATTTATTATATATTGAAATGAATGTGAAGGAATGCAAGAATGAAGTTAATAATTTTTCCAAGAGGAGTGATGAACGGTTTCTCAGAAGAGATAGCATTTGAACTGAAATTAGAAGAATGAGTTGAAGCCTGCCATGTTGGAAAGGGTATTCTAAGCCAAGGAAGCAGTATTACAAAGGTATGAAAAGACAAACCGCATTTGGACACTGAAATTTTTATGTACCTGGGGTAAAGATTGTTTGGAATTGAGGCTAGAGTTTGCACTTTCTATAAGAGTAAAGTGCAGAAGTGAGTATTTTGTCACCCACATTCAAGTGGCAATTTAGCTGCATATAGAATTCTAGGTTGATACATGTTTTCTCTCAATATGGTAAAAGTACTATTATGTTCTTTTTTATTCCCATAGTTGTTATCAGAAAGTATACTGTCAATGTAATTGTCATTCCTTAGTAGACAATATGCCTTTCCCCTGGCTACTTTTAAGATCTTTTTTTTTTTTTTTTTTTTTTTTACTTTTTTTTTTATTATACTTTAAGTTTTAGGGTACATGTGCACATTGTGCAGGTTAGTTACATATGTATACATGTGCCATGCTGGTGCGCTACACCCACTAACTCGTCATCTAGCATTAGGTATATCTCCCAATGCTATCCCTCCCCCCTCCCCCCACCCCACCACAGTCCCCGGAGTGTGATATTCCCCTTCCTGTGTCCATGTGATCTCATTGTTCAATTCCCACCTATGAGTGAGAATATGCGGTGTTTGGTTTTTTGTTCTTGCGATAGTTTACTGAGAATGATGGTTTCCAGTTTCATCCATGTCCCTACAAAGGACATGAACTCATCATTTTTTATGGCTGCATAGTATTCCATGGTGTATATGTGCCACATTTTCTTAATCCAGTCTATCATTGTTGGACATTTGGGTTGGTTCCAAGTCTTTGCTATTGTGCATAATGCCACAATAAACATACGTGTGCATGTGTCTTTATAGCAGCATGATTTATAGTCATTTGGGTATATACCCAGTAATGGGATGGCTGGGTCGAATGGTATTTCTAGTTCTAGATCCCTGAGGAATCGCCACACTGACTTCCACAATGGTTGAACTAGTTTACAGTCCCACCAACAGTGTAAAAGTGTTCCTATTTCTCCACATCCTCTCCAGCACCTGTTGTTTCCTGACTTTTTAATGATTGCCATTCTAACTGGTGTGAGATGATATCTCATAGTGGTTTTGATTTGCATTTCTCTGATGGCCAGTGATGATGAGCATTTTTTCATGTGTTTTTTGGCTGCATAAATGTCTTCTTTTGAGAAGTGTCTGTTCATGTCCTTCGCCCACTTTTTGATGGGGTTGTTTGTTTTTTTCTTGTAAATTTGTTTGAGTTCATTGTAGATTCTGGATATTAGCCCTTTGTCAGATGAGTAGGTTGCGAAAATTTTCTCCCATGTTGTAGGTTGCCTGTTCACTCTGATGGTAGTTTCTTTTGCTGTGCAGAAGCTCTTTAGTTTAATTAGATACCATTTGTCAATTTTGGCTTTTGTTGCCATTGCTTTTGGTGTTTTGGACATGAAGTCCTTGCCCACGCCTATGTCCTGAATGGTAATGCCTAGGTTTTCTTCTAGGGTTTTTATGGTTTTAGGTCTAACGTTTAAATCTTTAATCCATCTTGAATTGATTTTTGTATAAGGTGTAAGGAAGGGATCCAGTTTCAGCTTTCTACATATGGCTAGCCAGTTTTCCCAGCACCATTTATTAAATAGGGAATCCTTTCCCCATTGCTTGTTTTTCTCAGGTTTGTCAAAGATCAGATAGTTGTAGGTATGCGGCGTTATTTCTGAGGGCTCTGTTCTGTTCCATTGATCTATATCTCTGTTTTGGTACCAGTACCATGCTGTTTTGGTTACTGTAGCCTTGTAGTATAGTTTGAAGTCAGGTAGTGTGATGCCTCCAGCTTTGTTCTTTTGGCTTAGGATTGACTTGGCGATGCGGGCTCTTTTTTGGTTCCATATGAACTTTAAAGTAGTTTTTTCCAATTCTGTGAAGAAAGTCATTGGTAGCTTGATGGGGATGGCATTGAATCTGTAAATTACCTTGGGCAGTATGGCCATTTTCACGATATTGATTCTTCCTACCCATGAGCATGGAATGTTCTTCCATTTGTTTGTATCCTCTTTTATTTCCTTGAGCAGTGGTTTGTAGTTCTCCTTGAAGAGGTCCTTCACATCCCTTGTAAGTTGGATTCCTAGGTATTTTATTCTCTTTGAAGCAATTGTGAATGGGAGTTCACTCATGATTTGGCTCTCTGTTTGTCTGTTGTTGGTGTATAAGAATGCTTGTGATTTTTGTACATTGATTTTGTATCCTGAGACTTTGCTGAAGTTGCTTATCACCTTAAGGAGATTTTGGGCTGAGACGATGGGGTTTTCTAGATAAACAATCATGTCGTCTGCAAACAGGGACAATTTGACTTCCTCTTTTCCTAATTGAATACCTTTTATTTCCTTCTCCTGCCTGAGTGCCCTGGCCAGAACTTCCAACACTATGTTGAATAGGAGCGGTGAGAGAGGGCATCCCTGTCTTGTGCCAGTTTTCAAAGGGAATGCTTCCAGTTTTTGCCCATTCAGTATGATATTGGCTGTGGGTTTGTCATAGATAGCTCTTATTATTTTGAAATACGTCCCATCAATACCTAATTTATTGAGAGTTTTTAGCATGAAGAGTTGTTGAATTTTGTCAAAGGCTTTTTCTGCATCTATTGAGATAATCATGTGGTTTTTGTCTTTGACTCTGTTTATATGCTGGATTACATTTATTGATTTGCGTATATTGAACCAGCCTTGCATCCCAGGGATGAAGCCCACTTGATCATGGTGGATAAGCTTTTTGATGTGCTGCTGGATTCGGTTTGCCAGTATTTTATTGAGGATTTTTGCATCAATGTTCATCAAGGATATTGGTCTAAGATTCTCTTTTTTGGTTGTGTCTCTGCCCAGCTTTGGTATCAGAATGATACTGGCCTCATAAAATGAGTTAGGGAGGATTTCCTCTTTTTCTATTGATTGGAATAGTTTCAGAAGGAATGGTACCAGTTCCTCCTTGTACCTCTGGTAGAATTCGGCTGTGAATCCATCTGGTCCTGGACTCTTTTTCATTGGTAAACTATTGATTATTGCCACAATTTCAGCTCCTGTTATTGGTCTATTCAGAGATTCAACTTCTTCCTGGTTTAGTCTTGGGAGAGTGTATGTGTCGAGGATTGTACCCATTTCTTCTAGATTTTCTAGTTTATTTGTGTAGAGGTGTTTGTAGTATTCTTTGATGGTAGTTTGTATTTCTGTGGGATCGGTGGTGATATCCCCTTTATCATTTTTTATCGTGTCTATTTGATTCTTCTCTCTTTTTTTCTTTATTAGTCTTGCTAGCGTTCTATCAATTTTGTTGATCCTTTCAAAAAACCAGCTCCTGGATTCATTGATTTTTTGAAGGGTTTTTTGTGTCTCTGTTTCCTTCAGTTCTGCTCTGATTTTAGTTATTTCTTGCCTTCTGCTAGCTTTTGAATGTGTTTGCTCTTGCTTTTCTAGTTCTTTTAATTGTGATGTTAGGGTGTCAATTTTGGATCTTTCCTGCTTTCTCTTGTGGGCATTTAGTGCTATAAATTTCCCTCTACACACTGCTTTGAATGTGTCCCAGAGATTCTGGTATGTTGTGTCTTTGTTCTCGTTGGTTTCAAAGAACATCTTTATTTCTGCCTTCATTTCGTTATGTACCCAGTAGTCATTCAGGAGCAGGTTGTTCAGTTTCCATGTAGTTGAGCGGCTTTGAGTGAGATTATTAATTCTGAGTTCTAGTTTGATTGCACTGTGGTCTGAGAGATAGTTTGTTATAATTTCTGTTCTTTTACATTTGCTGAGGAGAGTTTTACTTCCAACTATGTGGTCAATTTTGGAATAGGTGTGGTGTGGTGCTGAAAAAAATGTATATTCTGTTGATTTGGGGTGGAGAGTTCTGTAGATGTCTATTAGGTCTGCTTGGTGCAGAGCTGAGTTCAATTCCTGGGTATCCTTGTTGACTTTCTGTCTCATTGATCTGTCTAATGTTGACAGTGGGGTGTTAAAGTCTCCATTATTAATGTGTGGGACTCTAAGTCTCTTTGTAGGTCACTCAGGACTTGCTTTATGAATCTGGGTGCTCCTGTATTGGGTGCATATATATTTAGGATAGTTAGCTCCTCTTGTTGAATTGATCCCTTTACCATTATGTAATGGCCTTCTTTGTCTCTTTTGATCTTTGTTGGTTTAAAGTCTGTTTTATCAGAGACTAGGATTGCAACCCCTGCCTTTTTTTGTTTTCCATTGGCTTGGTAGATCTTCCTCCATCCTTTTATTTTGAGCCTATGTGTGTCTCTGCACGTGAGATGGGTTTCCTGAATACAGAACACTGATGGGTCTTGACTCTTTATCCAACTTGCCAGTCTGTGTCTTTTAATTGGAGAATTTAGTCCATTTACATTTAAAGTTAATATTGTTATGTGTGAATTTGATCCTGTCATTATGATGTTAGCTGGTGATTTTGCTCGTTAGTTGATGCAGTTTCTTCCTAGTCTCGATGGTCTTTACATTTTGGCATGATTTTGCAGCGGCTGGTACCGGTTGTTCCTTTCCATGTTTAGCGCTTCCTTCAGGAGCTCTTTTAGGGCAGGCCTGGCGGTGACAAAATCTCTCAGCATTTGCTTGTCTGTAAAGTATTTTATTTCTCCTTCACTTATGAAGCTTTGTTTGGCTGGATATGAAATTCTGGGTTGAAAATTATTTTCTTTAAGAATGTTGAATATTGGCCCCCACTCTCTTCTGGCTTGTAGGGTTTCTGCCGAGAGATCCGCTGTTAGTCTGATGGGCTTCCCTTTGAGGGTAACCCGACCTTTCTCTCTGGCTGCCCTTAACATTTTTTCCTTCATTTCAACTTTGGTGAATCTGACAATTATGTGTCTTGGAGTTGCTCTTCTCGAGGAGTATCTTTGTGGCATTCTCTGTATTTCCTGAATCTGAACGTTGGCCTGCCTTGCTAGATTGGGGAAGTTCTCCTGGATAATATCCTGCAGAGTGTTTTCCAACTTGGTTCCATTCTCCGCATCACTTTCAGGTACACCAATCAGACGTAGATTTGGTCTTTTCACATAGTCCCATATTTCTTGGAGGCTTTGCTCATTTCTTTTTATTCTTTTTTCTCTAAACTTCCCTTCTCGCTTCATTTCATTCATTTCATCTTCCATTGTTGATACCCTTTCTTTCAGCTGATCGCATCGGCTCCTGAGGCTTCTGCATTCTTCACGTAGTTCTCGAGCCTTGGTTTTCAGCTCCATCAGCTCCTTTAAGCACTTCTCTGTATTGGTTATTCTAGTTATACATTCTTCTAAATTTTTTTCAAAGTTTTCAACTTCTTTGCCTTTGGTTTGAATGTCCTCCCGTAGCTCAGAGTAATTTGATCGTCTGAAGCCTTCTTCCTTCAGCTCGTCAAAATCATTCTCCATCCAGCTTTGTTCCGTTGCTGGTGAGGAACTGCATTCCTTTGGAGGAGGAGAGGCACTCTGCGTTTTAGAGTTTCCAGTTTTTCTGTTCTGTTTTTTCCCCATCTTTGTGGTTTTATCTACTTTTGGTCTTTGATGATGGTGATGTACAGATGGGTTTTCGGTGTGGATGTCCTTCCTGTTTGTTAGTTTTCCTTCTAACAGACAGGACCCTCAGCTGCAGGTCTGTTGGAATACCCTGCAGTGTGAGGTGTCAGTGTGCCCCTGCTGGGGGGTGCCTCCCAGTTAGGCTGCTCGGGGGTCAGGGGTCAGGGACCCACTTGAGGAGGCAGTCTGCCCGTTCTCAGATCTCCAGCTGCGTGCTATGAGAACCACTGCTCTCTTCAAAGCTGTCAGACAGGGACATTTAAGTCTGCAGAGGTTACTGCTGTCTTTTTGTTTGTCTGTGCCCTGCCCCCAGAGGTGGAGCCTACAGAGGCAGGCAGGCCTCCTTGAGCTGTGGTGGGCTCCACCCAGTTCGAGCTTCCCGGCTGCTTTGTTTACCTAAGCAAGCCTGGGCAATGGCGGGCGCCCCTCCCCCAGCCTCGCTGCTGCCTTGCAGTTTGATCTCAGACTGCTGTGCTAGCAATCAGCGAGATTCGGTGGGCGTAGGACCCTCCGAGCCAGGTGTGGGATATAGTCTCGTGGTGCGCCGTTTTTTAAGCCGGTCTGAAAAGCGCAATATTCGGGTGGGAGTGACCCGATTTTCCAGGTGCGTCCGTCATCCCTTTCTTTGACTCGGAAAGGGAACTCCCTGACCCCTTGCGCTTCCCAGGTGAGGCAATGCCTCGCCCTGCTTCGGCTCGCGCACGGTGTGCGCACCCACTGGCCTGCGCCCACTGTCTGGCACTCCCTAGTGAGATGAACCTGGTACCTCAGATGGAAATGCAGAAATCACCCGTCTTCTGCGTCGCTCACGCTCGATCTTTTTTTTTTTTTTTTTTTTTGATGCTC
This sequence comes from Homo sapiens, assembly GCF_000001405.40. Lineage (NCBI taxonomy): Eukaryota > Metazoa > Chordata > Mammalia > Primates > Hominidae > Homo > Homo sapiens. The sequence continues at coordinate 39,454,524 of NC_000006.12, read as the reverse complement.
TCAGTATCACTATTATATCTAAGGAAAGAGTTTCGTTTATATTTTTCCTGATCAGGATTTATTGTGCTCCTGGATATCGGGTGTCACATATTTATTATTTCTGGAAAATGCAGAGCTATTATCTTTTCTAATATTGCCTTTCCTCCATTCTATCTATTCACATCTTTGGAGCTTCCTATTACACATGTGTTGGATCTTATTACTCTCTCTCTTTCACATCTCAATCTCTCTTTCATCTTTTCCATTTCTTTAGATGACTGTACTGCATTTTGAGTGACTTTCTCTGATTAATATTTCCTCTTTTTTTCTTTTTGAGTCTTTGTATCAAAAAGTGTCTGAAGCTTAAAGTTTAGGTTTCCACTATTGCAACATAAGAGTTCTAATACATACTCACCATGCTACTTAGTCATCATGTTCTGTATTTATCTACTGTATTTAACACTTCTTTTCTATCTACTGTATTTAACAGAAATATCTACTGTATTTAACACTTCTTTCTATTTCTTTTCTATTTCTATTACTGTATTTAACACTGCTTTTCTATTCCAACTGACTCCTCATTGTTGGTTATATTACTTAGATGAT